>NC_000002.12:12157291-12464047 GCF_000001405.40 Homo sapiens | reverse complement strand
CTTCATTCCACTGTTTTATTGTGTAATATTTTCATTTTCAGTTATAAATGATTTCTAAAAGTATCTTTTTTTTTCTAAGTCTAAGTCTTCTCTTTCTAGCAACTTAATTACATTTCAGTAAAAGAATATTGTCTGTATGAAGGTTGTCCTTTGAAATGTCTTTGAGATTTCTTTATAGCTCACCAAATGGTTAGCTTTGTTAAACATTCGGTGTGTGTTTAAAACTTATACTATGCACCTATTGGATGTAGTGTTCTGCATATAACCATTAGATCAAGCATGTTATATGTGTTGAATTTTCTACAAAAGTCTTATTTTTCAACTCTATCAGTTACTGAGACAAGTGTATTAAAATCTTAAACAATGGTAGATTTGTTGATTTGTTAATGTGGTATTGTCAGTTAAAATTTTTAAGCACATTTTTGAAGATTAGCTGTAAACAAGTTCAAAATAGACATTTGAATATTTATGATATGGTTTGGCTCTGTGTTCGCACTCAAATCTTATCACTAATTGTAATCCCTACGTGTTGGGGGAAGGACCTTTTGGGAGGTGATTGGATCATGGGGACAGTCTTCCCCATGCTGTTCTCGTAATAGTGAGTACGTTCTCATGAGAGCTGATGGTTTTAAAGTGCGACACTTCCTCTCTCTCTCTCTGTCTCTCTTCCTCTCTCTCTCTCTCTGTCTCTCTCTCTCTCTCTCTCTCTCTCTCTCCTGTTGCCTTGTGGATAAGGTGCCTGCTTCCCCTTTGCCTCCAGCAATGATTGTAAGTTTCCTGAGGCCTCCCCAACCATGAGGAAATGTGAGTCAATTAAACCTTTTTGTTTATAGATTACCTAGTCCCAGATAGTGTATCTGTAGCAATGTAAGAACGGACTAATACAATTAATTACTGACTGCCTTTATCTTTAGTGATGCTTTTATCTTAAAGTCAATTTTGTTTGGTATTATTGTAGTTATCGCAGTTATTCTTTGGCTTTCATTTGGCTGTTATCTTTCTTTTCCTATTGCTTTAATTTTAACATTTATTTAACCTCCTACTGTTTATATCCTTCTATGAAAGAATATACCACTGGACTCCTTTAATCCTGTTTAACAATCTTTATTTTAATTTGAGCACTTAGCCCGTTTGTCATGATCACTGATATGTTTAGATTTATTTCTACCATTTTGTTTTACTGTTTGTCTCAAATTTTCAGTGTTTCTTGTCCACTTCTTTTTTGTGTTCTTTTGAGTGTCTCCTAAGACACATGATGTGTGTATTTTTTTCCTTAGTGGTTTTTCTGCCACTTATAATTAACATCTTAATTTGAAACAATCTAGTCTGGATTAATACCAACTTAATTTCATTGAAACACAATACTTGGTCTCATAGAGCTCTGTTTCTTCCAACCTCCTTTGTTCTATTATTGTCATATAAATTATCTTACACATAAAATACATAAACACAGTTTTATAATTATTGTTTTATGCAGGTGTTTTTTAAATAATAAAAGAGTTTCAGGCCAGACGCGGTGGCTCATGCCTGTAATCCCAGCTCTTTGGGAGTCCGAGACGGGCAGATCACTAGGTCAGGAGATCGAGACCATCCTGGCTAACATGGTGAAACCCCGTCTCTATTAAAAATACAAAAAAATAGCCCGGTGTGGTGGCGGGTGCCTGTAGTCCCAGCTACTCGGGAGGCTGAGGCAGGAGAATGGCGTGAACCCGGGAGGCGGAGCTTGCAGTGAGCCAACATCGCGCCACTGCACTCCAGCCTGGGCGACAGAGCCAGACTCCATCTCAAAAAAAAAAAAGAGTTTCAAACAAAAAATTCTTACTGTCTTTTACATTTATCTTAGCAAGTTATTTTCAACCATGTACTTCATGTCTTCATATAGACTGGAGTTACTGGTTTAGTGACTTTTCAATTCAGTCTAAAGAATTAACCTTTACTATTTCATGTAGAGAAGTTCTACTAATAACAGATTCTTCAGTTTTTGGTTGTCTGTGAATGTCTTAATTTGTCTTTTGTTTTTGAAGGATAGTTTTGCAGGCATACAATTCTTGATTAATTGCCTTTTTTCTTTCAGCACTTAGAAGGTCATTTCTACTGCCTTCTGGCTTATATGAAGAAGATAAGAGAATTATATTAGAGAATACCTTGAGAATCCCTTGTATACATCTAGTTGTCTTTCTCTCGCTACTTCAATGAGCCTCTCAGGTTTGATAGTTTATGATGTGTTTCAAGTGTAAATCTCATTGAGTTAATTCCATCTGGAGTTTGTTAAATTTCTTGAATTTTTAGATTAATGTTTTTCATCAAATTTGGAGGGCTATGGTCATTATTTCTTTAAGTATGCTTTCCCTTTCTCTTCTTCATTTTGATTGTCATAATGTGCATATTGGTCTGCTTGATGTTATCCCACATGTTTATTTTTCTCTTTTTGTTTTGTTTTGATTCCTTCACATGGATCATCTCAATTGAACAATCTTCAAGTTAATCAATTCTTCCTTCTACCAGCTCACATTTGCTGTTGAGCCTCTCTAGTGAATTTTTAATTTCAAATATTGGACTTTTCAACTCCCAAATCTATATTTGGTATTTATTTTATAATTTTTATCTCTTTATTTGTTGTCTCAACTTAGTAAGACATCATTCTCATACTTCTCTTTACTTCTTTATACCAGATTTCCTTTCTCTTTTTTTCATCTATTTGCAATAGCTGATTTAAAGTCTTTGTCTAGTAAGTCCAATATCTGGGCTTCCTGAGGGTCTTTCCTGTGTCCTTGCATGTCTCACAATTATTTTGTTGCAAGATGGACATGTTAAATAACATAATGCAGCAAATTCAGACCTCCAATCCCTTCCCTGACTTTGTTGTTATTATTGGTTGTTGTTGTTGTCATCACTGTTTGTTTAGTGACTTTCTTGTATTAATTTGTAATGTCTATATTTTTTGTCAAGCATAGCCACTGATGTCTCCAATTGGGCTAACTCATTGTTCAGCTAATGTTTGGCAGGCATTGTCTTAAGTGCCTTGAACCAATAAGGCTCCCAGCCTTTGCTAAGGGGCTGTATGTTAGTACGTAGTGTGGTGAAAATTTTCAGTTTTATGACAGGCAATTTACAACTCTGATTAGGCCCTACTTTCTGCTTGTGCAGATTTTTAGTGTTAACCAGAAATAAGGTATATAGAAACTTTTCAAAGCTCTCTATGAACATACCATTCTCTGGCTTTTCTTTTTAAATTTTTTTGGTCAGCCTTTTTTCAGACCCAACTTATATTACTGCCTCATGCAACTGTGATGTTAAACAATCACCATTTACTGTTTGCAACAAATTTCCCAGGTATAACATTGTTTTCTAAAGCAAGCCCTACATTAGGTAAAATGAAGAGAAGCCCTTCTAAAATGTGAATAGAGCATTTTACAGAGCTCCCAGACAGGGAAAATTATAATTATCAGAGAATGGGGCTTTCAGGGAGCTTTAAACCCATTCTGCTCACTCTAGTGAATTCTAGATGGATGGGTTTTTAAAGCTGTTATTGTCATAAAGCTGTTTTTTGTTTTCATTTATGTTTTGAGAGAGACAAGGTCTTGCTCTATTAGTCAATCCAGAGTGCAGTGGCATTACCAGGGTTCACTACAGCCTTGACCTCCTGAGCTCAAGTGACCCTCCCACCTCAGCTTCCCAAGTAGCTGGGACCACAGGAACATACTAGTGTGCCCAGCGAATTTTTTTCGTTTTTTTCTAGAGATGGGGTCTTACTTTGCTGTCCAGGTTGGTCTGAAATTCCTGGCCTCAAGTGATCTTCCTGTCTCAGTCTCCCAAACTGCCCCTTAAATATTCAGCAAAAACTGGAAGCAACCAAGATGTCTTTCAGTAAGTAAATGAAAAAATAAACTTAGGTACATTCATACAGTGGAATAATATGAAATAATATTTTGCAATAAAAGGAATGTTCTATCAAAGCCATGCCACAAATAAAGAATTAATCTTCTCTGTGTGTCATTAAGTGGAAGAAGCCAATCTGAAAAAAGGATAAATACTATAAACTTAAGTTTACATAATCTTTTGCAAAAGGCAAAACTTCAGAGATGGTAAGAAGTCAGTGTTCCAGGGTTTTGGGTAGGGAGGAGGGTTAAAGAAATAAAGCAAGGGGATATTTTAGGTAGGGGAAACTATTCTGTATGATACTGGAAGGATGACTATTTTACGTTATGTATGATCAAAACCCATGGAAATTCACAGCACAGAGAATGGAACTGAATGTATACAATTTTGAAAAAGAAATCATATAGGAGGTTGGTTCAGCAACCTTAGTTCTAGCAGGAAATGCAGACTGTCACAAAGATAATCTAGTTGTATTTCAAATGTATGAGATAATCTCACTGAAGGCTACAGGGAAGGTGAAGGAAGATGCTACCCTAATCAACTTTGGAAATGAGTGATTACTACAAGAACAAAGGCAAAAGCAACTGTACATAAGACCTATACTCTAGTTGATAAAGTAGTTTCCAGTGAGGCTACAGGTTAATAATACTGATACAGTTATAAATATATACAAAAATTGAGCCATTGGTAAATGGATGGTGGATTGTGGAGGCCTCGTTTTTTAACTGTTGAAGTAGACAAGCAAAAGGAAAAAGCTAGAATCATCCATGTGGCAATAGATTAGAGTTGGAGACATGAGTGCAAA
This sequence comes from Homo sapiens, assembly GCF_000001405.40. Lineage (NCBI taxonomy): Eukaryota > Metazoa > Chordata > Mammalia > Primates > Hominidae > Homo > Homo sapiens. Next base: position 12,459,363 of record NC_000002.12, on the reverse strand, counting down.
CTCATGTTTAGCTTAGTATAGATACAGATAGTTAAATGTAGAAATATATACAGATATGTTTATATAAGTGGGTTGGTATACACATGTACGTCTCCTTGCTCTGTTGGCCAAGAGGGTGTAGAAACAATGACACCCCAATTGAATGAGTATAACTAGTGCCCAGATTTGGGGTTCTAATACCATTCTTTTTTTTTTTTCTTTTGAGATGGAGTCTTGCTGTGTCACCCAGGCTGGAGTGCAGTGGCGTAATCTTGGCTCACTGCAACCTCCTCCTCCCTGGCTCAAGCGATTCTCCTGCTTCAGCCTCCCTAGTAGCTGGGACTACAGGCATGTGCCACCAAGCCTGGCTAATTCTTTTGTATTTTTAGTAGAGATGGGGTTTCACCATGTTAGCCAGGATGGTCTCGATCTCCTGACCTCGTGATCCGCCCGCCTCGGCCTCCCAATGTGCTGGAATTACAGGCATAAGCCACTGCGCCTGGCCTCTAAAACCATTCTTGAAGAAAAAGAACCAGGGCTTCTTGGAGATATGGCTGGTTCTAGCACTGGAGTAGGGAATGCACAAAATGAGCTTGGAGCATCTTGTAATGCCAGAAAGTAGAAATGCTTAATACACACACACACACACACACACACACACACACACACACATTGATGGGGTGTTTTAGAGGAACACAGGAACCAACTGAAAGAGTTCCCAGCGGCAGAAGCTGGAACAACTTGGCAAAAGAAAAGAATAAATCATTGTGGTGTTATAACCAAAATATAAAATAAATATCAAGAAAGCCATAGTAAGACAAAAAAGATTGAATACATAAAATAATAATGGGGAAAAATAAACAAATATCTCTAGTATTTGTGAATGACTGAGTTAATGTTATCTATAAATAATATCATTTGATATTTTGAATAAAAAAATTTAAGCCCTAAAAGGATTATTATGCTACTTTTATAAGAATTTTTCTATTAACAACCGTATCTGAAATTTGCAGGTTAAAATTTCAAAGTCCTATGACAGTCCTTTTCTGTCATTTCTGGAAACACACTTGCTAAATTAACTTTGAGTTTAAAGTGCCGTCAAGCACCCAAAAAACTGCTATTGCTGGACTGATGCCAAAGGTTCCCAATTTCTAGGTGTCAGGTGTGTTTGGATAGAGGCTTCAGTTCAAGTTTATTTGTTCTATGACAACAATTTTAAAAATCGTACCTATCTCTGAGCCTTCAGGCCTATCACAGACACAAGAAATTCCACATCTTGTGAAAAATGTGTCATTTGCATGGCATTTTCCCTTTGAGAATATGTGTGTGCACTTTCTGTGCCAAAGACAGTAGAAAGTGTAACAGAGCATGTGCTGGGTGAGGGAATGAGCTGCGGCTGAGCAATGCACTTCAACTGCTTGTGGAAACTCTCGACTGGGGATTGTCTGTTTCTTCCCTTTAGATCAACAAAGAAGTATCCAGTTTACTCAAAGTACCAGTGTTGAATCTGTGCAAAACATTGAGTCCTTTGTCTGATTCAAAACCCACATCTCTTGTATTAAGCATGTAATTATGCACCATAATAATGTCTCACGTTTTCCCAAGATTTTATATTTAACCAATTTCATGTCAATTATATCACTGAACACTAATTCCCTTTCCCCATCCTGTCCCATTCTCTTGCACTGCCAACTCTTCCCTCAGAACACATACTCAAGAAGCATGGAATGTTGACCATGTTTGGAGGTTGAGGAAACGGACATTTGCAGAGGGTGAATGATGCCCCAAAGTTAGAGAAACACCAACTAGAGAAGCAACTGTGTAAACAGACTATGAGCTGATGGTTTTGTTTTTAGGGACACAGCTCAAATTCCCTAGGACTGTGCTTTGCTTATAGTACACCATTAGATGGAAGCCCAGCTCTTGCACAGTGATTTCTGGCACCTCTGAGTGTAGAAGTATTTCTCCTTCTTCAATCTCCCTCCATACCTGCCTCCCCAGGCTCCATAAACTTCTCCCTTATGATGCCCTGCCATCTGCTATTTCCAGAATCCACTCACAGATGTGCCTCTTCTACCAATAAACTGTGAGCATGTGAAGGGCAGTGCCCATGGCTGACTCTTCCCTGTATCTGTTGACCCCACCCCAAGTATTAATGTAGGTCCTGGGGCGGAATGATGTTTGATAAGTGAGCATGAAACAGGACCCATTACGGCGAGCAGTTTAAGATGAGGAAAATTAAGAGTTGGAAGGGAACTAATATGTATTGATCCCCTATGCATGCCAGGCTATAGCCTCAGTCCTTTACAGTTATTCTCCACTAATTTCTGACTTCCTATTACCATCCTCATCATAAAGAGGAAGAAAATCCCACTCAGCGAGATTAAGTCATTTGCCAGTCATCAGGATTTGCATCCAGATTGGGCAATTCCCTAATCGGTACTCTTTGTACTAAAAGACAACCCCAGGTGAATTGGCAGGATCCAAAGACTAATCCTATTTATATTCATCACAGGAGCATAATGTACCAAATACCTGAGAAGAAACAGGATAGGAAATTTTCTGTGTGTATTTTATCTGTGCAGGGAGCATTGGGGTCTATTTTCATTGGCTTTATCCCCCTTTTTTTTACTTAAAACTAATAACAACTGAATATTTTCCACTGGCGTATAAATGGATGTCTCAATTGCAAAGGTGCCGACAGCTCAGTCTTACTTAACTTTCAGTTTAGGTATCCACCCTGCATTGCACAATCATCAAATGAGATATGATGCAATTTTTTTTAAACAGACTTTGCAAAACAAGTATTGAGTAACCAGAATCTCTTTTTCCTTGTATGTGCCTAGCAACCTTGCAGGTCTGTTTGACAGGAAAAATTTGCCCTTGGACAGCAATTCAGAAAGATACTTAAAGGCTGAGAAAAGCATGAGGCTCTGGAGTGTCGCAATCAGTGGGTCAGGCTGATTAACCAAAAAGGAAGTGCTTGGGCTCCCCCGTTGCTCCGCCCCTCTCTGTGTAAGGCAGCAGGGTCAGAGAGAGAAGCCAAATTTATCTGACACATTCCTCTGTTTACTTTGTGGACTGTAGAGCTTGGTGAAAAGCTTTCTCAGATATATATATTATATATAATATATATTATATATATTATATATTATATATATATTATATATATATTATATATATTATATATATTATATATATTATATATTATATATATAATATATATATATTATATTATATATATTATATAATATATAATATATTATATATTATATAATATATTATATATATTATATATTATATAATATATATATACACACACACGTACATATATGTATGTGTATATATAGTATATATGTATATATATAGTATATATGTATGTGTATATATAGTATATATATATGTATGTATATATATAGTATATATATTATTGTTAAAAGAATGATGCAACATTGCAGAAATTTTTGAAAAGTGAAAAATTAATCATGCATCATTTCATCACCCCAACAAATGTGTTTTCGGTTTTATTTATTTCCTTCCAGGCGTCCTCCTCATTCATACATATTTTACACACTGGGACAGAATCCAGGAAACACCATCTGCTGAGCACTATTTGGTCAGAAACTGGACTCAATGATTTAGATTTTTAATCAAATTTATTTCTGACAAAATTCCTCCAAGGTCAAAAGATTGTCTCCATTTTACAGATTAAAATGCAACCACTACCTAAGAAAATATTAGTACCTGCCTGAAGTTCCCGGGTCAAGTCATGAATCTGGGATTCAAATACAGTTTTGTTTGCCCACAGAACCAGTGGTTTATTCTACATCGTCACTCAGCTTTATATTTTTCTTATTTACCATTATATATAAGTATGTTATTTTATGATACTCATCTATATTAATATGTTAATATATGTAATCTAAGTACTAATGATGTGTCACCATTTACTCTACAATATTAAGTTTTGGAGCAGATATTAATCTCAGCCTGCAAAAAATCAATTTTGCAAGAATGTAATTGTATTTTCTGTACATGGGCAATATTCATTTCAAACCTCTGTTTTGCTACATGGTAGAAACTTAATCTCATCAATTGGGGACTTACACTCCTGAAACCTGTAAAATTCCAGAGATTGTTTTTGTGTTCCATGTTCTTAATTAGTGCCATGCTTGGGTAAAAAGCCACGCATGTGGCTTTTATGTTTACCTCTCTCCATTGTAACATCCCCTGGGATGGCCTGATACCCTTCCAACTCCTAGTTATCGGTCCTTAAATGCCACTGCGCATCCTCCTTTGCCCGACTGCAAAGCCTGTGCACTTCCGGCTTAAAGTAGCCACTCCTAGGCCTCTCTTCAGAGCAAGAAACAGGAGTAGCAGGACTGAGTGAATTGGTTTTCCACGCCTTCATGGCTCTGGCTTTCCATGGTCTTGCTTTCTCATTAGTTGGATTCCTATTTACAATGGATCTGCTGCATTTCCAAAGAAGACTCTCAGCCACATGCTACAAAGTTATCAGCAGCGGCTGTGATGATTGGGATGAAACGTGGGATGTGTCAAGGCAAGAGAGGACACTCAAGTGGTGGCTCACACCTGTAATCCCAGCACTTTGGGAGGCCGAGGCAGGCGCATCACGAGGTCAGGAGATCGAGACCATCCTGGCTAACCCAGTGAAACCCCGTCTCTACTAAAAATACAAAAAAAAAAAAAAATTAGCCAGGCGTGGTAGCGGGCGCCTGTAGTATGAGCTACTTGGGAGGCTGAAACAGGAGAATGGCGTGAACCCGGGAGGTGGAGCTTGCAGTGAGCTGAGATCACGCCACTGCACTCCAGCCTGGGCAACAGAGCGGGACTCCGTCTCAAAAAAAATAAAATAAAATAAAATAAAAAAGAAAAGAAAAAAAAAGAAGTGTAGCCTCCTTACAGATGACCAGTGAGTGGATGCATTTTATTAGTTCTCTGGAGAAACAGAAACTATAGGATGAAGATGTAGATATATAAAAATGAGATTTATTTTAAGAAATGGCTCTGATGATTGTGGGGGCTTGGAGAGTCCAAAATTTGATAGGGGAAGCTGGCAGGCTGAAAACGGGAAAGAGTTTCAGTTTGAGTCCAAAGACAGTCTTCCAGAGAATTCCTTCTTGCTGGGAGAAGGGAAAGTCAGTCTTATCAGTCTTACATTCTATTCAGTCCTTCAGTTGGTTGGTTGAGGCCCACTTATAAATGTGGAGCACCATGAGCTTTACTCAAAGTCCAGCATTTTAAATCTCACCGAAAACACCCTCACAGAAACATCCAGAATAATGTTCTATGACATATCTGGGCACTGTGACCCAGACAAGTTGACACATAAAATTAACCATTACAGCATCCCTTGCATGAGCTGGCACCATAAACATAAACAGCAAAAAGGGGATACCTCCCCGAGGCCCCCCCGCCGGGACACCTCCCCGAGGCTCCCCCGCCGGGACACCTCCCCGAGGCTTCTCTGCCGGGATAACTCTCCGAGGCCTCTCTGCTGATTATTCTAATCCACCTTCTCAACTTTTTAGGATTACTCCAAGAAAGGGCATTTTCTTTAATTAAAAAAAAGCAAAGCGATAAACAAAAAAAAAATCCTGTATTTACAGCACATTATTTAATTCATTTGAGAAATATTAACAGTTCCAGGCACTATTCATCTCTATAGATTCACAGGTGAATAAAATCCTATTATTTTTGTCTTAAGGAATTGACTTAACGCAAAGATAGAAAACTAAACAAGAAACAAGAAACACTACAATAATTGCTTAAACTGCAATAATCAAAGGTACTAAGGGACTTTTCCATTTTGGTCTTTCATTAATTTTCCTTTACTGGTTTTCAAGTTAATGTTATGCCACCAGCTGCCCCCAGACAGCCCTAAGAAATGTGCCACTGTGTCGGTGGTGGGGACACCATGGAAGGTGACATGCACAGCTTCACATGGTGGCTGCCCTATGAAGACGTGGGACAAGCAGTATCTTGATTTTAGAAAAAAAAAAAAAAAAAAGAAAAGAAAAGCTGTGCTTCTTCTCAGCCACTGGTTCATTTTTGCCTTAAGGACCAGTTGACTTTACAAGTGATAATATATGTAGTTTTTCTTTGTCTTAGCTATAAAGGAGAGAAAAGACAAATGTGGGTACAATCTGTGGTAACCCTGTAGAACCATATGGCATTCATTCTGCACACTGACTGTGCTCCAGAGTGTCTCTTCTCTGCTCTCTCTCTTACTTTCTCTTTATTCCCTTATTTTTATCACTAGATTTTTAAAAATCTTATTTTAGTAAATGGTCCGCTGACAGCCAACTCAGATCCATTTTGGAAAGACATAGAAAATTATGTAGGTGGATGGATGGATGGATGGATGGATGGATGGATGGATGGATGGGGAGACAGTTTCCTTTCATAGAGTTAAGGAAAATGTCATGGAAACAATGATACTTTCAGGCTTGGTCGAAGAGGATGCATGGCTGTTTATTGGAAGGGAAGGAGGGCAGCTTCTACCTGGGGCAGGTAGTGGGGAGGGATGGGGAAGCTGGATTGCACTAACCTTTGGTGAACAGAGCTAATTAAGTAAGTTACTTAATAATCACATCATCTGGTTAATGCAATTCAGAATGAGTCCCAGATACTCTGGTCATTATGCTGATGGAAAGCTTTTTGAAAAAAAAAAAAAAAAAAAAAAAAAAAAAAGGCCATCTCCCTCTGCTCATCCTGTAATTATCCATTTCTTGCCTACCTCTTGCTGTTTTTGATAAGAGCCATTAGGATAATAATTACAGGCTCAACTAATGTATTAATAACTCTATGGATGTACATTTCTTGATGCCTCTGTGAAAGACTGAAATATGTTAACCTTTTAAATGTCTTCAGTCACAGGCTGTGTCAGACTTTTATTAATGGCCCAGTTCAGCTGCCCAAACTCCAGCTAGCTGCAAGCGCATATGATGTGTGGTAACAAAGCATTTTCATCCTGCTCATGGTCACTTCCCTTTTTAGGAACTTGAAATGAAATACTGTGTTTATCCTGTATATCCTAAGAATGTACGTCAGCTGCAAGCCCTGAAATAGACACAGTTTGCTGCCCTAAATATTTGATTCTTGAGTCAAGTTATTGTAATTGCTAGACATCTTTCTTTAAATATAGAAGGACAGTAGAGCTGTACATTTGAAATAAACATCATGCTCACATATAACACAGTTTCGATTTGATTTTTCAAAAATAATTTCCTCAGGTTTGGTGAGTGCAGTAAATGATGAGATATTTAATTCATCGAAAATCCTACAGCTTTAAGGAGACATGATTAAGACGTCTCTGGGTTATGAAAGGGCATTTCTAGCAGTTAAAAGAATGCAGTTACTACAGAACGGAAACTTCAACACACCCTTTTGTAAAACCATTGTTAATCTGCCATTGCCCCAACTCTATGGCTGCTGTTTCGCTGATAAGTATTTTCAGATTAAAGAGTGAAAGCAAATACATTTACCACAGACAAAAACACATATTAGGGGACCTAACTGCCTTTGAACCGTTTGATAGCTTATCTCCTACCTCCAGGGCATTAAGCTAAAGTTGCAAGGCTGCCTGACACCTGCAGAAATAGCCCTGGGACAAAAATATTTTCAGGTATTCTTGCCTAGTACTTGCTAAAGTTAGAGAACAAAATAAAGGACTCAAAGCTCCTGTGTGTTTATGGCATGCGAGATGCCCATCACTCAGCCTTCTTACCCTCATGTCAGATTTGATCTACTTTTGGACACCAAAATTGAGATTCCAATCTTAAAATTCAAAGCAGTTTGGTAGAGTTTGGGATAGGTAGGTTCATTGAATTTAAACTTCATGGGAGGAGGCATAAATATGGTTTGTTTATTTGAAGGAGTCATAGAAAAAGGAGTTTTCTAATGGTGGTTTAGAAAGTAATAGTCAAAGCTTTAAAATACTCTATATAGCATTGTATAAATTCCTTAATATATAATACATTTAAATATTAAATATATAATATTTATTAAAGTATTAAATATCTATATTCTATACTTAATACTTTAATGTGTCATATTTTATAAATTCCTCTAAGGAAATTATTTATAAAATATTATGTGTTTAAGTATTAAATATACAGTATATATTAAAAATTTATAAAATACACTAACATATATGTATATATACACACACACACATACACACACCAAGATAAAAAGAAAGAGAGAGTGCACTCACCTGGGACCAGCTTGACAAAGCCTGATGAGTTCTACCAATTTATGTCCAATACTCCTCTTTTTTTCCATCATCAATTTATGAAGTTAACAAATATTTATTGACACTTACTACTTATCTAGTGCTGTGCAAGTTGCTCAAAATATAAAGTAGATTAAGACAAGCATTTTCTGCCAAGTTTGCACAAACAAATGCAAAGAAGACTGAAATTTCTTGAGAGAGGACCGATGATGAAAGTAAACAGAGGACCTCCAAATGCTCCAAGAATGGGCACCATCCCCCGGCTGAGTGGGGAAGAAAGGAGAGCACCAGAGGCTGCTGCCTGAGAGGGTATTTGCGATTGTTTCTCATGGTATTTGCTATCCCTTGTTGTTTGGATATAACAAAGGCAGAGGCATGTGTTAACCACGCTTCTATGTTCATGGCTTGCTATCAACAAGTGCATGTGGAAGGTCCCAGTCCTATTTTTGTTTGTTAATGTATTTGTTTATTTACTTTTTGAGTTCCCTTTCTCACCATTTCTTACTCCTAATTCTCCTATCCCCACTATCAGCAACAATTCTATTCTGATTAATGTTGACGTCTGTGTGTCCTTATACACTGTGTGTGCTATCATTTTTTAGGCATGCATCTTAATTCCTGTAAGTGGCATTTTTTATATCCCATTATGTTTCTTTTTCACCACACACTATGTTGTTAACGTCCAGCCATCAGCCACATACTCATTACTTCCAATTGCTGTATAATAGTCCACCTTTGTCTATGCACCAGAATAATGAGGGGTGCACAGGTGTTCTCCAACTCTACCACCATGCATGTCCTTGTGAGGTCCACTGTTAAAGCATTTAAGAATTATGCCATTATTTTTTTTTTTTACTAAAAACAAAGTATTCAGTATTTTTAGCATGTGCCTAGCAGGTAATACAAAGATGTAAAGCCCACAGTCCTTTTTCTCTAGAAGTTAATTGTATAGTTTTTCTCTAGAAGTTAATTGTATAGTTGGAGTGGGAAGGAGGATGTATGATCTATAAATAAGTTACTCTTATAAAAACAGACAAGGGCTAGATCAACAATTCCAAGATGCAGGAGAAGGTAACTGGCATTTGTCAAGCATCTGCTATAGGCTGGGCTTTTTGCTGAGAATTTCCCGAGCACTGGAAAATTTCTCTGGTAAGCATAAAAGGAGGGAGACTTATGGGGGCAAAACCTAAGAAGCCTACTTGGAAAATGCAAGATTTACTCCAGGAAAGTAGAACTTCTTCAAGCATAGATGGGAGCAGGAAGAACATTATGGTCGAAGCAAACCTAAAGAATAAAGGATGAGTGCTCAGAACATGTGGGGCATTGGTGGGGGAGCAAGACTTAGGTCCATTTAAGGAATTCATAGATAGTATGAGAAATGGTGGGCATTCCTTAGAAAGTCATAGCATGTGAATTTAATAATATTTTAAATTATGAATAGAGGTGGTGTCCTGGTATCTAATCCTCTCAACTAATTTGTGCCATGCAATATTCTAAAATCTGTGATTACAGAGATGAACCAAAGAGACTTGGTCCATATCCTTGTGGAATGTAAATTCTACTGGGTAAAAGCAGATGATAAATAAGTTAAGACAGAGCAGATGAATAAATAAGCAAACCAAACACAAAAATATAAGATAATACATGCTAGTTCATAGGCCATTATATGAATTAAAAACAACTGTCTCCTCTAGGAGGACAAAACAGAGAAGAAAAATACCACTCCCACTGCGATGAAAGGCTTGTCTACTCAATACTGCCTCTTACTAATACAAAGAAGATGTTCCTCTAGAGCTCAGGAGGAATCTGTGAGTCAGATTTCAACCCACACTCATCCTCCCAGCCTGCAGCCATTGGCAATGCCCAAACCAAGCAGCCTTGGACATGGACACAAGACAGGGCCTTGTGTTAAAGAAGAAAAAGATGCAGAGGGCAGGTATGTCAGTCAATACGATTGCCTTGCACAAATGGTGATATTTGTCCTGAGATCTCAAAGAAGAGAAGCAACCTTTTATGCAGCATTAAGGGAATGTCACTCCAGACAGAGGAAGTAACAAGGTCAAAGGCTCCAACACAAGTGCTGATACAGTTGTTCCCAGACCAGAAGGGCCAGTGACTGACACAAGAGCAGAAGGTGATACAGAGATAATAGGGGCCCAACTGCAGAAGCCATGCTGTAGCGTTTGGATTTTAAGATTTTACTTAAATGGTATGTGTATGCCGTGCATGTATTTTATTGTAGTTGAAGCTAGGTGGAGGAATTTAATTGAAGAATGGGTTTACAAGAATCTTCAGAATATCTTGGCTTCTACATAAGATAAAAATAAATACATTCAGGTTATAAAGCTCTCATTTATGGAATCAAGATTCTAGATTGCCATAACTGAAGGGGAACTCATATATTATTTAGTTCAAACTTTTTTTATTTAAATAAAAAATGATATCCTATGTAGACACATTAATTTATTCATATATAGATCGGTATATATTGATTTATATAGACATATTAATATCTAGATATACTGATATCTCTATTTATCTATCCATCCCATGTAGATATATTGAAAAGTACCAAGTTCAAAAACTCAAGAATAAAACAAATTCAATTACTTAATCTGTCTATACCCAAACTTATTACGCATATTTGCAAATTTCCATTCTACCAGGTAGTGGACATTTAATTTAAGTCTATTCAGTGGCTCTCCTACCCTCATCCTGGTGCTCTTTCTAAATTAGCAGGCACATACACTGCTCTAAGCCATTGATAGTACTGGAAAGAGCTAATAGGTCCCATCTTCATTGTTGTTTCAGTTCATTCAGGCAGCTACAGCAAAATGCCTTAGAATGTATCATTTATCCCCTGAGTCCCCAAAGTCCATTCATATGCCTTTGCATCATCCTCATAGCTTAGCTCCCACCTATAAGTGAGAACATACAATGTTTGGTTTTCCATTCCTGAGTTACTTCACTTAGATTAATAGTCTCCAGTCTCATCCAGGTTGCCGTGAATGCCATCAATTCATTCCTTTTTATGGCTAAGTAGTATTCTATCATATGTAAATACCACAATTTCTTTACCCACTCGATTGATGGGAATTTGGATTGGTTCCACATTTTTACAACTGCAAATTATGCTGCTATAAACATGAGTGTGCAAGTATCTTTTTTTGTATAATGATTTCTTTTCCTCTGGGTAGATAGTAGTGGAATTGCTGGATCAAATGGTAGTTCTACTTTTAGTTCTTTAAGGAATCTACCACTACTTTTCATAGTGGGTTGTACTAGTTTACATTCCCACCAGCAGTGTAGAAGTGTTCCCTGTTCCCCGCATCTGTGCCAACATCTATTATTTTTGGATTTTTTGATTATGGCCATTCTTGCAGGAGTAAGGTGATATCGCATTATGATTTTGATTTGCATTTCTATGATTAGAAGGGGGTGAGGGATAAAACAGTACAAATTGGGGGCAATGTATACTACTCAGGTGATGGATGCACCAAAATCTCACAAATCACCACCAAAGAACTTACTCATGTAACCAAATAACACCTTTTCCCCAATATCCTATGGAAATTAAAAAAAAATTTTTTTAAAGAATGCATCATTTATAAACAACAGAAATTTACTGCTCACAGTTCAGGAGGCTGCAAAGTCCAAGATCAAGGAACCAGCAGATTAGATGTCTGATGAGGGTCTGTTTCTCCTAGGAGGCACCTGCTATGTGTCCTCACATGGCAAAAGGGAAGGGACAAGCTCCTCTGAGCTCTTTTGTAAGGAAACTAATGCCATTATAAGGAACCCAATTACTTCCCAATTATCCCACCTCAGTACTATCACACTGGAAATCAGGTTTCAACATATGAATGGGGGTGGTAGAATACAAACATTCAGAGCGCCGCAATTGTCATTGGCCCTTGCCCTCTCTCCATACTGGCATAAGTGACAATGTGCTTGTTCTTACCCGGTGAGAGCCCTGTTGTCTGCTCGCTCTTGGATTCTATCTGAACAACTCTTAGGCCCAGAGAAAATATTTTGTATTTTCCCATGTCACTCCGGGCAAGTAGATTTTATAAAACTGATCTGGAGCTTTCTGCCTCAGTAAACCCGTCTGATATTCTTTCTCTGACCACCTCATTCACAGGGAAAATCAAGGCCTTGCCCTCTTTTTGGCCTTTGGCACTGACTCTCTTCTACCCTCAGTTACTCAGTTCTTCTCAAAGACGCTTCATCCATTCCTCTCCTGGGAATCCCCAGCTTCTCTGCCTTCATCCTTCTTCTGTTCTGTTCCTTCCTATCTTTCCAGGCCAGGCAATCTGTATCTAATAATTGACCGAGAGGATGACGAATTATATCTAACCAGCTAAATACCATTCTGAATCTTTTTTTTTAAATTTGAGACAGAATCTCACTCTGTCACCCAGGCTGGAGTGCAGTGGCACAATCTCAGCTCACTGCGAGCTCCGCCTCCCAGGTTCACGCCATTCTCTTGCCTCAGCCTCCCGAGTAGCTGGGACTACAGGCCCCCGCCACCACACCCAGCTAATTTTTTTGTATTTTCAGTAGAGACGGGGTTTCACTGTGTTAGCCAGGATGGTCTCGATCTCCTGACCTCGTGATCCGTCCACCTCAGCCTCCCAAAGTGCTGGGATTACAGACTTGAGCCACTGCGCCCGGCCCCATTCTGAATCTTTTCTTTTGTCCCTAGGTCACCTAGATCTTTTTCTCTCTGCATTCTGCTGGAATAGAATTGGCTTCCTAGATGCAGGAGGTCAATAGGCTAATGGGACATATTCTTGAAAAAGGACCACAATGGTTAGTAACATAACAAAATATTCCCCCCACATATGAGTTATCAAAATAAAACAATGTCATTTAAAGACATAAACTATGTGTTGTTTAACCATATTGCAACTCAGTGTAACCTAATCAATCTTAAATGTTTTGTAATTATTTCTCTTAAATATCAGTTGCTCCCCTCAAATGCACATACACATTAGTTTATACTATTGAGTCATGTATATTTATCTTTCTAGAAATAGATATAAATGTATCTCACACATTCACACACAAAACAACCCACATACAAACCAATGTAGTTAAGGCCCTAGGATATATCATGAATGTTAACCTAAAATAAATACCTGAAGGGAGCCCTTTTGTATGAGGCATTCTTCTGGTTCTTCAAAGACCATACACTGCTGAATTCTTTATTTGGCTAACATTTCAGCTATGTGTCAAACCACGAGAATTGAGCCAGAAAGCACACAGCAACCCTGCCCAGGCAGGAAGACTCCTACCTCTGCAGATTTTGGAGAAGCACAGGGGCAAGACCTGCTTTATCCAAGAGGTCAAGCAGCCACTGAACTCAGCCAAGAGCCCACCCCCTGGCTCCACACAGACAGGGAGGCAATCCTCAATTGTGTATTTTGAAGGAGCATGGTCTCTGGTCCCACGTGGCTTGAGCAATGACGCTGCGTAACTGCGGAGACCAGCCTGCAGCCTTGATCCACTACAGATCCTAAATTGAAGAATTACCTGGCCGGAAGATGCATCTTGTGACCACCTAAGCAGGAGTCATTGGGGTACCCAGCCAGCCAACATCAGAGCAAACCCAGGGGCTCAGCCAACTACTGAACTCACAACAAGTGCTGCGGACTGGTTGCTCACCAGCTGGCCCTTCCAGAACCACAGTTTGGACAGGGAGGAATACTCTATCACTGCCAAAGAACACCTGTAAAGGCCTGAGTTTACCTGTTTGTGACATGGAAAGCTGCACAAGGACTTTGAGTAGGAGAATGAAAATGTATTTGGATTCTGGAAGTTAAATCTAATACCAAAGTGAGAATATTTTGCACACTTCTTGGGCTTTTTAAAAATATATATATTTATTTGAGGCCACATAATACAAAAGAGAATGTACTTTATTTCCAAATGTTCTTTAATCCATTCTTTTTATCTACATAGTAAGGAATTAGTAAAGAGGAAGACAAGATGACAGCATGGCGTGGTCCGTTTTGCCATTAAAAACTTTATTTTTAATTTACTGTCAGACTCTAGAAAAAGTGTTTTGAGTGTTCATAAGGAACAGTAAATTTTCATAGTTTTTAAATAACTTGTGAATTTCATTTTTGGAAATAGCAATAGTCATTAGATTCTTAATAGGCTTTATTAATATGGTAAGTCACTATGCCATCTTATAGACTATTATGTGGCTACCACCTTATTTTGTTATTATTTTTATATTATACTAATAATTTTTTGTTACTTTTCTTCCCATTTCACAGATGAAAAACTAAGTCCCAGGTATTTCCCCAGTGAAACACAATCAGGAAAGGATACATATCAAGTATTTCAAATACCAAGTCCATTTCTCTTTCCATTAAGCTAAGTTGAATCACTAAGCTAGGAGACACATGGGAAGTTATTGTCTGTGATGTTATAATGAAGCTCTTTTCGTTCACCAATATCCAAATCTAAGCTGAAACCATGAAATCAGAAGATGTCAGTAAGATTCTTTGTTTAATGAATCAATTACATTGAATCAAGTGTTACATATCTGATATTTTCTCTGGCATAATTTCTCCACATCCCCAGAGAAATTCATTTGTTTGGAGATGTTTTTCTTTATTACAACTACAGTCCATGCATATTATACCACAAATCAGTCTTATGAGTATGTGTGCTGATATTCACCATCGAGCACTAACTTATCCTTCAAAACTCATACCATTTATTATCTCTTTGAGACTTTCCCGACCTATCAAGTTAACATTGATGACTCCCTCTTTGTACTTCCATTGTTCCCTTTAGAAAAGCCTATGACAGCAACTCTAACGAATGTTTGAATGCATTTGTTTTGAGATTTGTTTCCCTCATCTGACTCAAAGGTACTTGAAGAAGGTAAATTTATCTTTTTATCTCTATTTTCTCAAATTTAGCACAGCAATATACACAGGAAAAGTACACAAGTATTTTTTAAATACTTTTTTTCTTCAAAGCCCAAATACTTCTGAGGAATTAAATACAAATTTCAATCTAATTATCATTTGTTTCCAAATAGCATCATTTTGCTAGTCTTTTTATTATTAGACTGAATTAAAATCAGATTCAAAAATTAAACCACGTGTACTGAGTATATATGTTGTGCTAGGCACAACACTTCATCTGTGCTGATTTTAGTATAGCCATTTAGATTATTTCATCTTTACCCAGGCAATCTTTTGATTTGTGACAAGTGTGCATGTATGAGCACATTTGGGTAGGAAACTGAGGCAGTCTGTGGGCTGGAGAACTGCATGTTTGCCAACTTGTTCCTGATCTTTCTCTCTTGCCCCTCTTTGCCTTGACACAAACACCTGGAAATCCCTCAGGTCAGCCTTGCTGAGCGGGAGATGTGGCACCATCTGTGCAGTGGAGGACGTGTTCATCTTGTTAATCAAACTTGTTTATGACTTTGATAGGTAGCCAGCGCATTGAATTTCCTTCCTTTACATTCATGGTTCTACTCCCTGATCTCACTATGATAACGTTGGGCACAGCCTTCCTTAATCCACACAGAATGGGGCTCTTAAGCCAAATAGGTGTCTGAACAGACTGGATCTACTAGAACAGAAATTCTAGGGACTGAACTTTCTGTGACACAGAGATGGCTTTTTTTTTTTGAGGGTCTCGTTCTGTCACCCAGGCTGGAGGGCGGTGGCACAATCTTGACTCACTGCAACCTCCGGCTCCTGGGTTCAAGCCATTCTCCTGCCTCAGCCTCCTGAATAGCTGGGATTACAGATGTGCACCACCATCCCTGGCTAATTTTTTTTTTGTATTTTCAGTAGAGACAGGGTTTCGCCATGTTGGCCAGGCTGGTCTCGAACTCCTGACCTCAGGTGATCTGCCTGTCTCGGCCTCCCAGAGTGCTGGGATTATAGGCATGAGCCACCACACCAGGCCAAGATGGCTCATTTTAAAAACAGCTTATGTGCCAGCTCTTAGCCAGATGTTGTGAAGAGTAATGAATCACACAAGATTTCTGCCCTTTAAGTCTGGCTGAGGAGACAGAGGCAGAGGCAGGTTCTTTCTGTTTTTCTTGGTGAATGCAGTGATGAAGCTGTGCACAGGACATTAGGGACATCAACAATGGGTTTGTCCTACAAAGCCCTGGGAGAAGACGCCTGGTGAAATGGAGGCCTGAGCTTAGTACTGACAGTTAAGAAAAAAAAAAAAATCTATCCTTATGAAAAAGGGCAGATGGAGGTGGTATGGGGAAAGCCTGATAGTCTAAATATGAGAGACAAAGAAAGGAATAGGAAGCTATATAATGTGTGTCATCAGAATCACAGTTTATGCTGATAGTATGAGTCAGCATTCTCTTCATTATGCTGTAGTAACAAACAACCCCAAGACCAACAAAGGTTTATGGCTTCTCTTACATTTTATATCAGCTGCGGTCACTGAGTGCTGACTGCAGCAGCTATGACTTAGTTTCATGCATCTTCTTTATGCTGGGATCTGGGTTAAAGCAGCAGCTTCTGCCTGAAACATGTTATTCTCATGGCAGTGATTCTTACAGCTGCTTTCTCTCATCATCTATTAGCCAGATTATGTCACCTGACCAAGCCTGACGTTAAGCACAAGGAAAAGAATTATCTTCCAATAGGAATCTCATAACAAAGGAAAGGGATACCCATTCATCTTAAAGGAAAGGCAGGAAATCCCTGGGAAGAACAACAATTAAAAGGAGGTGATTTTTCCTACAAAGAATGCATGCCTCTGCGAGCAAAAGTAAAGGCAAAACGACCATCTCAGTGGCTCCTGGGGCCCTGTATAAGTCAATTCAGGCGCTATAACAAAAGCAAACAAACAAATAAATAGACTGTGCCACTGTAAACAACAGAAATTTATCTTCACACAGTTCTGAAGGATGAAAAGTCCAAGATAAATTTTCATCTGATTGCATTTCTGGTGAGGTCTCTGTTCCTGGTTTGCAGACAGCGCCTTCTCACTGTGTCCTCGTATGACTTTTCCTTGGTGTGTGCATGGAGAGAGAGGGAGAGAGGAAGCTCTGTGGTATCTCCTCTTATGAGAACACTAATCCTTATCAGATCAGGGCCGTACTTTTATGACCTCATTTAACTTCATTGATTTCCTTATCGGCCTCATCTCCAAACACAGCCCCACTGGGGGTTAAGACTTCAACATATGAATTTGGGAGGGACACAAATATTCAGTCTACCACAGACCCACATTTTGAAAATTATATCAAGTACCTCTAGCCATGGATGGCTGTCAGAGCTGAGAGTAAAGAGGCCCTTCCTCCTGTTACCTGCTCAAGCACATTGAAGACATGGAGACAGACTCTTGACTGCTGAGGGGGGCCTTCAGGTCAGAGTTCATACATTCATCATGCAGAACCACTTGGACTTCCTTGTCATTTTCAAGCATTTCTTTTTTGCTCATGTTGTTTCAACTTTCCAAAATGTCCTTTCCATCCTTTCAACTCATCAATTCTCATTTATTTTGATATTTTTGTTTGTGTTTTAACATTAAAGAAATTATAAAACTCAGTCCAGTTTCTCCTATAATATTTTACACCCAACTTTCATTAACTACTATGTTCTATCTGCAATGTTCTTGTGGTCACTTTCCTAATTATTTGGTGATTTTTTTTTTTAAGTACTTGGTTACCTCTCTTTCTTAAATATAAAACAAAGCCATCCCTGTATCTCAATCTCTAGCCTAGAAACTCACTAGGTCTATGAAAAAGAAAAAAATAAAAGAAAGAATGAATGCATGAATGACACAACTGAGAGTATATCATATCTTTCTTCAGGGAAATGCACATGCCTCTTTTGGCCATTACATCTTTCTTTGAAAAATTAAAAACTGTCATTAGTGGAATTTGAGGCATGACTTGGAGGAAAGAAGAATGGGGAGAGGGTGAAAAGGAAGAGAAATATTCCAAAACGCCTGAAATCCCATCGTGTGGCTTACTCATTACTGTCAACTCAATCCAGGGCTGCTGACCCCCTGAGCCTCCACCCTGTGTGGTGTCTCTGGGCCATCAAAGGACTCTGTGCAGCCGGGAATCTAATTAGCCAGACTAGAGGACCGGGGGAAGACAGCGGCAGGCTCACTTCAGCTCATTAAAAGCTCCAGTCTCCTGCTTGGGAAAGTGCTCTCCCATTTTACCAGCGCTGTTTGCATTTTGCAGCTCCCAGGGGACAGAGGGCAGTGCTGGTTGAATTCCTGGCTAAGCCATTTGGCCCAGAGCCTCCATAAAACCTGGGCACCAGTCTTCCTGACTTGGGGCTTTCCTCATTAAACATGGAGACAGGAGCCTGCTGTTTGACTTTCAGAGGCCAAGGTGAGGCAGACTGGTCTCCTCCTCCCTGAGGGTTCAGGGCCCATAGCTTGGAAGAAGATGGAAGTGAGGGCAGTGGTGGTAGACATTGGGCGCTGCTGGGGAGAGGGAGGGAGGTAGCAATGAAAATAAATATGTGCAAATCAAAACTCTGGTTTCCAAAAACATAAGCCTCCTTTGTAATAGCTGATAGTTCCCTGCTTAGAAAACCTCACCTTTGAAAACCTACTACCCACCTTGAACTTGAACCTGAACCGAGCCTTACATTTGACCTTTTAATCATTTTGTTGATGGTCTACAAAATACTTGAAGAGTCTTCTTGCTTTTAATAGTAATTGCAAGGCCATGTAGTTTGCCAAGAGACAGGAAGGGATATGGTACCATGGTTATAATATCATTTCAACAAGTAGAAGATGGTCTCTACGCATCTTCTAACAGTCACTAGAGGGAACTTTCTAAAGCTGATGCAGCCTCTCCTCTGTGTGGAACCCTCTAGCAGAGCTGTGCTTTACTCCATAAGGCACACATGCCTTCACTTAGAGTCCAAGACCCTCTGAGAGCAAGTGGTCCATGCGGCTCCATCCACCTATGCTTCTCCATTCATCCCTTAGCATGGCTTAGCTGCCCAGGAAAGTGGGTCTCCCCGAATCATCGCCTTTATGGGACTTAATGGCCCTGAAAGAGAATGTATAGGATTTATGGGGAAAAAACGTATAAGTTCAGCAAGGAGCTGAGTATAGAACATAGAGAACTAAATTTCTAATAAGAAAAGGGGACCAGAAAACAGCCTGTCAACGCTACCACACATTCAAATAATATCTGATGTGCATGCTATTTTGAAGGGAAAAAATTCAGAAGAAAAACAAAGGCGTACTTCACATCTCAGACAATGCACTGTGAAACAGGAACGGCAATATGAGACAGTGAAATAACCTTAACTTGACTCGAGAGAAAAGAGATTAGAGCAAAAGGGACCAGGAAGAATACAAGCCCCTCCCATCCCAAGCTCTCAGTAATCTTTTCCCTTCTACTGGACTTCTATTTCATTTGAAACCCTAAAACCAGGGCAGCTCGACTGAGAGGTGGGCCCAAGTCACTCAGTTTTCAAGTAGCAGAACTAGAGGAACCTCTCCTGAGCCAGCCACTTGTCCTTCCTGGCCACAAGGTCACCCGCCACATCGCTGTGCTACTCGGTGGGCAAAGGGTCATTGCACAGCTGTCCGGCATGTAGTGTACTTAGAGAGTACTCTAGGTAGAGTGAGTTAGAGATTACGGCTTCTGTATCCAGACAAACATGGCTCCCAACGCCAGCTCCACCCCTAGTGAATGGCATCACCTCAGGTAGGCTCCTTCAACTCTCCGAATTGCAGTTTTTCAAATTTAAGATGTGGCAACCACACCTCTCTTGATGGGTGGCTGAAGGATTGGAAATTATAGATGGAAAGTGATTCCCATAATTCCTAGTTCACGATAAATGCTAAATCATGGAGGGCTAGAGTTATGTGTGCTGGATGCATAAATTAATGAATAAACTAATAAGGAGGTAGTCCCTGAGGTATCTTCCAACTCTTAACTGTCTCTACTCAGTATCACGACACCCTTGGAGTATTTAAAAGCAAGTCTTTAAAATATGCCTGAATGCCCCAGGGAACTCAACATCTGGGCAGGAGGTGAACAAAATGATGTTGAATATTACTTTTTCCTCTCTAAATTCTAGATGCTGTGATTGATTACCAATTTCCCACTCCCTGGGATTTCAGTTGCTGCTCTAATCTGGGATGAAATCACACTGCATTTGAGATGAGCATGATTAAAAGTCCTCTGAGAGCCCTGGTAGGTAGCTTTCTGAAAGCTATTGTATAAGAGTAGGACTGCATAAGAGCCCCTGCTTTGCCCTAAATTGTGGCTCTTCCAGTGCTTTTGTACTTAGTGTATTTTAAACACAGATAATTTTACTGCCAACACCTGTTATATGCTAGCATATAAAATAAGAAAAAAGATACACATGTATTTTTTCTGCCTCTAGAAATAATAATAGCTATCACTTACTGAGCACTACTATATCCCACATATTTTGTTAAATTTTTATATGTAGTATCTCTGATTCTTATTCTAAACTTGTTAGGTCAGAGAAGTTGGATAATTTCTTACTGTTACTCAGTGAGCATCTTTTAGGGTCAAAATTCAAACCCAGTTACTTCTGGCTTCAAAGGCCCAATGTTTTCTACTACACTATACTATCCCACAAATATATCAAAATGATAACAATGAGTTGGTTATATAGGAGAAGGCGTAGTAACTTGGCATCCCAACTCCAAATCTGAGAATTACTTAATGAAGAAATTGAGCCACAGCATTTGACCTGGCTAGTGGTTCCCGCATGAAACTAGGCACCAACATTTTTTTGTTGCTGCTATTCATTTCCTTGATGTACCTTGACTTCTGCCTTAGCCCTCCTGAATCAGAATCTCCAGGAACTGATCCTTAAAATCTGCATTTCTATGTAGCTTCCAATGCGATTTTGGTGAAACCAATCCAGAGAAGGACATAAACACCACTGTTTGG
Source organism: Homo sapiens (assembly GCF_000001405.40). NCBI lineage: Eukaryota > Metazoa > Chordata > Mammalia > Primates > Hominidae > Homo > Homo sapiens. Next base: position 12,438,208 of record NC_000002.12, on the reverse strand, counting down.
CTAAAAGCCACACTACATCTTTAAGTTTGGGTAATTGTTTTCTTCTCTTACATTTATGATTCTTTTGTTTTCATCTTAAATATACATATTTTAATATGGAGGAGTAAAAGCAAAGACAAAAGAAAACAGCTCATTAGCTCCCTTCCAAGATATATTACCATTGACATCTACTGATACATTTTAAAAATAATATGTGTGTGTGTATATATGTGTATATATATGTATATATATGTGTATATATATGTATATATATGTGTGTGTATATATATATATATATATAGAGAGAGAGAGAGAGAGAGAGAGTACAGAAAGTGCTATATGAAAAGTAAGGTCTTTCCATACCCACTCTTTGCTCTTCTCAAAGGCCACCACCATAAAAGTTACAAATGTGCATATAGCTGCTTTTTCATTTTCACGACAAATTCCTACTACACATTCTATATCTTGCCTTTTTTAATCCTAGAATTTTTTTGGAGCTCTTTTGGTATTGTTACATTGTGTTTGTTTTCTATAGACAATTCACAGCATTTAAGGATATACCATAATTGATTGAAGCAGTCTAACATTGAAAAGCTCATTAATTTTTGCCAGGCTTTGTGTTTTTTGCTGTTTACATTTGACAAAAATGTTGCTTCAAATATTTACACTGATCTTGGTGAACATATGCAAAAATCCATGTTAGGTAAATTCCCTAACTGTGGCATTACTAAACCAAAAGCTAAGTGCCTTTTAAAATTTGACACACGTTGTCAAATCATCACCCAAACAATAATATGTGAGGCTTCCCATATTTTACACAATCACAAGCCCAAGTATCATCACCTATAACTGAGACTGAGTCATGAGCCAATAAGGAAGCATGTTTCAAAGATCAGTGAGTAAACAGATGTCTGATGCCAATCTATTAACCAGTATCTGGCTAACAGCTTTCTGAACTCATACATTGAAACGCTGAAAACACACACACACACACACACACACACACACACACATATACATATGCATGCATGTATAAGCTTATATGCTTGTATTCACACTCCCACAAATGTGCGTGTGCATACTTACATATGCATGCATACGTATTCATATATCTGCATGTATGTATGTGTACAGACACACTGCTTACTTATGCATACATTGAATATCCTCAGAAACAAACATACATAAGGTATAAATAATTAAAATGTAAAAATAAAAAAGAAAGAGGAACTGGTTCCTCCAGGAAAACGAGGGAGATTCATTCTCACTCTTTATCCTTTTGTTCCTTTTGAATTGTGTACCACAGACATGGATTTATCCTTTTGTTCCTTTTGAATTGTGTAGCACATACATGTATCAGCTAGTCAAAGAGTAAATTATATAAAAAGTATTCCAGAAAAGAAAATTATAAACACACTTAGACTTTGATTCGACAATTTCTCCTCTACAAACGTATTTTAAAACTAAACAAAACCAACTATGCAGGATGAAGTATATTTAGAGCTATTCACCGCAGCATTGCTTATGATAACAAAAGATTAGAAACCACATTAATGGACCTCAATATAGGACTAGTGAAGTGAAGATCGCACACACTAAAATGCTCTGCATCTGTAACAGAGAATGACTTAGTTTATTACATAATGATATGGAATGTTCTCAGAGGTATATTGTTAAGTGAACAACGGCACTTCGGCAAGTTGCAGAACAGTGGATGTGATATTTACCATTTATATCAAAAAGGAGACAAAAATCATGGAGGAGGGTGCACATGTAGAACAAGTGTACTGTATGTATAAATATATGTGACATAAATATAATATATAGTATTATACATATATGTATATGTACACACACATATGTACACACATATGTGTATTTCCCTGTATTAGACTAAAACACCTCTGAAAAGACACATGAACAATAGATAATAGTAGAGAAAACGAAGGATGGCTGCATGGGGGAGCATGATCCTCGGTAGAACTCAGCTAAGATGCGATCAGGAGTCTGCTCAGACGTTCCGACTGGAGGTCTAGTTTCAATTCAAAGTGACTTTATGGAATGAAGTTCCCTTCCATCACCTACAAATTTGACATTTTCTACTGGATTTTTGTGAAAACAAATCTCCACTTCACTTTCACAGGAGGTTGGTAAGGAGTCATAAACATCCCATTGTTCTTAATTCACACATTTGCAGATGGCTTTTGGGAGACCGGCACGCCCCACGTGGTATGTGGTAGAGCAGTGCACTGCATTGCAGTTGAATTTTAATCTCCACATACTAGTACTTCTGGGAATTGAAATGCCATTTCCTAAATGAAATGTAACCCCCTTTATGCAAATGATTCATATAACGTTTAATGCTTAAGAAAAGAAATATATATGCTCTTGGAAATACACTTAACTTCTCAGGGCAGAAGACAAATACATAAACAACAGAGAAAAAGCCCTCTCTGAGAGAGGTCTTGACAAGTAGGAAAACCCTCCTGTTCAGAGGATTTCGTGCATGAGTTTCATATATTTATGCATGTTCTTCATAGGCCTTTTTTTACTTCCTTCAAACTCTTCTTGGCCATGTTCCAGAGAGTTAAATTAATCTTCAGTTTGAGAGATTTTTCACACGTTCATACAGCTCCAGGTCTTAGACACCAAATCCAAACATACTTGTACTTACACTTTTAACATAAACTGCCGCTTAAATTCAATCTAGTAAACATTTTATTGGCATTTATCTTTTCCTCTCTCTCTTTTTTCCTTCTCCCCCTTTTTTTTCATGTGTTCTCCTTTCTTTGCCTCAGTAAAAACATATTTATTGCTATCCATGTTGTCAGAGACTTAATCGAGAACCTAAAATTATAAGGATCATTTTAAGGTACAGATCTTGCCCTCAAGGAGTCCAGACTCATGGGAAAGACAACGTCACAACCTATGCTGCAGTGAAATATTGCTGTAGTGGAAGCATATCCCCAGCATCAATTCTTCTGATGAAGAACAAGATGAGAGCAATTATTTCTATGGAGCTAGGAAGGAAAATGATTCAGGAGTTTAGGAGTAAGGCAGAGATTCCAGCAAGCCAAATGGAAGAAAGGCCCTCCAGGCAGAGGGAATAGCATTAAGCACAGGCCTAGAAACATGAAGCGCCATGACTGCTCCAACCAGGAAACACAGAACAGAGTCAAGTGCACTGATGGGAGAGGGAAGCAGGGAGAAGCAGGACATGATAGGCTGGGACTAGTTTGTCAAGAATTGTCTATTTCATGGAGGTAGATCTGCTAATACGGGTATTTTTGAGGTTAAGGATGTAGCCACTGCTAGGAGAAAAGTCCGATTTGGAATTCTAAGAAGATCCGAGATGAGTTCTTAGCAGCCAAGGTGAAGACAGCTTTTAGCTCCTGATAATCCTTCCCCCAAGACCTGCCATCACCGATCCTGCCTGTCCGACATCCGCGAACAAACAGATAGCAGACTTCTGGTAATCTCTTCTCTAGGCACACAGAGACTGTTCTTCTCACCTCTTATCACCGGGAGCCCTATCACCTCCTGCATCAGCCCCCCTGCCAGCCTCTCCTCTCCTCTCAGCTAAACAGGATTTTCTTCCTTAGTTTTCAGACTGGGGATAATCTTGTCACTTCTCCTAGAGTAGAAAGGCCTAGAAGTCAAGGGTTAGAAACTCTGGTGAAAATAATTCTCTAGTTGGAGCCTCTTGGCATTTGTATTAGAAACTGTGTTAATGTTTTCCCCTTTCCTCTGCTCCTCAAATTCCTGTTATGCAAAATTAGGTCATAATCATGACTTTTAGAAATTGGAAATATGCATACACATCCTATAAAACACAAGGTAAAATATTGGTATGTACCAAAACATTCTTCTCAATGTAAACATTTCTAAACAAACAAACATGCTTTGATTTCTTTCGTATTGTTTTTAATCTGTATGCTAAGGGGGTTATATATCCACATAAGACAACGTTGGAACCTCTAGGAATTTGCCCTAAGAAAGTAACTGGATTGCAATCAAAGCCATGAATGCTAGGTTGTTCTGTCAATGCTACCAAAAGTAGGGAAAAATAGAAAGCATCCTAAATTTCTACCTATTGTTGAGGATAGTTCAATTAATTTTCCTATACCCACTAAAAATTACAGTTTGGGAAAATAATGACAATGTAATTTCAAATGAACCAGTGGAAAACAGTAGCATGTATAATATTTATACATAGCATGGAAGGAAGAAATGTTGGAGGGAAGGGCAGCAGAATGTTAGCAGTAGTTATATCTCAGTGAGATGTTATACATGGTTTATTTTATTTTCCTTTTTGTAGGAAGGCAAATGTGATATTAGGTCACCTGCATGGAGGATCTGGGCCAGGTGTATGGCATACAGGAGCTGGTTAGGCCATAGCTTAACATTAAAAGTATGAACAGTAAAACCATGGCGGCCCCTGCTGACCAGGTGCCAGCTGGGGAGCACAGAGGCAAGCTCCATGGTTGACGGAGGGAAGGAGGCATGTAAGTATTCAGGATATCAAAAAAAAGAGGAGAATGCATACATAGACTTACAATCCTAAAGAGTTAAAATGGGACAGGGTTCATAAAAGAAAAATTAGTGATGCTTAAAAATCCAAATTTTAAGCTCCCAGTTCTAAGAAGCATTAATCCATCTGCTTCATGGGATTCAGACTAAAGCTTTTATTCATTTTTGCCAATTTTTGGAAAGACTCCATCCCTCCAGTTATATCTTGTTAGGCTCTTCTGGAACAGTAATACTCCCTCATGAAAGAATGTTCTAACTTCATGATGCCTTCCATTTCACAGTGATTTCTGCTTCATGGAGAGAAGAGATGGAAAACATAACTTTTAAAGTGATTTTTGCATTCTTCTTTAGATACTTTGCATTATTTTTTAAAAAGCTATAGACTTAAAAGATGAAAATTATAGACTTTGCTATTGTTATGGGCCGAGAATTGCACCTCACTTAAAAAAAAATGAGAGAGACAATTCTGATGTGAATCTCATGTTTATTGTTTTAAAAGCTCTGTGCTAATACCAAAAGAATGTATTTCTGGTGGGAAGTGCTATATTTCCATGCCTTCAGGGAATTTGACTTCTGTCCTAAAAATATATTTCCTTAGATATTATAAACAGAACACCTTAAACAATAATAAAATAAAATATGGCAAAAAAAAATCTACCACAAGCATAGCGATGTTTTACATCCTCATCATGTAAGGGCTTTAAAGCTATAGGAAAAGCCTGAACATCCACTCCCCCTTAATAGAAAAGTGTTCAAAGAATACAAAAGGCACTTTACAAAAGAAGTCTTGCAAGTGGCAAGCAAATGTGAAATAAAAACGTTAACTTTACGAATAATCAGTGAAATGAATATAAACACATCAGTAAAATAAAATCTGCTCTCAGTAGGTTAGAGAATGTGTTGTGTTTTTCTTATTGCTGTTGTTACATGTTCCTTGACATTGGTAAGCAGGTGTACAATAACATCCTCAGAACATTCTGGTGAGATAAATTGCTGCAACTTTTCTGCAGGACAATTTAAAATTGGCCTAGTTTTTTAACCCAGTAATTCTTATCCTTCCAATTTGTTATTTGAAAAGGCATGAATACGTTCATATTTCCAAATATGTAGTCACCACAGCATTTTTATAATAGCAAAAGTAACCCAAATAACTGAAAAGACCAAGAATAGAAAAATGTTCAAATTAATTACACTTAATCCATTTGATGGAGTCCTATGTGGTCAGTCACTAAAAATCATTTTTTGAAGACTAATTGCATAGGAGATTGTTTACAGTAATAAATAATTTTTAAAAACTTTAAAAATCTCAATATAATATGTTCCCCAATATGCTTATAAATGTATATATTTAAAATACTATCAAAAGTACATCAAAACAATCATGGTTACCTCTGCATGACAGGATTACCTTTTCCTTCTCTCCTGCTTTTGTCCATATTTTCCAAAGTTTCTATCAGAAATGGGTGTTACTACTGGGCACCCTGGCTCATACCTGTAATCCCAGTACTTTGGGAGGTCAAGGCAGGATACCTGATTGAGCCTAGGTGGTCTAGACCAGCCTGGCAAAATAGTGAGACCCTATCTCTACCAAAAAAAAAAAAAATGCTGGGAGTGGTGGTGCGCACCTGTAGTCCCAGCCACTTGGGAGTCTGAGGTTGCAGGATCACTTGAGCCTAGGAAATCGAGGCTGCAGTAAGTTGTGATCCTGTCACTGCACTCCAGCCTGGGTGACAGAGCGAGACCCTGCCTCAGAAAAAAGGAAAAATGGAGAAAGAAAAGAAATGCATATTACTCCTTTATAGTTCAATTAAAACTTCTTATCTAAAAACGAGATGCTATTTCTGAAAGTATAGAAAGCTCTCCTTGACTATGGATGGCAACTCTGAGACACTGGGCTGCATAATAATATTATGTGTTCAGCAGTGCGTCTCCAAATGTGTCACAGCTTAAATATTCATGGATTTTGATTGTGAGGAGACCCAGAGGGATAAAGCAGTTTGTCCAAGGTCAGGTGGCAAACCTGTAGCAAAGGCAAGATTAGAACCAAGACCTCCTGGCTCCTATTCCAGTACTCCTCCAGTACCACACTGGTGTTTGTTGTTGTTTTGTTTTCTATATAAAGAATTTTTCTGACCTTAATGGCAACTTTAACAAACACAGAACAAAAGCAAGAATTAATTGAGTAATGGAAATGAAGGAGAAAGAAAATCTCTGCCTATGATAACAGCCACCATCTCTCTCATTATGCTGAACTGTGGTTAAAATGCCCAAAGTTGGCCGGGTGCAGTGGCTCACCCCTGTAATCCCAGCACTTTGGGAGGCTGAGGGGGGCGGATCACAAAGTCAGGAGATCGAGACCATCCTGGCTAACATGGTGAAACCCCGTCTCTAGTAAAAAATACAAAAAAAAAAAAAAAAAAATTAGCCAGGCATGGTGGCGGGTGCCTGTAGTCCCAGCTACTCGGGAGGCTGATGCAGGAGAATGGCATGAACCTGGGAGGCGGAGCTTGCAGTGAGCCGAGATAGTGCCACAGCACTCCAGCCTGGGCGAAAGCGAGACTCTGTCTCAAAAAAAAAAAAAAAAAAAAAAAGTGCTCAAAGCTCATCTTCCTCTTTAAAGAGCACTCCCACGGGTGCTGTGGAGTTAGGCTTAGATCTCAGTATTGAGTAGACTGAGTAAACTATGCCTGGAAGTTTCACTATACAAAGTAACTTTCAGTTTCTTCCCAAGTCACCGGTTTAAACATATGCACAGGATATATAACGTCCTGGGTGGTTTACTGTCTCACTTAGCTGACCAGTGAGAGGCGTTCTTAAGTACTGCTTTCCTCAGTTCACTTTGAGCAAATACATTACTCATTAAGCCTCTGTTGGTCAAGAACCTGAAAACAAGTAGCAGTTGCAGTGTTGGTTCCTTCCTTCAAAATTTGATGTTTAGAGAACTTTCTAGAATAACTGTAAAACTAGTGAAATCTGGAGGAAAGCCAACATTGGCTTTGCAAAAACACTATCTTTCTAATCCAGTTTCTTAATGTTTAGCCATTACTGACAGCTTTCTTCCCTGCTTTCTTCCTTTTCTTTCATTTTCCTCTTTTTCCATTTTGCCTGTCTTTTCGTTCCCTTTTCCCTTCCCTTTTCTCAGTTTTTACTTCTGTTTTTTCTTGCTTCTTATTATCTTTCTCTCATCCTTTCTTTTTTCTTTTTTTCACCTCTTCCTTCGATCTTCCTTCTGTCCTTCCCTCCCTCTCCTCCTTCCTTTCTTCCTCCCTTTCCTCCTTCCTCCTTCTTCTCCTTCCTTTTTCCTTTCTTCTTCTCTTTCTTCCTTCCTTCCTTCTTCCTTCTAACTGACACAGTAAATATTTTTGTCTCCCATTAGTTGCCAGACCTCGTAGTCACCCGCTTGGAGCCAGACTAGCAATTGCCAAAGAATGGGCCTTTGAGTCAGACCAGTCAAGAGTCAATTTTCTGATTCAATGTCAACTAACTGCCTGAACATGACCAAGTTATTTAATCTCTACATATTCTTTCATTTCACCAGCACACATTTATTGAATGCCTCTTATGTGTCTTAAGCTATGTAAGGTGTACCCAGTATACTTTTAAAAAACACTCTGTAAAGTGGGGAAAGTGCAGGCTACCCTTGGGCTATTGTAATAAGCCAACTAAACAACACATGTGGCAATGGATAACCTATTTCTGGCACACTGTAGCTTCCCGCTTCCCGTATTTTTCTTTTGCATCCTAGATGCCAAGTATGCATATGTGAGACCCAGTTTTTCAAAGGATCTTACAGGCTAGCCAAAAAAAAAAATCCAGAGTTCTTACTAAAAGGAAAAGAAAAAACTATACTGTGTTTTGTGTATTCTAAATCATGTACTTTTCAGATTTTAGCATCTTTTGTATCAGAATGCATCTTAAAATTGCTGCTAGCCAGGTGGTGGCAATTGCGATGTAGTTGCTACTGGGGTCACATGTGGGCTCAGAGTTGTACACATTATCACCACTTTAGTTCATTAGGTTATATGATTAGTATTACACATACTGAGTTTAACTGCGTTTAAAATATATTTGAAGAGATGATTTTATGATTCCATATTAAAACAAAAATCTATTTGTGTGCACAAAAAGGCAAAAAATAAGAGCAGTAAGGCAGTAATTTGACATCAATGAAGCAAATAGTCTTCATTAGAGAATTTACCACCAGCATCAAAATCTGCAGAATGGTGTCAACAACTTGGAAGGAAATATCATGGGAAATAGTAGAGAACTCTTCTTAGAAATGGTGCATTACCATCAGATTAAGTGGCCCGGATGGAAAAGCACAGCCATCTGTGACTCTGGGCTGAAAAGTGATCAAAAGCAATGAAAGGCTTTAGGAACAAAACAAAACAAAAACAAACAAAAAGCAACAGCAAAATCCCCTCCGTTCAAATCCTGACTCTGCTCTTATTCATGATTCCATTTTGCTAGGACTTAGTTTCCTCTGTTGGAAGAGGAATATTCATAGCATGTACCCAGCAGGGTTGTTATAAAAATAAATTCAAAAGAGGCTGTGGAATGAAATGACTTTTAGTTGCAAGTATTATAAACATATAGACTTTTTGCAGAGCTCATTGTTCACGTGGCTGGTTTTTGTTATTCTTTTTTCCTGAGGCTATGAACTCCTTGGGGGCAGGGATGGTTGGTTAGCATTCAGCTCCCCATTGCCAATGTGTGACAGGCAGCCCATAGTTCATCAGTAAAAACAATGTGCCTGTGCCTAATGTTTTGCTGCTGTTGTTATCACTGTTGTTTTTAAAACCTATTTTGATGCTCACTGCCTCCCTCTGCTATAAAGCAAGTATTGGAATTGGTACTTGAAGTATAAGGAAGCACACAGAGAAGTCTGGTGATTTGTCTAAATCACATGGAAAGTTAGAATTGAGTGCTATCATGGGCCTGATATATTTTCGAACTGGGTCAGGACTGGCTCAGTCATGAGGGTGGGTCTGAGCCAGCCAGTGGGCTTCTTGGTACATCCAGCTCTCAGAAGCCGTCGGGGGGCGAGGGGGAAGGTTGGGAGAAAGGCTGGGCCTGTCCCCAGCTGTGCGCTAGAAACAATTATATGGAGCAATCTCCTGAAAGAGGCCAAGGCTACCCTGTGGCAGAAAGGAGCCTGAACATGTAAACATCTGTGAGGGCGGGGGTGCCTGGAAAGAGCTGCAGGAAGGGGAGCATGTGAGGCCCAGTGGGAAGGAATGTGAGAACTCCAGGGCCTCACCAGGATGGGGCTGGAGGATGGGGAAGTCACTGGGGAGGGTGTGCAAATTGCTCCCTGCAGGCCAGGATGGAAGAGAGAATGATCCTGTGGAAAGGGGGTGATTAGGACATCCCTCATGGAAGATGGAAAAAATGAGGGACACCTTTGAATCTACCCAGTGTACATGCAGGAGAAGAGCAAAAGAGGGGCCCACCTGTTTAGAAGTTGTGCTTCCTTTGAGAAGTGGAGCCATGATATCTGGCATTGAACGGCACCCTTTCGAGCAGAAAGCAGACCTGAGTTTGAATTATAGGTTTACCATTTACGAACTGTGTGATTTGAGAAATGCCATTTTTTTCTCCCCATTCTCCAGTTTCCTCATTAGTAAAGTGGAGCTGAAATGCTGAATTGGTAGTACTGTTGTCAGGGCTAAGTCAGATAGCAGGTAAACATGCCCATTCAGCATCCAGTGCCCATTAAGTATTGGATATACATGTGAATAAAAATGCGAATGAACAGATGACCTAGTACACAGACAGACACTGATTTTTGAAGCATGATGGAGAAAGCTTCACTGAGGCCCTGGCAGGGGTAGTGGGGAAGACATGGCTGGAAGAGCATGGGACAGAGGAGGCAAATGCCCATGTTCTGTCAGGGGCACAGCTCCTAACATGCGGGGTGGTCTTGAAAAAGTGACCTTTCTTTTTTGAGCCTAAATCTTTTCTCCCATACAATTGATAGACTCTCTTTTTGTGTGTGGTTGGAGCTCAAGCAGCCACAATTGAGAGATTCTGCAATACATTTTTCCCACTATCAACCTAGCCCAGAGACACTATGAATTTATAATTAGTTAACTTGGAAAAACATAGAATAAAAATAAACAGTAATTGCGGTGCCCAACAACACAGACTAATTGGAACACATTTAGGGGAAAAAATTGGAATGTAAAAAGAATTCAAAATCATCTCCTATCAGGGTGATAATTCTCCATATGCCAAACCCAATTGTAGCAGACCGAGATAGACCTCTAAGGGTGCTCACACAGTCCAGAGAAAAGCACATTCTTCATGATGCTAAGCATTAACCCCAAATGTGGGCCAATAACCTAGAGATAGATAAAGAATGGCTCAATCTAAGGTATACCCTGTCAATATTTATGAACTGGAGGCCCCAGGAGGCAGTGCCTGTCCTGGCATCAGAGGGGTTTAAATCAAGGCATGAGATAGAGTTGGAGGGGATGGCCTTCTAGACTGAGCTTGTGAGTTGAAGATCCTAGTGGAAAAGTACTCAAATCAATGAAATAGTCACCAACTAATTTACAGATTTTTCAGAAATCATCCAGAAAGCATTCAGATGTATTTGCCATTGAAATAGTTGAATTAAAATGATTTTCTTGTTTAGAAATTGAATTAGCATTCACAGGCAGAAAGTTATTCAAAATTATTAACTCTATTCCAAAAAAGTTTAGCTAAAATCAAATATAAATATATTATAATGCAAACCTTATAATGCATACAGAGGCCAAGAACCCCTCAGGGGTACTGGGAAGTTAAATTCTCTCCTCGTCCCTGTATTCTAAAACAGACTAATTTTTTATCTTAATTTTAATGCCATATGCTATAGGGCCAAACTCCACAAGAAATATGATAGATTCAATATGTTACATTGTTTTGATAAAGAAAAAAGTAAAAACAGTTTATTGAGAGAGAAGTTTTTTACTTTTGCCAGCAAATTCTAGGATGGATTTATCCCACAGGCCTTCCAGACCTCAGAGGACAACCCTGTTCTCTTGCCACCTCATACATTACCCTGTGCCCTACACCATCTTGCCACACTTCACTTTGCTTTCTTCTTCCAAAGATTTCTTATAGCACCCATTCAGCAGGCAATCACAAGGTCCACATAGTCAGTTACAGATCCATTCACTCATTTGTTTTGAAAAAACCCAAAATGTGTTTTAGTGGAACATGCTAAACATTCAAAGATGAACAAGAGGGTGGTCTCCGCCCTCCAAGTGTCCACAAAGTCAAGGAAGCAAGAGAAGCCCAGATTTGCAGGTATTTTGTACAAGTCTAAGTCAAGGACGACCTTAGAAGGGACCCACCTTTTTCGTTTGAATTGTGTCTATCAGCTCTTTGAACTAAGAGTCTGGCTACTCAGCAGAGGCATTGTCCATGCAGAGACTGACGAGGAGGGTCCCTCTGCTACAAAGACACACCACTGCCTTAACCCGCCTCCCCCCACCCACAGCCTGCCATCCATTCACAAGCAGGGGGGCCGAGGGTTGAGGGGAGTGGGAGGCAGCCAGATAGCACTTACTGTGGGTTGCTCAGGAGTAAGATGGGGAGAGAGGTGTCTCTTAATCACAGCTAAGGAATTGAAGAAACATGGACCAAGGAAGCTAAGCCAAATAAGAGCCCCACCTACCAAACACACACACACACACACACACACACACACACACACACACACACACACACACACCCCTAATGGCATAAACAAGAAGAACCTGCAGCTGGTGTGAGGGGTGGAAGCTGAAAGCCAGGATAAGGAGGGTAGGCCCTAGAGGATCAGCCAGCAATGCCAAGGGTCATGGTGGGTTGTTATAAGCTCTTTTTGAAGGTCTGCAGGCCCTATTAAAAATCCAGGATCAAGGCAAATAAATGGTAAAAAAAATAAATAAATAAAAATAACGGTAGATTAATTGAATCAATATTTGGCTTTGCTTTAAATAATATAGGCTTGGGTTCTGCTTAGCCACATCCTTGCAGTGGCGTGTTAATTTCACCATTTACTACATGGGCCTTGGTTTCCTCATTGTACAACAGGTAACCATCCCATAAACGTAGGATCAAATGAGATCTTCAGTGTGAAAACACTTAGTAAATAGTCAAAACACTTTGCTATTCTTGAACCTATAATCATAATTGTATACAGGTGGAGATTTTTGTTTTCCGTGTCTTTAGGAAGTTTGTGAGTTATTTTGTTTGGTCCTTCATAATTAGAAATATATTCATCTTAAGCTTTATTTCTAGTTTTTAGATGTCAAACTAACCATTTTCAAAGCTGAAAGCAGCTCAGTCAATGCAAAGAATATGAACTTTGCAATTCTTCTGAACTGCTGATTTCTGCCATTTAAAATCTGTGTTACCTTAAATACGTCACTTATGCCTTCTGAATCTTGATGAATCTATAAAAGAGAATTAAAAATGTAACCTTCCCTATTTTAGGGTAAGACCACACTAGATTGATCAATTCTGAAAACTAAGAGAATTGTTATTTTTCTAGTTGGGTCTGTCCCAATGGCATGTTACTCACAGAATAGACCAGAGATTTCTTTTGCCCCAGCTTCTAGGCATATCAAGCACAACCCTTTAGCCATTTGTAAGGGAAAAGAAACACTGCCTTTTGTAAGAGAGCTCCTTGTGTGGCAGGCTGCCCGGCTCCCTGTCAGAACTCCCTCTGCTTATGTATAACTCCAGACTTGTATTGATATCTGCATGCGCATGTTGGCTCAGCTCCTCCTTCTCAGGCGATAGATTGCTTCTGCTGAAGCTGCCAATGCAATATTTTGAAAATAGACATCCATTTCTAGAAGAAAAAAGATCCAAATTTTTTTTTCTTTTTCACTTTAAAAATCATTATAATATTAGTGTCTTTCATGTCAACATGATTTCTGAAGCCGTTAAATAAGGCATTCCTGGGATGACCACCCAATGGTGTAGAGTAACATGTTTTGGGGCAAACTCTTCCTGCATTATAAAGAAGAGGGACAGGTGTACTCTGGAGCAGACTTTCCATTTATTGGTCTTATCTTTTTGTTATGGGTCAAATTGTGTCCCCCTAAAAGTCATATGTTGAAGTCCCAAGCTCTAGGACCTCAGAATGTGAAGTTATTTGGAAATAGGGTGATTGCATATGTAATTAGTTAGTAAAGATGAAGTCATCCTGGCACAGGCTGGACCCGTAATCTAATATGACTGGTGTCCTTACAAGAAAAGGAAAACTTGGACCCAGAATGCACACAGGGAGAACACCATGTGAAGATAAAGACAGGGACTGGGGTGATGAGTCTGTAAGCCAAAAAATGACCAAGATTCCCAGAAAACCCCCAGAGGCTAAGGGAGAGGCCTGGAACAGATTCTCCCTCACGGCCCCCCAAGGGAACAAACTCTGCTAACACCTTGATCTTGGACCTCTGGCTTCCAGAACTGTGAGAAAATAAATTTCTGTTGTTTCATCCACCCAATTTGTGGTATTTTGTTATGGAAGCCCTAGCAAACTAACACACTGGGTGTGTTTTCAACCTTTCTAAGAGTTAGAGGTTATTAGAGGTAGAAGGTGCATTTAGAAATCATTCAGTGAAATCATTTCGTGATCTATAATATAAGGGAAGTGATATCTAGAAAGCTCCCCATGTCCTTGAAGGTGAGAAGCCATCTAGAAGCCTGAAGTCCTGGTAACCAAGAAGATGGTGTATGTATTTTTCTGAAATCGAAGAGTTCCCCAATCCCCCTGGCAGGACACGCAACAGGGGTGTGGCTCACCTGTTTGGTCACCCTGCTGCTCAAGCTCCTTGCAGGAGGGGGAGCACACAGATGGGCAGATGCAGAGGCTGGGGCGAGCACTTTGGGCTCCAGCTCCAGAGTAGTGTCTAGGGATGGGTGCCGCAACCCCAGTGTTACAAAGCTCTTTTAGCCTTGTTGTCCACAGATGGCTTGAGTGTTAACTAGCTCAATGGACTCTGCTTTTATGCAAAGGCAGAAAGCCAGCGTGACAGCTTTCTGTATCCCAAGCTCTTGTCCAGCATCCTGGAAAAATTGGGTCACACAAGGGTTTGAAGGATGAATGTGAGGTTTTATTAAGTGGTGGAGGTGGCTTTCCTGCAAGATGGATGGGGAGCTGGAAGGTGGGGATGGAGTGGGAAGGTGATCTTCCCCTGGAGTCAGCCACCCAGTGGCTGGATTCCTCTCTAACTGCCCCCAGCCAAACTCCTCTTGGCATTTCAGATGTTCCTCCTCTCTTTCTCTGCTGCGTCTTTCCGTCATTCCACTGTTCATCTGCGGGTCTGTTGGCCTGCTGGTCTGCTTCTGGAGTCTGGGGTTTGGGGTTTATATGGGTGCAGGATAGGAGGCATGGCTGGCCAAAAGGCAGCTTTTGGGTGTGAAAACAGGAATGCCTGTCCTCATTTAGGGCTGCGGGTCTTTAGTCTTGAGGGTGGGGCCTTTGCCGGGGAACCACGGTCTTCTACCCAGTAGTTCCCTGTCTCCTATCTGTATCATTTCTTTACATCCCATGCTTCTTTGCTAAGAGACGCATGGGGAAAGGGTGAAGTTATTTAATATAAAAGTGCCATCAGCCCAGAAGGACCCAGACTTCCAAGATCACCTCCTGCTCAGTTCACTAATGCACCTGCCTCCTGCCCACACCCTCCAAGTACACATGCTCTGATCTATGGTTCAGACACACCCAGGACACTGGCCAGGCCAATGCCTGCCCTTCTGTGAGGCCTTGAAGTATGACGCTTTTCAGAGAAATAGAAGTTATGGCTAGAATCCTTCTCCCTCAGATTCACTGATGACTCTTTCATCTTTTCAGTCAGTCTTTGCTAAAATATCACTGTTTATCCCTTTCTTATCCTGCGCTATTTCTTTCTAAATACTATTTCTAATATACCATGCAATTCACCTATTTATTATATGTATTGTGTGGACTACTAAAAGGTAGTTTCCAGAAAGTCAGGGATCTTTTTCTGATTTGTTCACTGATGTATCCCAAATACCTAGAATAATAGTGCCTGCCATATATTGAGCTTTTAATATTTTCTTTTATTGTCCAACAATGATAGACTCGATTAAGAAAATGTGGCACATATGCAGCATGGAATACTACGCAGCCGTAAAAAAATGATGAGTTCATGTCCTTTGTAGGGACGTGGATGAAGCTGGAAACCATCATTCTCAGCAAACTATTGCAAGGACAAAAAACCAAATACCGCATGTTCTCACTCATAGGCGGGAATTGAACAATGAGAACATATGGACACAGGAAGGGGAACATCACACACCGGGGCCTGTTGTGGGGTGGGGGGAGTGGGGAGGGATAGCGTTAGGAGATATACCTAATGTTAAATGACGAGTTAATGGGTGCAGCACACCAACATGGCACATGTATACATATATAACTAACCTGCACGTTGTGCACATGTAACCTAAAACTTAAAGTATAATAAAAAAAATATATTTTCTTTTATTAAAAGGATGCACAAATATTTTGAAAATGCTTATTTGAATACTTCCAATATTACTACTGAATTTATTGCTCTGTTGTTTTGAGAAACACCCTGATACCAGAGGTCTTAGAGACAGAGGGGACCACTTGAGTCTGTCCACCTTGAATTTTGGTCTAGGGTCCTGGGTTATAACCCAGAGCTGTTTTAATTGAGTGAAGCACCAAAAGAAGTTGAAAGGAAAAGTATTGGTAGAGAAAATTCAGTTTTAGAATTTAGCTGGTGATAACCTCTTTTGTGTTATTTGAAAATGTGCTTATGGTTGTATCTTTTAAACTTATTATATTTAGGCTATGGTAACAAAAAGAATTAAATAAACAGATCAGCCAGGCGCGGTGTCTCACACCTGTAATCCTAGCACTTTGGGAGGCCGAGGCGGGTGGATCACCTGAGGTCGGGAGTTCGAGACCAGCCTGACCAACATGGAGAAACCTTGTCTCTACTAAAAATACAAAGTTAGCTGGGCGTGGTAGCACATGCCTGCAATCCCAGCTACTCGGGAGGCTGAGGCAGGAGAATCGCTTGAACCCGGGAGGCGGAGATTGCGGTAAGCCGAGATGGCACCATTGCACTCCAGCCTGGGCGACAATGGCAAAACTCCATCTCAAAAAATAAAAATAAATAAAGAAATAAAGAAACAGATCTAAATATCTAGTAGAGCTACATTGGTCAATAAGGTAGCAACTAGTCACACGTGGCTGTTTAAATGGAAACGAATTAAAAGTGAATTAAAAGTTAGAAATTTAGTTTCTCAGTCACATTAGCCTCATTTTAATTGTTCGATAGTCACATGTGGCTAGTTGCTGGCAGGTTTGACAGAGCAGATGTAGAACATTCCCATCATCGCAAACAGAAAAGCTCCAGATGTGTTTCTTAGCATCTGGATGTTTTGCACCATAAAATGAAGGCATCAGAATGAGTGATGGCAGTTTTCACTCTTCCTTGGGTCATGTGACACACTGATTGAATTGATTTAGGCTAAGTTGACTCTGCTGGGCTCTGTGTTTTCTTTCTTTCATAATGATTTAACAGGTCTGTTACCAACAGGAACTATTAGAGTGTGTTTTAGCCACGTTGTGCTATTAGTTATTCAGATTCTGAGATTTCTCAGTCCATAGACAGTAGAAACAGTTTAGGCAAAGGGACGGATGAATGAATTGTTTGGGTGAGTTCAGGGATACACAGTTTAGAATGATGGAGATGCAGGGTCTGTGCAGGATAGTGCTTACGTAGTGAGCAATGGAAAGAAAGTCACTCAGCTATAAACTCCTTGAGGTTGGCAGCTACAGCTGATAGATATTTATATTCTCACTACTTAGCATAATACATACTAGACTCTTCATATATGTGTGTTGTTGTTGTTAAATTAATTAAGCAACCAACCACCTAACACATCAGCCAACCAAGTAATAAATGACAGATAAACAAGGGCCAGATGCAAAGCTATTCTTTAGTAATAAATAAACCCCAAATTCCAGGGATTTTCTACTACAAAAGTCTGCTTGTTTATTTAATTGTACTGTCTAAAATAGGTCAGGGTAGAGATCATGTTCTACATGGCCATTCAGGGACCCGGGCTGTTGCATGATCTGCCAACTCTTAGATACAACATCCTGACAAGTAGCCTGCAAGGTTACCAAGGTAAAGGAGAAATGGAGGCAGTATACTGGTTCTCAGCTCTCTCAGCCCAGAAGTGATGGGAGTCACTTCTACTCAACGTTCGTTGGCAATAACGCCATTCCCTGCAAGGGAGACTCGGAAATGACAGGGAACAACAAAGTTTGGTTAGCACTGTGTCTATCACACTAGATCACACAGGAACAGGACAAGAGGCTTCAACTTGACCCACTAGTGGCTTTCCAGCTATTTTGTTAAACAACAGAATCCATTCTTCAAATTAAATATAATACACAAATAAAGCAGAAATAGAGCTTTTCTGGTTGAAATGGGGGCACAGAGAGAAAGATCCACAACCTGCTTACTCAACGAACCCTCCCACACCATCTCTGTACCTTACACATTCCTCCAAGGAATCCAGAACTCCTCAAAGCACAGAGCTAGGACCACTACCATAAACTATCCATTGGCCCTGGAGACTGTAAGCAGGAAAGTAACACAACCACAGTTTCCCTTTACAAAGATAACCTTGCCACAGTTGTGTGAGGGTGGCAGGAAGCGGTGGATTGGACTGTAGGCATACAGTACATGTGTCAAGATGAGAGGCTGGAACAGGTTCCCAGGCTGCTGGGGTCATTCCAGATGAGAGGATGAAGGCCTGAACCATGTCACAATGGGACTCAGTGGTATGCCTTCCCAATTTCTTCTAGTTCAGAATTCTGACTGTTTCTCAGTCTGATCTAGCTTCGCCTTTATATAGGTTGAAGTTATTCCAACTTTCCTTGTAATACTGACCTAGGCCTATTACAGGAGTTCGCAAATTGTTTCTACAAAGGGCCAGGAAGTACATATTCCAGGCTTGCAAACCATTTGGTGTCTACAGAAACTACTCCACTCTGCTGTTGCAGAGCAAAAGCCAGCTGTATGACAATATGCAAACAAATGGGCATGGCTGTGTTCCAATAAAACTTTATTTATCAACACTGAAATTTGAATTTCATGTAATTCCCACGTCATGAAACCTTATTTTTTAAAAAATTTGTTTTCAGTCATTTAAAACCATGAAAAAACAGTCTTGGCTAATAGTCTAGCCTTAGCTAATAGGTCATATAAAGGCAGGCTATGGGCCAGATTTGGCCTGTGGTGAGTATTATGCTGACCTCTGGTCTATTATGTTGAGTGATTATATCTATTATTAGGAATAGGATTTATATTCATAGAGATGGTTTTCTTTTTCTTTTCTATTTTAAAATGGCATACATTATAATGAAATGAAAAT
This sequence comes from Homo sapiens, assembly GCF_000001405.40. NCBI lineage: Eukaryota > Metazoa > Chordata > Mammalia > Primates > Hominidae > Homo > Homo sapiens. The sequence continues at coordinate 12,419,275 of NC_000002.12, read as the reverse complement.
AAAGGTATGAAACTAATGCTTTCCATAGAACATAGAATTCAGAGTTTAAAAAAAAAACAGAAACAAACAAATCTCTGGAAATTATTGCCAGTCAATGATTTAGTCAATGTGAGTGTATTTTAATTTTATACCACCCCCCAGCACAGTTTAGAGCAAAGTCACACAATTAAAATAAATAAAGCAATATAAAACAAGGCTGGAAGGCCCTTCTGTTCCTGGATTCCTTCTTGCCTCTGTGATAGAAACCCAGAAATAAAGATGCTCTTCCTCAGGGCACCACCCGCTAAGGAGGCCACCAGTTAATGTGCGAATTACCAGAATCATCAAACTGATAGAAAATTTGGCCTTCTGAAGGCAAAGAAAACAATTTTGTGAAATGTTCCCTTCCCAGAAGTCATCCTATCCCTTAAATTACACTGAACAAACATACCAACTAAAGCACCTGATGAAATTATTTGCTCTTAAAACATTTTCTTCCCCATTTTTAAAGTAATGCAGGCTTATTTTAAATAATCTGTAAAGTGACCTAAAGGTACAATGATGAGAGTAAATGTCACCCCAAATCTCAGAACCCAGAGACAACCATGTAAACCAGAGGGCATTTCTTTAACATGATGAGTATCATTCTGAATCTACATATTTTCAGCCTGTTATTTTTGTTGTTGCTATTGTTGTTTGTTTGTTTGAGATGGAGGTTCCCTGTTGTTGCCCAGGCTGGAGTGTAATGGTGCAATCTCGGATCGCTGCAACCTCCGCCTCCCAGGTTCAAGTGATTCTCCTGTCTCAGCCTCCTAGGTAGCTGGGACTACAGGTGCACACCACCATGCCTGGCAATTTTTTTTTTTTTTTTTTGTATTTTTAGTTAGTTAGAGACGGGGCTTCACCATGTTGGCCAGGGTGGCCTCAAACTCCTGATCTCAGGTGATCTGCCCACCTCAGCCTCCCAAAGTGCTGGGATCACAGCAGTGAGCCACACAATGTTTGGCCTGTTTTGTTTTTTGTTTTTAACTCAGCATTATACTCTGAACATTTTCCCACATCATTAAAGAGCCCTTGGACTTTTTTTTCATTGACCACATAATTTTGAACAGATATATTTTTATTTAATTAACTGATGTAATGGAAATGACCTTTCATTAAGGATCATGCTTTCAGCCAACAAATATTTGCTGCACGTCTGCTTGATGCCAGACACTGGCTTAGACACCAAGGGCTGACATGAGCACATGGTCTCTGTTCTCATGGAGCTGACATCATAAGCATCTTTTATGTGTAAACCCCACGCTAGATCCCTGTGGTGCTGAAATGAATAAAGCCCAGTCTCTGCTCCCTGGGAACTCTCGGTTAGGGAGGGAGACAGGCAGTTGAACCTACAACAATTACCCGACATTGTGATATGAAGAATGAGGCCCTGCACGTACAAAGATGGAGGGAATGCATCTATGGGGGAGGGGCAGGAGGGAGGGCAGAACCTCTGCAGAACAAACGCTTAGTTTTAACATCATTATTTCGACAGATGTTGGTTCTAGTCCAAAGTATCTATACACCGACCATGCTGTGACTAATTAATGTCACTCTGCCCAAGTGAGTCTGGCCTAGTTAGTCACTTAAAGAGAACTTAGCATTGACGACTTACTGAGTTACCAGAGCAATGAAGATACAGATTCTCCCATCAGAAGACATAGGGAAGTAGCAGCATTGTCCAGTGGAAAATACTTTCGGTCAGGATCTAACTGCCTTAAACCCTGGTCTCAGTCCAGCCCCTGACCTGCTCTAGGAAGTGTCCAGGAGAATTGTCATAGCTAATCCCCATAGCACCTTCCTCACAGTGGAGGTAATGGCATCCATAATCCCTAAGATACAGCCAATGTTTTCTATGGTCAGTCATGTCGGCAGATCAGGCTCTCCTCCGGAGAAGGTGCCGGCTCTGCCTAGGACAGAAGAGATTCTCTCTAACTGTGTGTTTAATTAATTAGCATAATCTTCACCCAGATCCCTGTCTGTAAATTTCTTTATTATTATTATTGCTGCTGTTGTCATACGATATATGTTCTCAGTGCAATCTCGGTTTTCATTAACCCAGTACACTGGTTCCACACTCTGCCAATTGCCAACACAGAGGACGTCCTAACCCACATGGCTGTTAACTCATGTCTCTTTCATTGTGTATTTTTCTGGCTAAGTTTTTGGACCCAAAAACAGTCAGTTTTGCTGTAACATTTGTTTTGAAACTCTGCACTTCTTTCGGTGTAATCAGTATATTAGGAAACAGTTTGAGCACAATGTAAATATATCTTTGCAATGAATTATTTCATCTGCTAGAAACTGCATACGGCTGACCCCGGGGTTCCTAGGAATATGCAAAACACACACACACCTCCATGCCTCTACCGGCTACCGCAGATCACTGGGTGTGTTATGAGCCACACCCATTCACATCTGGTTTTAGAACTTTCTCTCTGATTTCTGATCAACCCCAGTCTCCACTTCACAGGGACTCCCAAGCTGCCCCCTGCTGGCACCCACTTCCACAAGCAAACTCCAGGTCTTCTGCAAGGAAAATGCCATGTTTATTCTGGTATCTAAGTATATCTTAACCATTTAACACGCGCACAACTCCACTACTGTTTTTATTAGATGACTTTCTTTGTGATTGTGTGTCATTGATCAAGTTTTTTAGTGTTGTAACCCCATTTTTTCCATAAGTCTTGTGTTTTTTCTGGCATACTTTCCCGCAGTGCTGTAATTTATAGAAACACATATGTTGTGTTAGAGCAGACCTTACCGTAGAGGACTTTGTGTTCTCCCCTTACTATTTTATCTTGCTGGACTTGCCATTGAGATCGATCATGCTATTTTTATAACGTTGGATCAAGTGTTCCAAACAAGTGTTTTATTCTAATTTTACAGGTGAATTATCTGAGGCTTAAGGACAGTAAAGTCTAGCTTAACTCTTCATGAGTGAGTGGTACAATAAGATGATAATTACCTTGTGTTTCTTGATCCAGGGGAAGCAGCATGTTGCTGTATAAAGAGGGTGGTCTTTGGATGGGGCACATCTAGATTTGAATTTCAGCTTCATAAAATCTTTCAATGTGAGTGCCTTCAGTAAACTACTCAGATCTCCAAACCTCATTCTCCTTGAGTATAAACATCAGGAAGTTGACATTCACTTCTGAGAAGTACTCTGGAAATTAAGCCACAAAATGTAAGGAAAATGTGAATCTAATGCCTTGGGCAAGGCAGACATATTTGCTCTTTCCTCTTTCCTTTGTATAATAATACCAGATTGCATAATTCAGGGTTATCCAGAGAAACAGAACCAATAGAAGGCACATATGTATGTGTGTATATATACATATACATACACACACACACATATATACACACACACATACACACACATATATGTGTGTGTGTATGTGTATATACGTATGAATACACACATTCATTATATATATGTGTCTATATATATGTATGTATACACACAGACATGTCATATTTATAATGGGAATTGGTTCACACAATTATGAAGGCCAAGAAGTCCCACCATCTGCCATCTGCAAGCTGGAGAACCAAGAAAGATGGTGATGTAATTTAGTTCAGATAAGAAGGCCGAGAACCAGAAGTGCCAAAGTCTGAGGATGGGAAGAGATGACTGTCCCAACTCACACACAGTGAACTGACCTTTCTTCTGCCTTTTTGTTTTGTTAAGGTCCTCAACACGTTAGCTGGTACCAACCTACACTGGTGAGAGTGGGTCTTCTTCACTCAGTCTACTGATTCAAATGCTGACCTCTTCTGGAAATACCCTCACAGACACACCCAGCAGTAATGTTTTACCTGCCCAGCTATCTGGGCAGTTCTTAGCCCAGTCAAGTTGACACATTAAAATTAACACACAGGTAAATGTTATTGGGCACTTATTTTAACATAAGTGCCTACTAGCTTATTGGGCACTGAAGAAACTGTTCTAAGCACTTCTGTATATTAACTAATTTAACCTTGATAACAACCCTATTCAGAAGAGTTCATTAGTATTCGTTTTTCACAGATGAGTAAATGCATGCACAGAAAGGTCAGGTGATTTGCTTAAGGTCAAGTAGCTAGTGTGCCAGTTATTAAGTTATGGACTCTCAGCTCTAAACCCACCCTTCTGTACGCTGCTTTGTGGAGCTGGGGACGAGGTTCAGAAAAGCACATTTTTGCCTTGCCAACTGGATTCCCATTATGCTCTACAAGGCTGGAGGGACGTGGCCCTTTCTGTTTGTTGCTTGCCTCACTTTCCATGCATGTGCTATTCCCCCATTAATGCTTGTTCTCCCTGCCAGGAGCAATTTTTTCCAGCTGCAGTAGCTGAACCCACTTTACAGTTTTTTTCACCACTTGCAGGACAAGCTCAATCGTATGCCCCCAAAGCAACACCAGCCGGCCAGCCGTCTTCTCAGAGGTCTCTGTTTTTGTTCCAAGGGGCCCTCTACTAAGGTTCAAAGATTTAACCAACTCACACTCATTTTGTTCCCTCAGTCGTAGGGGCTGTCATGTGTCCTGCAGTTGCTACCTCTGTGATACCTTTGAGATTTCTTCTTACACTTTCAGTTACCTAATTAACAACTTTATACCTCTTTAACAATAATTCCTATTAAATTCTCTCTGATGATTGAAATAGTCTGTGGGCTCTGCATCTTGGCGGCCCCCTGACCAATGCATCTGGGAAGAGGCAGAAACAGAACACTATACCAGCAGCTGTGTGCAGGAGTAGACCATTATTATATACAGCCTCTCAGCTATTATTACATAATTACATATCCATACACAGCAGCTATTATCTTTGTGTGTCTGTTTGATTGATTTTTTTGACACAGGGTCTCACTCTATCACCCCGGCTGTAGTGCAGTGGCAAGATCATGGCTCCCTGCAGCCTTGACCTCCCAGGATCGGGTAATCCTCTCACCTCAGCCTCTCAAGTAGCTAAGACTAGAGGTATGTGCCACCATACCCAGCTAATTGCAGTAGTTATTATCTTTAGTACAAACTGACTTATGACGTAGCTGGCCAATGTTGTACTGTCAGCTCTGATGTTCTAGAGTTACAAGAAGCTAAGTACTTCAAACTTCCATGGGACCTGACTTCTAGGGACCAGTGGAAACTGACCACTAGCCTCTTCTTGTGGCCCACTGACCACTAAACGAAAGAGAAAAGAGGCAAGGAAAGCTAATAGACAGAAGATGTCCATATTTGACCCACTGAAGTTTTCTCTGGAATTCTGCACTTCCACATAGAGTAAAGGACAGAGTATTCTCCCTGGAATCTGCTAGTCCATAGCCTTGTAGAATGTCTGAGTTGGAAAGGACCCCAGAAAGCACTCAATTCAAAGCTCCCATTTTAAAAATGAGTACATTGAGGCCCAAAGAAAAGGGCTAGCCCCAAATCACACAGTGAGTTAGTGCTGGTGCCCAGACCAGAACACAGGTCTCCTGATTCCTGATCTTTCCATGGGTAAGCTTCTATGCTTTTCCTAGAGATCATGGTCACTTCTCTGAAATCTGACCTCTGCAGATAAGAATTCCCTTGCTTCTCCCTCATTCCTGTTCCTAGAAACCTGGAGAAATGGGAGTAGGAGAGGTTTTTTCCTCTGGTCTCATTCTTTATGGCTTCTGCCTCCTCTCAGGGCTGTAAGGTAACGACGATGAAGTGAGTGAGTGAGTTTGGCAAGGGCAGGGTGCGATCCCATCTTTACTTACAATGTTGATATTTTCTTCACCATTGGATATTTTTACAAAAATTCTGATTTTTAAAATATTGCACTAAAATATTATTTATCAGGACCGCTGAGTGTTTTGGTGCCTCTTTATATTTTGCTCCCCTGGTGAGTGCCTTTCTGGTCACCTCCTTGACCTGTCCCACCCTCCGTTCCTGCCCTTTGACTACATCCCCAGTCAGGTCAGTTTTTGCCACTTTGTAACCATTTTCTGACGCATGGTCCCCTTTCTGTAATACCGGAAGCATTCCTACTGATAACACAGATGATGAGTAACATGAACAACGACCACCCAGGGCCAGCTGATAGAGATTCAAGATAAAACAGGGGAATTCCTGACTTTGATGAAATGGATGCTGTGGTGCAGTGGAGCAGCATAGGCTTTGAAGTCAGAGGCACTGGGGTTTCAGTCCTGATCACACCACTTAGCAGCTGTGTGAGGAGCAGTGACTGATTGTCTGTGATCTGAAAGCAGTGGATACCCAGACATGAGCAGAGCCTACTTCCTGTTCCTACAGCAGGCACAATCCAGATGGAGGACATTGTTTGTTTCTCTGGGCCTTGTTTTCTGTAACTGAAAGTGAAAATAGCATCATCTCACAGTGAGGATTAAATATGATTCTTTACATGAAATTGCCTAGCATAATGTGGGTGCCCAGTTAAAATGTGCCTCTGCACAAGTAAATACAATCTTCACTGGAAAATTCTTGTTGACAGGAGCCATCACAATGCATACTCTTTCACTATTGAGATCCATCTTCATACAGCTACTTTTCCTAATTTAAGAAGACCCAGAAAAAAAAATTACTGAAAACTTTTCAATGGATGCCTCAATATTTAAAACAATTAAGGAGGAAGACACATTTCTTTCAGCTGCACTCAAGTCCTTCAGATTTTCATGTAGCAATTTTCATTCCAATGCCCCTGGTCCTTTGAATTTGCATTTTTACAGCAGAATCTTTGTGCTTCCTCACACCTTTCTACCACTGAACTTAGTCTTCATCCTTTAGTTCAACAATGGCCTTGAGTATGCCTTCTCATAAAGGGGTCAAGAATGACCTGAGGCCAGGTGCGGGTGGCTCATGCCTATAATCCAAGCATTTTGGGAGGCTGAGGTGGGAGGATCACTTGACTACAGGAGCTCAATACCAGCCTGGGTAACATAAAAAGACTCTGTCTCTACATTAAAAAAAAATTATCAGGGCATGGTGGCATGTGCCTGTAGTCCCAGCTACTCAGGAGGCTAAGGTGGAAGGATCACTTGAACCCCTGAGGTCAAAGCTGCAGTGAACTATGATCATTCCACTGCACTCAGACTGGGCAATAGGGTGAGATCAAGTCTCAAAAAAAAAAAAAAAAGAAGAATGTGAGAGCTATTTTGCACACTTCTGGTGTTGTGATTGCAGTATTTATCTGAAAATAATGTGGGAGCAACCTCTCCTAACACATTATGGTAGGTAGAATTCTGAGATGACCTCCAATAAGTCATGCCCTTTCATAATTTCTGGTTCCTGAGTGCAGGTGGAAACTGTGATTACTTCTAACCAATAAAATATGACAAATTGAGGATAGCCACTCCCATGATCATGATATGTCACATAAGACTCCATCATAGCAAGCTGAAATGAGAGATTCTCTTCCTGGCCTTGAGTACATGAGTTACTACGTTATGAGAAGGCCTGCAAGAGGGTCAGGTGTCTGGGAACTCTGGGTGGCCTGTACTTGTTGACAACAGCCCTGTCTGACAGCCACCAAGAAGCAAGAACCTCAGTCCTACAGCCACAAGGAACTGAATTCTTCCAACTATATGAACTTGGACAAAAAGACTCTAAGCTCTAGAAGAAATGCAGCTCAGATAGTCACTTGATTCCAGCTTTAGGAGATCCTGATCATAGGCCTAGCTAAGCTTTACTGGCTTTGGACACATGGAAACTAGGAGATAACAAACTTACATTGTTTCAAGGCACTAAGTTTATGGAAATTTGTTACACAGCAATAGAAAATTATTAATAAGTGCTCACTTTGGCAGCACATACACTAAAATTGGAATGATACAGAGATTAGCTTGGCCCCTGTGCAAGGATGACACACAAATTCGTGAAGTACTCCATATGTTTTTTGCAATCTACCCATCTGACAAAGGTCCAATATCCAGAATTTACAAGACAAACAATTTTACAGGAAAAAGCAAACAACCCCAACAAAAAGTGGGCAAAGGATATGAACAAACACTTCTCAAAAGAAGACATTTACGTGCCCAACAAACATGAGAAAAAGCTCAACATCATTGATCATCAGAGAAATGCAAATCAAAACCACAATGTGACACCATCTCATGCCAGTCAGAATGGCGATTATTAAAAAGTCAGGAAACAATAGACGCTAGTGAGGCTGTGGAGAAATAGGAACACTTTCACACGCTGTTGGTGGGAATGTAAATTAGTTCAATCATTCCGGAAGACAGTGTGGCGATTCCTCAAGGATCTAGAATCAGAAATACCATTTGACCTAGCAGTCCTATTACTGCGTATATACCCAAAGAAATATAAATCATTCTACTCTAAAGATACATGCACACATATGTTTATTGCAGCACTATTTACAATAGCAAAGACATGGACTCAACCCAAATGCCGGTCAATGATAGACTGGATAAAGAAAATGTGGTACATATACACCGTGGAAATCTATGCAGCCATAGAAAGGAATGAGATCATGTACTTTGCAGGGACACAGATGAAGCTGGAAGCCATCATCCTCAGCAAACTAATACAGGAATAGAAAACCAAACACTGCATGTTCTCACTCATAATTGGGAGTTGAACAATGAGAATACATGGACACAGAGAGGGGAACAACACATACCAGGGCCTGTTGGGGGTTGGAGGTGAGGAGAAGGAACTTAGAGCCTGGGTCAATAGGTCCAGCAAACCACCATGGCACACGTATACCTATGTAACAAACCTGCACATTCTGCACATGTATTCCATTTTTTTAGAAGAAATTAAAAAAATATAAAAGAAAATTATTAATAATACACGCAACTGGTTTACTTGAGAAGTCTGAAGTAGGGAAGCTAATTCTACATGTTTTCTTGGTACTCTCCTCTCCACATAGAAGGTGACACTAAGGGTAGACCATTGAGTCTGGGTTTGAAATTTCATTTATTCCTCAGCCCAATATTTCATATAGAATTGAATCCTCTTGCATGACCTGCTCTGTGTTCCCTTCAGTGGCTTGATTGCCTCACATCAGTTTTGTTAAGGAATGAGTGAAGCATTTCCTCCAAGTGTCTATGCAGTAATTTTGATCTAGGGGATAAGCATAGAATTCAATGGGATCTAAACATGTGATGGACTTTGAGGGAGCTGATTCCTGTATAACTTTAATCAGAAACCCTATGGAGTGAACTACAGTTAGCTTTCATTTACAACTTTTGCAAACATCAGAGACAAGGCTAATCAGAACATTCTCAAGACACATCATAAACAAATTGTAGCCATTTGTGGAACAGATCAGTTATGTATTCATCAACGGTACCAGGAGACTCTATAGAACGGCATCAGGGAAAGTCTGCAGACATCTGCCTCCCATCAGCCAGACACGTACACACGCATGCTAGCTTATCCCACCTCACAGCACAACAGTGACACCTTGATTGCAGGTTTAACTTTAGTCACTTTTTCTATATAACAAACTACCCCAAAACTCCATAGTTTAAAACAGCAATAATTTACTTTTTCTGATCATGGTGTAGATTGATTATGTGGCTCTTGTGTTCCATACAGTGTCTTGATCTTTTCAGGCTGCTATAACAAAACATTTTAAACTGGGTAACTTATAATACCAGAAATTTATTTCTTAGAACACTAGAGGCTGGGAAGTCCAAGATCATAGTACCAGTAGATTTGGTGTCTAGTGAGGGCTCCCCCTCTGCTTCACAGATGGCGCCTTCATACTGTGTCCTCACATGGTGAAAGGGGCAAGACAGCTCAGAGACTTATTTTATAACAGCATGAATCTCATTTGGCCTAATCACCTTCCAAAGACCTCACATCTTTATACGATCATGTTAGGGATTAGGTTTTAATATATGAATTTTGAGGGAAACACAAACATTTACAACATAGCACACAGTGGCATCTGCTATGGCCATTCAAGTGGTTTTGCATTCATTTGGTGGCTGGTTTCTCTCAGCTGTCTGGGGCTTTGGGGCTAACTGTCAGCTAGGGCATCTCTATTGTCCATGTGAACCCTCTCCCCTTATGGTTTCTCATCCTCACAGCTTTCTTCACGTAACCTCTCTTCTGCAGGATGGCTTGGATTTTCTTTGCAAGACAGCTGGTTGTCAAGAAGGCAAAAGAACCATCTTCCATAACTCTAAAAGGCTAAGCCTGGAAGACCACATGGTCATTTCTGCCATTTTTATATTAGTTACAACAAGTCATCAGCCAGTCAAGACTCGAGAAAAGAGGAAACTGACTCCACCCTTGATAAGAACAGTAAGATGTATGTCCAAGGAGGGGTAGAATTCTTTATGGCCATCTGTGATGACTTTCCAGAGTATTCATTTGTGAGTTTCTCCATGAGATGATTCTTATAGTTTATCTTTGATTTTAATTTTTCTATTGCTTACTAAGAGTGGTATTTAAATTGGTAAATAATTAATTTTAAGTTATATTTCATGATTTATGTAATTTATATAATGCATCTCCCACCCATATACAATCCTACAGAATACTACTGATGTGTTTCTAGGGCAGTTTTTAGACACTGATCTCACAAGTTTTAGGTTATGCCCTGATCTCCTTAAGTTTCCTTTAATATTTCATTATTGCTCTGTTACTCATAACGTTATGATCAAAGAAATAGGTCTATATTGTCTGTGGAGTAAAACTTGAGCCTCCACCCTGAGCCTTTGGCCTTTGAGATCAGTTAATGGACTATAAGATGCTCTAAGGGACACAGAGTTAGGATGGGTCCAGTGAGACAAGCCTGGTTCTGAATTCAAGTTCCATGATATCAATTCATCTTCTCTTAAAATAGTTGCATAGCTTTAAAAATATTTTTATCTTAAATATAGGGACAATAACTTCTACTTTATAATTTACCAAATAATATATGCAGAAGACTTGAAATTAGTGATAGCACCGTTGTTTATATTTCACAAATATATCTTTGTTCACTGAGATAGTTCTCACTGAGAAGGAAATTTCAGTATTACCTGGGAAAGTAACTATTTTCAGTAAAAATACATGCCTGCTACCATACCCGATTCTCTCCTAGAACTTCTCATCTTTCATATTAGAGGATTTGAATTTTATGCTATTAATGTAGAGATGATTCTGAGATGTAGCATGCTCCCAACTGAAAGCCCTTTCCTTACCAACCATTGGTATACTGCTTTATAGTATGAACATTTTCCAGCTCTCCCATTTAAACTTAAATGAAATACAAGCCGAAAAAGCATAGGGAACATCATTTCCATTGTACAGATGAAGAACTCTAAACCCAGAAAGGCTTGAAGTCTTTCCTATGGTCATTTTGTCAAGCAATCTTCTGACTTCAAGACCTATGCATTTGCATTCTGCTCTCTCCCTGAATGTTGAACAAATACAGTAATGTCATGAGACAAGGAAGAAACCAGACCATTTCCGAGCAGATTTCATGTGAGAGGAAGTTTTCTACAGACTTCATAGGTAATATTTTCACTTAATCCTAATGCATGAGAGATATATATTATCAGTTTGACTTAACAGAAGAGAAAGCTAAGTTCTGAGGAGCAATAGGCTAGCTTATACATTGGCAGATTTTAAAAATTGGACCCAGAGAAGTTAATCTTATATACCAGGCTATTTTCATTTCCCCTTATGATCTATGTGAGAGAGGGGCAAAGAAGGGACTCCGTGTATGAAGAATCTGCATATGGCTCTTTTTTGTTCTGGTCTATGCTAAGCCTTAACCTGCAACTGCACAACATGAAATGGCAGGGGGTGTCGTTTTTACCACCCTTAAGTTTGTCGTGGTAGAATTTTATCTGCAGCTATAGACTGTGCAATGAGTGCACCGGAGGTGCAGAATGTTACGAAGTCATATTTTTAGCTTGGTTTTCTAACTCTGGGGAACAGTTGTCTGCAGCAGCATGATTTAATCATGTTTGATTACTGACTTTGCACAGTTCTGTCTTCCTTACACACTGCCACCATTGGCTTCCACAGTATTAATTCATTTAACCTTAAAAAAAAATCCTGTCTCCTCAGTCTTTCTGTTATTATAGACTCACTGAAGCCCTCTATGTAAAAACATACGCCTCTGCCTTGGGAAACCATGGACACACTTTGAAATTCTTCAGGTAATCTGGAGCACACCTAATCTGGAAAAAAAAATGGTTTTCATGTAAGTTGGAGACGAGAGATGATATGGTTTGCATCCGTGTTCCTGCCCAAATATCATGTCAAATTGTAACCTCCAATGTTGGAGGTGAGGCTTGGTGGGAGGTGATTTTTCATAAATGGTCTAGCACCATCTCCCTTGGTACTGTCCTCATGATAGTGAGTGAGTTATCCTGATATCTGGTTGTTTAAAACTGTGCAGCACCTCCCATGATGGTTAACATTGAGTGTCAACTTGATTGGATTGAAGGATGCAAAGTATTGTTCCTAGGTGTGTCTGTGAGGGTGTTGCCAAAGGAGATTAACATGTGAGTCAGTGGACTGGGAGAGGCAGACCCACCCTCAATCTGGTGGTCACCATCTAGTCAGCTGCTAGCTCAGCTAAGATAAAAGCAGACAGAGGAACGTGGAAGACCTAGACTGACTGAGTCTTTTTACCTTCATCTTTCTTCTGTGATGGATGCTTCCTGCCCTTGAACATCAAACTTCAAGTTCTTCAGCTTTGGGACTCTTGGACCTTTGACCACAGACTGAAGGCTGCACTATTAGCTCTCCTAGTTTTGAGGTTTGGGGACTTGGACTGGCTTCCTTGCTCCTCAGTTTGCAGATGGCCTATTGTGGAACTTCACCTTGTGATCATGTGTGTCAATACTAATTAATAAACTCCCCCTTATATATACATCTATCCTATTAGTTCTGTCCTTCTAGAGAATCCTGACTAATACACCTCCCATTCTCTCTCTCTTGCTCCTGCTCCAGCCATGTGATGTGTGGACTTCCCCTTTGCCTTCTACCGTGATTGTAAGTTTCCCAAGGTCTCCCCAGAAGCCAAGCAAATGCCAGCACAATGCTTCCTGTACAGCCTGTGGAACTGTGAGCCAATTAAACCTCGTTTCTTTATAAATTACCCAGTCTCAGGTATTTCGTTATAGCAATGCAAGAATGATGAACACAGAGGTTTACCTCTTCTGTGTGCATCTGTTTTTGTGCATCACCTCAAAACTGTGAAGAGTTAGACAAAGCTAGAGCTAAGGGTCTCTGGGACCAGCAAGGGTGAGAGGGACTTCATGGGTGAATGTTCTGAGTAGTGAGCGCCTCATCCTCTAAAATCCAGACCCTTCCCCACTCATTTCATGATGAGGCTTTCTGTCCTTTGTCCCATAGGAGTCACTCTGAGGTGCTTGAGGTAAAAAAAAGAGGTGACACTTAATAAGTATTTTAGTCAGCTCATGCTGAATAACAAAACACCAGAGACTGGGAGCCCTAAACAAAAGGCATTTATTATCTCACAGTGGTGGAGGCTAAAAATCTATGATTAAGTCGCCAACATATTTGGTTTCTGGTGAGGGCCTCTTCCTGGCTTGCAGATGGCTGCCTTCTCACTGTGTCCTCACATGGTCTTTGTCCTGTGCATACACAGAGAGAAAAAGAGACACCTCTGGTGTCTCTGCCTCTTCTTATAAAGACATCAATCCTATCAGAATAGGGCCCCCCACCCTTATGACCACCTTAATTACCTCCTTAAAGCCCCTATCTCCAAATACAGTCATATCGGGGCTGAGGACTTCATCATATGAATTTTGGGGTGGGGACGAATTAGCTCATAAAAATAAGTAATAGCTATTAAAATATATGAGACACTATGTGGCAGGCATCATACTGTGGAATTTTATATTTCATTCAATTCTGGTAAAGTCTTCATATACATACATACATACATACATAAACACGCATATATGTATGAGTATGTGTGTATATGTATCTATAATCTCATTTTAAAGGTAAGAAAAATGAAAGAGGGGTTAAAAACTCACCACTGAGAGTAAATAAGGGCCAGATCCAGGATTTGAATCAGATGTGTTTGTCTCCAAAGATACTACCCCAAGTCTCAGTATCTCTCTCTCTCTCTCTCTCTCTCTCTCATTTCTGCCTATGTTACAGCAGCAATGGTTCTCTCAAACAGAAAATCCATCTCATACTAGAACTGAGCTGAGCATCAGAGCAGCCCTGCCTCTAACCAAGCCATACCAGGCCCACTTGGCTTTTCCATCCTTCCCACCCAGCCTCATCTGCCTCCAGTTGGGAACTCATTTTAAACTGACATCAGGTGTTGGGGCAAAGGTCGAGTGGTAACGAAAGCTGTGAAATAAGTTTAAATGATGGGAAATACTCCCCAAATGCTTAAAAAGAGAGCCAATTTATATAAAAGCTGAGGAATTCCACTGTGTGTATGTGTGTGTGTGTGTGTGTGTCTGGGTGGAGTGAAGGATGTAGGGAGTGAGGAAGAAAAACAGGAAGGAAGAGAAGGTAAAGTGAGGGGGTAAGGAGAGAGTGAGAAGAAGAGAGAGATTGAAAACCAACTCTTGCTCAAACCATTAAAGAAGGGAAAAACTGCTGAATAAGACCATTCATTATTCTCTTTTTGCACTTCAAACAAATGGTAATTGTTGGTTTAGCTAACAAGTTGTGCCTTAATTACAGGCCATTAGGCACCATTAATAAAGAAAACCAAATCCACAAGAATCTGAATCTCATGTCTTACATTTTATTCCCTAGAAAGGAGACCTACTCTAAAAGGATTTAAAACTCTGCCTCTAAACCATGTAACAGCTCAGTGATGCTCACTGTCCCATAGCTTTGCTCAGGCATTACTTTCTCTGAGAAGCCTCCTCGCTCTTCCCTCCCTCCCCCAACAGCAGCCCTGCTGCCTTGAGTCCTGACTGATTAAAGTAGTCCTTCCTTCTGAGGAGTCTCAGAAGGAGGTACTGATTTTGACCTCACCTGCATGGCCTGTCTGCCTCTCTGTCCTTCCAAATAGTCTTTGAACTACCTGCAAAGAGTAACACTTTTTTTTAAATCCTACTGGACATGGAAATAATAAAAATAATTACTACTCCTCTTATTTGTTGAATCCTCTATACACATCCTTCTATTTACTTTTTTATAAAATGTAATTCTCTCAACAATCCATTAGTGTGGGTATAACTGCATCTTTTTAAGGATAAGAAAAGCAAGGCTCAGAGTGGCTAACTAACTTGCCTACGGCCATGAAGCTGGTAAGAGGCAGGGCCAGGACTGAAATCTACAGCTCATGCTCTTGCCAGAAGCAAAATTAGGTAGAAAAGTGCTAAATGTTTAGTTGTCTATTTACAATGTGAACTCCTTTTTGCCAGTTGTATTAGTCCTTTCTCATGCTGTTAATAAAGATACACCTGAGACTGGGTAATTTATAAAGGAAAGAGGTTCATTGGCTCACAGTTTACCATGGCTGGGGAGGCCTCATGGAACTTGTAATCATGGTGGAAGGCACCTCTTCACAGGGCAGCAGGAGAGAGAATGCATGCCAAGCAAAGGGGGAAGCCTCTTATAAAACCATCAGGTCTCATGAGAACTCACTCTCTATCACAAGAACAGCATGGGGAATGCTACCCCCATGATTCAATTATCTCCACCAGGTCCTACTCTTGACACATGGAGATTATTATAATTCAAGGTGAGATTTGGCTGGGGACACAGAGCCAAACCATATCATTTTCCCCCATGGACCCTCCCACATCTCATGCTCTCACATTTCAAAACACAATCATGCCTTCCCAACAGTCCCCCAAAGTGTTAACTCATTCCTGCATTAATCCAAAAGTCCAAGTCTAAAGTCTCATCTGACACAAGGCAAGTCCATTCTGCCTATGAGCCTGGAAGATCAAAAGCAAGTTTGTTACTTCCCAAATACAATGGGGATACAGGTATTGAGTAAATACACCTGTTCCAAATGGGAGAAATTGACCACAACAAAGGGGCTGCAGGCCCTATGCAAGTCCAAAATCCAATAGGGTAGTCATTATACCTTAAAATTCCAAAATGATCTCCTTTGACTCCTTGTCTCACATCCAGGTTACACTGATTCAAGAGGTGGGCTCCAACAGCCTTGGGCAATTCTGCCCCTGTGGCTTTGCAGGGTACAGCCCCCTTCCTAGCTGCTTCCATGGGCTGTCATTGAATGTCTGCAGCTTTTGCAGGTACAGTGTGCAAGCTGTCAGTGGATCTACCATTTGGGGTCTGGAGGACAGTGGTCCTCTTCTCACAGCTCCACTAGATAGTGTCCTAGTGGAGACTCTACGTAGGGGATCCCACCCATATTTCCCTCCTGCACTGCCCTCACAGAGGTTCTTCATGAGGGCTCTGCCCCTGCAGCAAACTTCTGTCTGGACATCCAGGAGTTTCCATACATCTTCCGAAATCTAGGCGAAGATTCATGAACCTTAATTCTTGACTTCTTTGCCCCTTAAGGCCCAACACCATGTGGAAGCTGCCAAGGCTTGAGGCTAGCACCCTCTGAAGCACTGGCCTGAGCTGTACTTTGGCCTCTGTTAGCCACGACTGGAATGGCTGGGATGCAGAGCACTAAGTCCGGAGGCTGCACACAGCAGTGGGGCCCTGGACCTGGCCCAGAAAACCATTTTCCCTCCTAGGCCTCCAGGCCTGTGATAGGAGGGGCTGTCACAAAGGTCTCTGGTATGCCCTGGAGGCATTTTCCCCATTGTCTTGGTGATTAACATTCCTCCTTGTTACTTATGCAAATTTCTTCAGCTGGCTTGAATTTCTCCCCAGAAAATGGGTTTTTCTTTTCTGTCACATTGTCAGGCTGCAAATTTCCCAAACTTTTTGCTCTGCTTCATCTTGAACGACTTGCCACTTAGAAATTTCTTCTCCCAGCTACTGCAAATCATCTCTCTCAAGTTCAAAGTTCCACAGATCTCTAAGGCAGGGACAAAATGCCACCAGTCTCTGCTAAAGCATAGCAAGAGTGACCTTTACTCCAGTTCCCAACAAGTTCCTTATTTTCATCTGAGACCACCTCAGCCTGGACTTCATTGTCCATATCACTATCAGCATTTTGGTCAAAGCTATTCAACGAGTCTCTAGGAAGTTCCAAACTTTTCCATATCTTCCTGTCTTCTGAGCCTTCTAAGTCCCTAGGAAGTTCCAAACTTTCCCAAAGTTTTCCTGTCTTCTTCTGAACTCTCCAAACTGTTCAGACCTCTGCCTATTACCCAGAACCAGAGTTACTTCTACATTTTTGGGTATATTTATAGCAGCACTCCTCTCTCTGCAGTACTAATTTACTGTATTAGTCTGTTCTCATGCTGCTGTTATATAAATAACTGTCCAAGACTGGGTAATTTATAAAGGAAAGAGGATTAATTGCCTCACAGTTCAGCATGGCTGGGGAGGCCTCAGGAAACTTACATTCATGGTGGAAGACACCTCTTCACAGGGCAGCAGCAGAGATAATGAGTGTTGAGCGAAGGAGGAAGCCTCGTATAAGATCATCAGATCTTGTGGGAACTCACTCTCTATCACAAGAACAGCATGGGAATACTGCACCCATGATTCAATTATCTCCACCCAGTCCCACTCTTGACACATGGGGATTATTACAATTCAAGGTAAGACTTGGCTGAGGACACAGCCAAACCATATCACCAGTTGTCTTTTTCTGGGTCAGTTTTGTGTTTCTGAAGATGTAGGGTGGTGATGGCTGCTCTTTGATTATTGCGAAGTTGCATGTCAACCGGATTGGCCTGTGCTAAAATTACTAGCAATATAGTAAGTGTTGATGAGGACATAGAGCAACTGGAATTCATACACTGCTGGTGAGAGTGTAAAATGGCATAAGACCTTTGGAAAAATGTTTGGCAGATTTTATAATGTTAAATCTACTTATCGTGTGACTCAACAATTCTACTTCTGTTTTACTCAAGACAAATAAAAACATATGTTCACACAAATAGTTCTACATGAATTTTTAAAGCAGTGTTACTCAAAATAACCAAAACCTGGAAATAACCCAAATGTTCATTAACAGGTGAAGAATAAAAAATACAAGAGCTAGGGCATATTCATATAATGTATTTTTTAAATGATATAAAAGAGTGAATGTGAACAAAGGACTGAATTAGATATCCTCTATTCATAATAAATGATATTTTCCTCCATCTCACTTCATCCTTGTAATTCAACATAGTACAATCCCACAAATATGAGAAATTGCAGCCATAAACAGAAAATTCCCAGTATCTAGACTAAGTTGTTGTGGAAAATCCACTGTGTGCCATAGCAGCACAACATACAGTGAGTTCAGTCCTGTTCACCCATCTGCCTGGTTCTGGGATTACTGCAACCTTCACATCACCTCCTTCTTCTGGAAGCCACATTCTAAATGAGTGAGATTTTTTTACTTTCCCATGAGCAAGAACAGAATGAGCTCCATTCATTGGCAATGGGTAATCTACTATTTCTCTGCAGGAGAGAAGGTAATGCAAATGGAAGAGTTGTGCGAACATGGCCCAGGGGTGTGTGTGCCTGGATGAACCCTGTTTGCACGTCAGTTCAGACAACGATCAGTATCTTGGTCACAGAAATTCACAGAGCTGCTGTTTGGTTTCCTTAGCATTAATTATCCACATCTGCCAGTATCCAGAGCAGGATTTATTGAGCACTTTATGTGGACAAGATATTCACCAGTCAAGAAAAAGGCATAAGATGCACATGAAATCAGGTTTTTGCTTGAAATACAATGAGATACCCCCCTAAACTGTGGGGGTTGGACTATCTGCAGTGTGTGATATAGACATGTGATACCAGAATCCAGGGGACAGGGAGGGAGAACAGCTTGAAGCTACAGGGAGGCTGAACAGAGGATCTGGGGCTGGTTCAGAGGAAGAATTTCCTCTGGATGGCAGATATGAAAAGAAAGGGCATTTCAGGGATTACTGTCCCCACCCACCCAAACAGTATCACCCCTGGATGCATGAGGTGGAGTGGAGATCAGGGGCTTTGGGATCTGGCAGAGCTGGACTCCTGCAGCTCTGCTTTTTAGTAATCCTGTGACCTTGGCCAGCTACAGAACTTCACTGAGTCTCCATTTGTCATCTGAAAATGGGGATTATAGTAATGACTTTCTAATAGAATGCTGTGAAAATTAAAAGATTAAATAATGTTGGAGAGAAAGGGGTAATATAGCCTCTGATACAAAGTACAAATATTGCTTTCTCCCTTGCTAAATATAACTTACTTAATTTGTCTTGGTCTTTCCAAGCCTCCTCTCCCTCTGTTTTCAGGCTGCCCTCTGCTATTCATCTCCCCGCCCATGGGTTCCTCCAACACCACCCTCAAAAAATTAGGAACAGAAAGGAACTGATGCTGAAGACTCACTCCTAAAAGCAGTTCTCCACCCAAGGGTCTCAGCACTGGAAGCTTAAATCCTTTGGGGAATGAAAGGTGTTACATCTAGGAGAAGGACATTTCTTCATAAGTGAGAGTTTGGACTTTTTCCACATCCGGGAGTTATCTACCCCATCCCTAAGTCAATCCAGCTACAAATGAAAACCTCAGGCTGATCTGGTTATCGGGTTTTGCCAAACCAGTTCTTTGACTCAGGTGACTTGCATAGCCGGGATAACATTCTGAGATAGATACAGAAAACCTCTCAGCACCATAGCAAAGTAAAAATGCAAAATCGGTCCTAAGTGTCTTCTATAATAACATGCAAATCCAATCATATTTCTGTCTTCCTCTATCCTCTGCCTGGCTCCGCATTGCCATCAGGGAGGAAGGAGGTTAGCACAACACAGACAGCCTCTTAAGATCTGGATTCAGAGCTGGGCTGTGTACAGCCCAGCACACTCTACTCTGGGGCTCAGGTTTCATCACCTGGGGAGGTGACAGTACATGTATTTGCTGAGTTTCTAGTTAGAGACAAGAGTTTCCTGCCCTAAATGGGACTCCAGTTCCATCACTGGCTTTTACATAGACGTGTTGGGTTTGCTGTGACTTTTTATATACTATTCTAAAGTGCAAAACAAGCATGGTATTAAAACAATGGCAGAGCATTAAAGAAATCTTCAAATAAATGGAGACTTCCCTCGCAAGAATAGGGTTAAGTTTAACTGGAAAAAACTTTGAATTCCACATACTTAACAAAGAAATTTCAAAGTTGCCTTTAGGCCCTCAGACCTGCTCTTTCTTGTTCACAAGCGTGTCAGCTTTGAAGGCCAGCATGAGAAATGGCATTGAATCTGACCATCTATGTAGGGGTGAAACTTCGCAGATCACTGTGGAACTGGTCTATGCAAAACCAGAAATCAGTATGTGATTCTTGATCTTTGTTATAATAGACAAAAGTTGTTTCTGGTTTTATAAGTAGCTCAATTGCATAATATGTCCATAATACATGCTAATTAAATGAATGAATACATATTAATAGACACCTTGACTAAGCACTCTAAATATTTCTAATAACAATAATAATAATAATAAGAGCTGTCACCTTAATATTTCTAAAATTACGATTTAACTGTTTTTTTCTATTCATACACTGAATGATTAGTTTGTCATCATTCTCGCCATCATATGACCAGGAAGCCATGGACAAGGCATTCCTTTTATGTAATGCTCATAGCAACTTCTGAGGGACATGCTACTGTTGTTTATATTCATATATGAGGGCACTGACTTTTAGAGACTCTCAAGTTTGCAGAGGCTTTGACCCAGTGCATAATCTATGCTCCTAAGCACAGTAGGAAGGAAACACTGGGGCTCAGGGTAGTTAAATGACTTGCCCAAGGTCAAGAATTTCTGTGGCAGGACTCAGAGTTAGTTTTTCAAGCCACAGTTCCAGGTACCTCAAATACATTAAAGCAACACTTACAATGGAAACCTATCAATGTCCAGTTGAATAGCTTTTTTATACCTGGGCTGGAACGGACATCAGCTCTGGCCATTGAAGTTCCAGTTAACATCGATCCAAACAGGCAAAGGAAAGATCCAAACTGTCTTACTAGCAATAGGTTTGGACGGGATGGCTGATTAAATCTCAATTCCTTTTGATGCAATGGCAAAGGACTCAGGCTCAATTTCTCTGATAGGACAAACGTCTTTGAAGCTTCTTTGTGCTGGATTTAATGAGCCTGATTGTCATCTTCCAGAAGACAGTGCAGGCGAGGCCTGTGCAGGCAGAGTGGATGGGATCACTCATCGATTGTGTTGTCACGCCCATCAAGCAGTCGGAAGAACCAGGGCAGGATGTGAAATCAATCTGACCGTCTATTTATAGATGAGGCAGCGCCTTTGTCATGGTGATCCTACCAGCAACCCGGAAGGCAACATCTGCAGTGTGTGACTTCCACAAATTAAAAAGCATGTCCTGACAGCACGTAGAAGGAAATTTTATTTTTCTTCTAAAATATTTTATAAATATGGACTGTTCTTCTTGTCCTTTTCATCTTTATAATCTTCCCTCTATTTCTATTTCTCTCCCTCTCTCCATTCTCGATGACTTCCTCTCATGTTTTTTCCTTCTTTTTAATTCAGTAAGATTTATTTAAGTTTCATTATGCATTTGGAGCTGTATAAAGTGCTGTGGAGAATTTAGAGAAGATACTCCATGGACCCTCCTTCAAGCCATTTCCAATATCTTTGTGGAATGGAGAGCACTTGCAACTTAAAATCAAAACACCTATTTTCTAATTGTTTCCACCACTTATGCATTTTCTTTATGATCTCATAGCAGTCACTTGTTTCTTAACCTCAGCGTCTTCATCTGTAAATTAAAGAAATAATATCTATAGATACCACAAACATGTTTAGACAGCTTACGTAAAAAGGAACAAGCTTAGTACTACTGACAAAAAGCCTAGTTGTATAATCGTGAGCAAATTAAGCTTTCTAAGTCTCAGGATTTAGAAAATGAGTATTATAACTGAGTAAAATATTAGTAAAATGAGTGTAGTATTAGTATGCATAAGATTGACATGATAATTAAATGAGATTACATATATGAAAGCTTAAAATAGGCAGGACCTGGCTTAATAAGTACCTGGCTCAGTGAGGGCTTAATAAAATTTGGTTAGTAATGTAAGATGTGGGCATTGCATATTAAGAATAATAAAGTGCTATATACAGCCCGCCTTCCTTCTTTCCTTCCTTCCTTTCTTCCTCTTTCCCTTCCTTTTTTCTTTCCTTCCTTCCTTGCCCTGTCTCTCTCTTTCATTTCAGAGTCTTATATTATTGTTAGTCTCCTAAAAGAATAGAATTCTGCTTCCACTTGGGATGAAGAAAAGTTTAAAGAGCGTAACTCCCACCATGTAGCTGGTTTGGTCACAATCAGTCACTTTCCTTGAGGCCATCAGAGAACTGACGTTGCAAGGCAAATACATACCCTGAATTCCAAATGAGGGCACACCTTTCCAACATGAAATTCTTGTTCTCTCAATTCTTGTAACAGAACTCTCAAATTCTTGTAACAGAACTCGGAGATACAAGTGACTGCCGTTCAAGTAAGTAAGAAGACGACGACCAGAATTTAACAAATTTTTAAAGGTCAAGTGTCAGTTCAGAGCAACTGCAGGTCCAGACATAAGAAGAATTTGCACTCACTCCCAACCTTCTTGCCATGGCCTCCCCAAGCTGTTCACCAGAAAGACCAGGAGCAGAGCAGAAGACCAGAAGGGACCCTCTTCAGTTATGCACATGCAGGATGTACTTGACTGCTACGAGAGACCACTCACAAAACACTACCCATTTCCTGGACCCCAGTGCTCTTAGGGGAGGAGCAGTAAAGTACATCATTCCCAAGGTACAAGCGAAAACCAGTTTCAATGTAGGAAGGATAAAAGAAAAAAAAAAAACCCTAGAGGACTTTTTTCTAGGGGAAAAGAGGCAAATCATTTTAAGGGACAGGAGGAAGCTCCAGCTCAAAAGCAACAACAGATACTAGACAAAGTGTTAATGCCATAGAGAGGAGAGACAGGAATGTTAAGAAAGCCTCAAAATCCAAGAAATAAGGATCAGTGTAAAACTGACAGGGCACAAAATAACAGAGTTGTCCCCACAAACCCACCGTGAACCTAGATTGGTTAAGAAGGAGCAGCCAGTATGTTTGGGGCAGGAGCAGGAGCATAGGGTGACCTCCTCCATGGCACAGGCAAGCAAGAATATCAGAGAGCTGAAGGTAGAGCAGGGGCTTCGAGGAAAACTCTGGCACCCCAGTCCCACCTGCCTTAGTCCATTTGTGTGTTGCTATAAAGGAATATCTTAGGCTGGGTGATTTATAAAAAAAGAGGTTTGGCTCACAGTTCTGCAGGCTGTACAAGAAGCATGGCACTAGCATCAGCTTCTGGGGAGGGCTTCTATAGTCAGCATAAATGTTTCCAAAAGTGAAAACAATATAAGAATCTAGATAGTATTTTTCAGACTCACATAACCTTACATTCCCAGTAGTATTACAAGAAAAACAAAAGGAAGTTCTTCTGGCAAAAGTTTATGTTGATAGAAAGAAACATGGATCTATAGAGAGAAATAAGTGCTATAAGGTAAATATTAAAAAATTTCTTTATTTTTAATAATTAAAAAATTTACTGTCTGAAACAAAAATTATAGTTTTTACCTAGTAGTAAATGTAAAACTTATAATAGCAATAGTGCAAAAGATGCAAGGGATGAATCAGAAATATACAGTTGTAAAATTCTTATACTGTTCATGAAACAGTACCATATTATTTGAACATAGGCTGTGACAAGTTAGAGATGTAGATATTGTTAACCATGTGGCAATCACTTAAAAACTCAAAATGAGATATAACTAATAAGCCAATAGTGGAGATAAAATGGAATAATAAAACATTTGAATTCAAAGGTAGGCAGAAAAAGAAGAAAAAAGAAACAGATAATAGACAAGCAAACAGAAACGGTTAGCAGGATGCTAGGTTTTAACACAATGATATAAAAAATTACATTAAATAACAATGGTCTTGTTACATTGAATTCACGCACGCGCACACACACACACACACAAACAACAACAGCAAAGACCTAATTATATGCTGTCTAAAGGAAACATTTTAAGTAGAGAAATACAGATAGATTAAAAGTCAAAGGATAACAAAACGATAGACAAACACTAGTCAAAAGAAACCTGACATGGTCTCTCTTTCTCTCTTTTTCTCTCTCTCTGATCCTCTCTCTCTCACACATGTACATGCACACACATGCACAAGAAGCCTTTGTTTTGCTGATCAAGGTGGTAGATCAAATGCAAATGAGTTCTACAAAAGTAGAAAATCAACTCAGAATGTTAGCTGAAAAGTTGTATGCAGAGCTGACAATGAGAGTCTAGTCAAAGAGAAAGTACATGGAAAAATTGAATAGGACTACAAAAAAAGAAAGAGCAAGCGAGAGACAGGAGGAGAAGGAGAAAGCATATTAGGATGAGGGAGGGTGGCCAGAATGGTTGGTAAGAGCGAAAGTTTAAGGGAGATGGTTGGACAGTTTTGCTGTGT
This sequence comes from Homo sapiens, assembly GCF_000001405.40. NCBI lineage: Eukaryota > Metazoa > Chordata > Mammalia > Primates > Hominidae > Homo > Homo sapiens. The sequence goes on along the minus strand of NC_000002.12, from coordinate 12,394,785 downwards.
GATGTGGATAATCCCTTCTGTTTACCTACAACACTCTGCTAATATAATTATATGGGTTCTCTTTGTTAGTGGAGTTAAATTTGTGTATGAGTGTCAGAGTAGGGGAGAGGGCTAGATCACATCAGCAGAAGTATATATGTTCATGTGTATTTCAGGAGGACATGCTCAAACTGCCACATGAAAGAGAAAGACGGTTCAGTTTGAGTCACGTTTGCATCTCCAGAGCCAAGCGAGATGCAGGACACAGTGAAAGAACTTTAAAAAGTAATCGAACTAAACTTGCTATGAACAGAATGTTTGTGTTCCTCAAAAATTCATATATGGAAGCCCTAACCCCCTATATGACTGTATTTGAAGATAGGGCTTTTAAGGAGTTAATTAAAGTTAAACGAGGCCACAAGGGTAAGGTCCTTATCCCATAGGATTGTGGCCCTATAAGAAGAGGAAGAGTGAGAGAGACGCTGTTGTCTCTCTCAGCCTTGTGAGGACCTGGTGAATGTTCATCTGCAATCCAGGAAGAGAGCCCCCACCAGAAGCTGCCCATGCTGGCACCCTGATCTCAGACTTTCGGCCTCTAAAACTGTGAAAAATAAATGCCTGTTATTTATAAGCCACCCAGTTTATGGTTTTTGTTACAGCAGCCTGGACTAAGACAAAACTAAACTAAAATGTATATCTTGATCAGGGTTGGTAGATGGACCCCAAGACAATAACCATATCTTACATGCAGATTTTGCTTGAGAATTTTAATTTAAATGTTCTGCATTATAAGTGCCTATATATTTGTAAACATTTGGTACATTTTGCCTTATTGACTTTCATTAAGTTTGTGCTAAGTTATACACCCGACAGATACTATATGAGAATGCTTTTCTTGTCAGATAGAATATTCTCTCCCTGCTCATTTTCTTCCTCTTCCCCCTTCTGCTCCTTCTCCACTTCCTCTCCTCTTCCTGTTCTTCTTCTTCTCTCTCCTACCTTGATAAAATAAATATGCTTTTGTATTGTATAACCTGTTTCTTATGATCATTTTTACCTCATCTTGGTGAGTGTTGTCTTAGAATGCTCAGGTTACTATTTTTAAAACATAAAATCGGTGGCTTAAACAATAGATATTTATTTCTCACAATTCTGGGAGACTGGGAAGTCCAAGATCAAGGTGCCAGCAGATTTGGCTCCTAATGTGAGCCATCTTCTGGCTTGTAGATGGCCACTTTCTCTAATGTTCCACTTATAAGGACATCGATCCCATCATGAAGGCCCTATCCTCAGGACCTAATCTAAACCTAATTGCCCTGCGAAAGCCCCATCTCCAAATATCATCACATTGGGGGATAAGGCTTCAACAGAGGAATTTTGGTGAGACACGAACATTCTGCCTGTAACAGGCATCAGTCACTGAGGAAGCAGAATGTAGAGGTTGCTCATGTTCAAAGGCAGGTTCACCAAGAAGCTAACCTCCACCTGCCTCTCAGGGCCCCCACCTGCATGACGCTTCTCTGAGTAGTGGAAATTGCTGGGAGTTATAGAATGCTCTAGATAGGGGAGCAATGTTCAGTGGCTGTCAGGAAGCATGGCCAGCAGTAGCCTTTCTAGCAAATTGACTAAAGGAATCTCAGAAGAAAAGGACTGGAATCTCTAAGTTTTTGGTATCTTTTTGTAATTTATTTTCTCATTCTAAATAAATATTTACTCAAAAAATTAATTTTTTTTCATAATTCTTGAATTAATTTTAAATATGCTTCCCCCTAACTGTATAAGCTTCAGGCCCCACAAAACCTGGATGGTACCCTGCCTATAGTATTTATAACTGACACACTTACATTAATGTAGCCCTTGCAACTTACCTACACTCTGCCTGTTTTGCCTACTGCTACATTAAAAATTACCCCCCAAAAATTAGCATCTTAAAACAAAAATAATTTGTTTTGCTGAAGATGACATATATGTAAGGCCCATTGGGAATGGCTTATCCATCTCACACAGCATTAACTGGGACAGCTCAGTGATGTGGCTGGCAAGTCAGTGCTGATGATGGATCTGATGGAAGCTCAACCAGGGCTCTGGGCTGGGAGCTATGGTTCCTCTCTGAATGATCTTCCACCACCTGGATCTGGTGCCTGCATCACATCTGGATTCTTCTAGTGAGTATATCAATATAGGATGTAGAAGCTTCCAGGTTCTTACAGCCTTGACACAGAGACTGATTTAGTGTCACTATTCCAAGTTGTATCGATCAAGGCAGTTACAGAACCCACCCAAACTCAAGGGAAAGAACATGGACTCCTTCTCTTACTGGGAAGAGTGTCAAAGAATGTGTGGCTTTCTTTAATCTGCCACACGATCCTAGGTACTGGGGAGAAAAAAACACTCGAAATCGCCACTGACCATCATGTACACTGGAAGAAAATGCTTTTCTGTGCATATGGAATTTTTAATGGAAGCCTAAAAGTGTAAGGCCAGGTTTCTGCATTATATTTCACACATAATTGGCATTTCTATTAGACCAGTGTGTTTTCGTAATCGCTAATGCATGAACAGAATATTATTAATTTAAAAATATTTGAACTATGAGAACATTCATTTGTTAGGTAAACAAGTGATCAAGGTTTCATGATGTTTTCAAAGGTTTTCAAGAGACTGACACTATAATAAACCTTAAATAGGGAAAAACATCTTGGAATTCAATTGTTGAAATTTTCCATTTTTGTAGTGAGGATGGGGTGGTTCAGAATTAAGAGAAGCAGTGAAGCACACTAGTTAAAAACACTGACTTCAGAGCCAAACCTGGACTGAAATGCTGCCCCATCCCCTGTGATTGCATAACATTGAGGAAGCTATTTACTTTATCATGCCCTTGGTCCCTCAAAATTTTGTGCCTCTGCAGGCTCATATATAAAATGGAACTATAAACAGATCAATCTCATGGAGTTACTACAAGGATTAAACAAGTAAATATTTGTAAATCACTTAAAAGATGGCTTGGCCACCTAGTATGCATTATACATGTTTAATAATACAAACATGCATCCATACATACATGTGTACATACCGTAAGTTAAATCTGAGTTCGATTATCCAACAGAAGCCAACTTTACAGGTAATACAGTCTATGTCTCCTATTTCAAAGTATGGATGCACTCAAACTGTCTTGAATTTTACAAAAACGTTTTCAGCTCACTGTGTCATGGGATATCATAGACAAAACCGAAACGCATTATTTGGACTTGCCTATGAATAAAAATAGCCCTATTCCTTACAAAGAAGTTGTTTTTCTTTTTGCCTTCTGATAAGAACTATTCTTGCCTCCAGAACTCAGTTTCGGAGCTCCAGAGACTATAAAAAGAGAGTGAGGAGGGAGGATTTCAGGAAAAGCTAGGCTCATTGTGACATAAATAATGCAAAATAGAAAGGAGTCTGGAAGCATTCTGTATCTGCAGTCTTCACATGGCAGCTCTGCCATTTGCCTGTAAATAACTGACAGGTCCAAAGTCTAAGGGATTACTTTAAATGTTACAAGTGATGAAAGCAAGGCTCTAAAGGACTCAGAGGAGAGAAATAGTCCAGTGGGATAGCAGAGAAAAGAACTTGCAAGTGATAAAAAGAGTAAATAATTTAAGACTTTCTAGGGCAGAACGTGATCACTGGAGGTTTACTGTGTTTCCCTAAGCCTTTGCTTTGAAATTCATAGTCGCACCATGAGTTTAATCATTGTTCTATCCAGCCTTGATCTCTATCAACATGATGGGACCATGAACTCCTTCTCTGCCACCAGATCAGAAATGCTGCATGCAGGATGGGGGACTGGCTGCAGGTGAGAGGTGAGACATTTGTGGGAAACCTTGTTTTTTGTTTGCTTTTCATTCAGGACCAGAATAACACGCATTAAGAAGATATGCAAGTATTTAACACATTCAGTTGGCTTTAAATGTCCAGAAAGTCTCACTCTCTAGCCATCCTTCCACCCTCTTTATTTATCTCAGAGGCCATCATGCTTGAATTGCTGAAACAGGTTCATTATTTGGCCTACCAACTCTCAAGCACCCTGGCCAATCAATCCAGGCTGCCCTCTGCTCAACCAGATGAAGCTCACCATGAGGTCCCTTCAACTTTTTCCCCACAAGGCTCCATCAGCTGCCTCTGCCCACAAGAAAAAAGGACCACTGACTTCCAGAGCTTCACTGCCACACATATGCCAAACACGCTTGAATCTTGATTTCCTTGCTAAAGGTCCAAACCCAAACCCATACATCAAATTGCATATAATAATCATATTCATTTTGGTTGTCCACAAGCTTCTCAAACTCAGAATTTCCAAAACTGGACTCCTTCTACCCACTTTCTTCCCTTGACAAAATGCTGTTCCTGCTTCTTTCATATCAATCTATGTCGTCACTCATCCAAACAAAACACTGAGACCCATTCTCATATATCCCTCTCTTTCACTCGCCAAACGCTAGCACATCGAGCTCTGTCAATTTTACTTCTTAAATATCTTTAAAATCTGCCTCCTCTCATCAGTCTCAAGCACTTATCTTCTCACGACATAACTTCTGTGAAAGCCTCCCAGCTTGTCTTACCAGCTCTGGTCTCTGGTCTCTCTGGTCTCTTCCTATTAAAACTATTCTCTTCTTTGTCTTTTCACTGACAATTCAAGGCCAACTTTAACAGGTTGTTCTCGCATTGACTTCCACTAGAAACTATGTAACGCCCAGTATACAATTTTCAGCTAAAAAGGTTCCACTTCTGATACGGTGGGGTAAGCTTCTAGCAGATCAACATGTATGAGGAAAATGTACAGAACAACTTCCACAAGACTCCGAATAGAAATCAAAGGCAGAATGATTTTGGAGCGGAATTGACATGATGAATGTGGGAAAACATGATTTGAGTTCTGTGTTTTTGCAGATTTTGCCAGAGGGTTATTGCATTCCAGCATGGCATGGGATGACTCAAGCTCCAATGGAAAACTCACTGACTTTCTGGTCTGAGGAATAAAACAAGGGAGTCCAGGGTAACCATAACCAGCAGAAGGTGAGGAGAATCCCAGAAGGGAGAAAGTAAGAGAAGGAAAGCCCTAGTTTCTGCATGCAAATTCTAAGAATCTAGCTGACCCCTAAACAAACTGAAATTAATTCCATTAAAAGATAAAGAAACAAACTGTGATTTGAGCCGCTGCTCACCACGTGTGAGACAAGACCGCAGTTTGAGTCTAGCCAACTAAATTGTCAGCTAAAACAAAGACATCACATTCTCCAGAGGAAAGTAATAAATCCACGATGTCACTGACAAAACATTCTCCATACTCAGGATGCAATCTAATATTGCCAGACTTAAGAAGAATCGGAAAAATGTGATCAGTCTCTAGGGAAAGGACAGTTAACAGAGGCGAAATCTTGAGATTATACAAATGCTGAAACTAGCAGTCAAGCACTTTAAAATAGTAACTCTAAATGTGCTCAATGAAATTAAGGAAGAAAGTTAATTTTAAGTGAAAATATAGGATATCTTAGAATAGAAATAGAAGATATGAAAAATAACCAAAATTAAATCTTAGAATCCAAAGAAATAATATCTGAAATATTTTGAAAAGAGGGATGGGTGTAATTGCAGAATTGTAATTGCAGAGAATAGTCAATGAATTTGAAGATGGATCAGTAGGAATTATCCAATCTGAACTAGAGATAGACTAAACATTGGAAGAGAGAGAGAGAGAGAGAGAAAGAGAGCGCCTCAGGAACCAGTGGTACAATATTAAAATGTTTAACATATACGTGGTTGTGGTCTCAGAAAGAGAGAAGAGACAGAATGGGACAGGAAAATATTTGAAAAAATAATGGCCAAAAATTTTCCTAATTTCAAGAAACTCAATATGTTGAAAAGAGGACAAATATGAAGAAAAGCATGGGTAAGAACATCAGCACCAAACAACTGAAAATCAAAGATAAAGAGAATGACTTTAAAGCAATCAGAGAAATAGTTCATGTTACATGGAGAAGAGCAACAATTTTAATTACCAAGGGTTCTTGTCAGAAATGATGAAGGTCAAAAATTTTGGAATAATATGAAAAACTACATATTAAATAAAGAGGAGAAACAATTTGAAATTACCAAGTATTTTTCATCACTATAGAAGTCAGAAGCATTGAAAAAATATCTGTAAAGTGTTGGCAGAAACTAAACAAACACAAACTTTCAACCAAGAGTTCTGTATCTTGCAAATGAATAAAGACAAATAAAGATATTTTCAGTTAAAAACAACAATACAATTTGTTGCCAGCAGAGCTGCACTACAAGAAATGCTAAGGTAGTTCTTCAAGCTGAAGGCAAATATCAGGGTAAAACTCATTCATGACAAAAGTATGTCAGAAATACTCAATACATGAATAAATATTAAAGACTTTTTAAAATTAAACTTGTTTAAAAAATCAGTGTTTAAAGCAAAATCACAGCATTGCTGTGTAGGTTTTACAAAAAAATGAGATATAATGCATATGAAAACTTTAGCATATGGCATGGTTGAGAAAGACTAATTGGACCTTTTTGGCTGCAAAGTTTCCACATTTTATGTGAATTAGCACAATATAAAATCTAAGCAGATTGTGAAAGGATAGACATGCATATTTCAATCCATATATCACTACTAAAAATACAATGAGGTGCAGCTAAAATGCCAAGAGATACAGTAAAATGTAATTGCTCAAAATTTTACTAATAAAAAGAAAGCAGGGAAGCAAAACAGAGGAGCAAAAAGCAGTGAGGACAAACAATATAATTAATAGAATAGTAAATAAGATAGTAGACCAACATCCAACCATGTAAATAATTACATGAAATGCTAATGGAATAAACACTCCAATTAAAAACAGATTATTAGAGTGAATAAAAAGGCAAGACCCCAATATATGCTATACAAATATAAATACAGTCATGTGATACATAATACATTTCAGTCAAGGATGGACCACATATACAATGGTGGTCCCATTAGACTAATGGAGCCGAAGATTTTCTATTGCCTAGTGATGTTGTAGCCATTGTAATATGGGAGTGGAATGCATTATTGTGTGTTTGTGGTGATGCTGGTGTAAATAAACCTACTGCACTGCCAGTTATATAAAAATCTAGCACAAACAATTATATACAGTACATAATACTTTCTAATGATAACTAGAAATTATGTTACTGGTTTATGTATTTACAATTTTAAACTTGTGTTTTACCTACCAAAAAAATAAGTTAATGATAAAACAGCCTCAGGCAGGTCCTTCAGTAAGCATTCCAGAAGAAGACATTGTTATCATAGAGGTGACAGCTCCATGTGTGTGATTGCCCCTGAAAACTTTCCAGTGGGGCAAAATATGGAGATGAAAGGCAGTGATATTGATGGTCCTGACCCCATGTAAGCCTGGGCTAATGAGTGTGTGGGTTTGTGTAAGTACACTCTATGATGTTTGCACAAGGACTAAATTGCCTAATAAAGCATTTCTCTGAGCATATTCCCGTTGTTAAGTGATGCATAACTATACACATATGGATGGAAAGTAAATGGATGGGAAAGGTACCATGCACATAATAGAGTGAAATGAGAAAATTAGAGTGGCTATAGTGATATTAGATAAACTAGATGACAAGGAAAAGTATACTGTAAACATGGGCATGTGCTATAAACTGAATGTTTGTGCCCTCCACTCCAAAATTAGACGTTGATAACCTAATGTCTAATCTGATGGTATTAGGGGGTGGGGTCTTTAGGAGGTAATTAGGTTATAAGGGTGAAGTGAGCCCTCATGAATGGGATTAATGCTCTTATAGGAGGAGATGAGAGCTTTATCTCTCTTTCCTCTCTGCCACGTGAGGATACAAGGAAAAGAAGGCCATTTGCAAATCAGGAAGTGGCCGCTCAGCAGACACAGGGTCTGCTGGCTCTTGATCTTGGACTTCCCAGCCTCCAGAACTGTGAGAAATAAATTTCCATTGTGTAAACCACACAGCCTCTGGTATTTTGTTATCGCAGGCTAAACTGACTAGACAACATGACATAATGATTTAGTCAAATGAAAATTCATCACAAACACATAAAACCATAAGTGTGTTTGTCACTGACAGCAGACCCTCAAAATATATGAAGCAAAAAATAGAATTAAAGGGAGGAATAGTTGATTTCACATAGTGGATTTTTATAGCTCTCTCAGCAATTGGAAAAACAACCTGAAAGAAATTCAGTAAAGACATAGATGATTTGAATAATACTATTGACCATCTTGACCGCATTGATATTCATAGAAACTACCAATAATTGCATAATCTACCATCTTTTCAAGAGCATGTGGTACTCGCACCAAGACAGCCCATATTCTGGGCTATAAAACAAATGTCAGTAAATTGAAAAAATTGATATAATAAAGAGTGTTGTATTAGTCAGGGTTCTCTAGTGAGACAGAACTAATAGGATAGATGTATATGTAAAGGGGAGTTTATTAAGGATTATTGACACACACGACCACAAGGTGAGGTCCCACAATAGGCCGTCTGCAAGCTGAGGAGCAAGGTAGCCAGTCCGAGTCCCAAAACCTCAAAAGTAGGGAAGCCGACAGTGCAGCCTTCAGTCTGTGATCAAAGGTCCAAGGGTCCCAAAGCTGAAGAACTTGGAGTCCAATGTTCGAGGGCAGGAAACGTTCAGCACAAGAGAAAGATGGAGGTCAGAAGACTCAGCCAGTCTAGTCTTTCCATGTTCTTCTGCCTGCTTTTTATTCTGGGAGAGCTGGCAGCTGATTAGGTGGTGCCCACCCAGATTGAGGGTGGGTCTGCCTTTGCCAGTCCACTGACTCAGATGTCAATCCCCTTTGGCAACACCCTCGCAGACACACGTAGGAACAATACTTTGCATCTTTCAATCAAGTTGATACTCAATATTAGTTATCAAAAGTATGTTCACTGACAACAATGGAATTAAGTTAGAAATCAATAAATAAGACATCTTGGGTTTTCCATACACTGCTGGGGGGCATATTAAATGTTTCAACAATTTGAGCAACCTGTCTGACAGTTTCTTATGAAGTTTAACTTACACTAAACACATGACTTTGTCATTCCATTTCTAGATATCTACTCAAGGGAAATGAAAACACAAAGACTTGTATGTAAATATTAATAGTAGCTTTGTTCAAAATAGCAAAAATCCTGGAAACAAACCTAATGTGCATCAACAGGTGACCAGATAATATGTTTCCAATCAGTGAAATACAACTCAGTAAAAAATAAATGAAATGAATATACCAATATAAATGAATCTCAAAATAATTATGTGAGGTAAAAGAAGCTAGATACAAAAATTCTGGATAACTCAGGGTCAAAAAGTAGACTGGTGGTTTCCTGGAGTTGAGGGACTAAAAGTGTGTACACAGAAACTTTTAAGGCGATGAAATATTCTGTCTTTCAATAGTAGCAACATTATCTTTTGCATATGCATCTTTCAAAATGCTTTGAGTTGTGCATACTTAGATGGCTACAATATGTAAGTTATATCTCAATAAACTGATTAAAATATGTTACCTAAAGAAATTCAATCTGGTTAGAAACAAAATGCCAAGATTAACCAAACAGGAAATGCAAACAAATCCCTGTTGCTTCTCAACATACTTTGACATTGGTCTATCAGTTGTTGAAAAGCATGTCATAGCATGAATTATGAAAAGCAGTATACCACCGTGGTCAGTAATCTGTGAATGTTTTCCAATAGCCACAGGTGATTCAAATGAATCTTTACCTTTATTGTGAAAAGATTTGAATCAAACTTCACTAAAAAACTAAAGAATAAATTGGTTTCTGACAAATTAGAGATGGTTAAATGCATGGTCATGACAGTTATTAAAATAGACTATAGATTTTATAACATGTTTCATTTTTGTCCTCAATAATTTATGGTGTGTATTATAATTGATGACATCTTAAAATCAAGAAACTATGACATATGTAAAAAGTGTTCTATCGAACACCTGGCACGTAACAAATAATTGATTGTTTAAAGTTTTTGTTTTGTTTTGTTTTGTTTTGTTTTTGAGACAGAGTCTCGTTCTGTCACCCAGGCTAGAGTGCAGTGGCGCTATCTCGGCTCACTGCAAGCTCCACCTCCCGAGTTCACGCCATTCTCCTGCCTCAGCCTCCCGAGTAGCTGGGACTACAGGTGCCCACCACCACGCCCAGCTAATTTTTTATATTTTTAGTAGAGACGGGGTTTCATCGTGTTAGCCAGGATGGTCTCAATCTCCTGACCTCGTGATCCGCCCACCTAGGCCTCCCAATGTTTAAAGTTTTAAAGGTAAGCTTTTAACATTTGGGAAAAGAGAAATAAAACAGGTTTATATATATATATGTGTATATATATATACATTTTGTGGACTACATATAGTATATATATTGTATAATATAAATATATACAATATAAATTTAGCCTATATATTATATATAATATATATATATTTGGTGAACTATTAGATATATAAAATATATATACACTATATATAAAATACAGTGTGTGTATATATATATATATAAAATGTATAAAATTCACCAGAAGAAGTTCTTTCCTAAATATTCTGTCAAATTTGTTTTACTGACCTGCATTCTACGATAATAGATGATCCCTTTACATGAGAACTAAATAGCCTCAGAATCTGGAATACCAATGTCCCTCCAGGACATTTTCTTAGCTGGAAGCTTCAAAATTATTAACTATAATCTTGCTACACTATTAGTACTAAGATGAATCACAGTTTAAAACGTCATTAAAGATGGCTAGAAATTGGGCATTGCTCTTTTAAATAGAGAGGAAGAACAGGAAAGGGATTGAGATTTTTTTCTACTGCAGTGGTGAAATGTCTCGTTTCCCCTTATAAATTAAACTACGTCAGTGGAAATACTCTTCAGAGTTTCTAATCAGTTTAGAATCATCAACCCATTACTTTTTTACAAAACTGATATAATTTCATTTGAAAGTAAAGAGGTTTGCTGTTTAATTAACAGCTAGATTTTTAAAATATTAAAATAGGTCACAGACAACTAAGTGGTCACACACATGTTGACTGCCGAATACCATTCCCCAGTAAAGAGACAACCAGGGTTCCTTGGAGAAATGACTGCTCCAGGCCTAAGCCAGAGAAAGTACATCTCAAGATGAACTTGAGAAATTTTGATGTGTCAGAAAAAAAAGAAAGTTTTTGAAGGTTGACATGGTCATGACAAAATGACGGAGTAGCCAGCTCAAAGGAGCTCTCACTAGCCAAATTTAGAAGCTGTGAGAGTAAAATAAGAGAGAGAGACACTACCTGATTTAAGTCATTGAAATAAGTAAAATTCTATGAGTTCATAGTTGCATTCCAACAAAGAAAAAAGAAAAAGAAAGAAAAAATAGAGAAAAAAGATATTCCCTTTACAAAATAATGTCAGTTAATGAACATATAAAGAATGATAGAATTGTAACTAGAAAAATAATTTTTCAGTCCTCAATAGATGATAATTGATTCAGGCAAGAATCATCAATGGATACAGAAAGCATGGCCAATATCTGCTTAGAAAAATAGGGACTTTGCATGGTACCAAAATATCTCCTCACAGATTACTTAGTAGTTACAAAGGAGAAACAGCTTAACAATGGAGAGATATCATGATCGTAACCAAGGAATAAAGTATAATATTGGCAACAGTAATACAACCTGATACTATGAGCTTTCTGATGTGATACCTTGGGAAATATAACATTGTCTGTGTATTATTCATGTCAAAAACGTTTAATCTCAATCTAATCAAGATTTAGATCTAAATTTCATTTCTGAGATACCAAGAAGTACTGATCAGACAAAGTCAGAATGTGGGAATTCTGTAAAACAGCACTGTTTTTTTAGATTATTTTTTATTTTACTATAAGTTCCAGGATACAAGTGCAGAATGTGTAGGTTTGTTACATAGGTAAATGTGTGCCATGGTGGTTTGCTGCACCTATCAACCCATCGCCTAGGTTTTAAGTCCCACATGCATTAGCTATTTGTCTTAATGCTGTCCCTCCCCACGCCCCCCACCCTCCGACTAGCCCTGGTATGTATTGTTCCCCTCCCTGTGTCCATGTGTTCTCATTGTTCAATTCCCACTTACGAGTGAGAACATGTGGTGTTTGGTTTTCTGTTCCTGAAAACAGGTCTCTTGGGCTCTTCCAAAAGCCAATATCATGAAAAGAAAATATGCAGGAATTGTTCCAACTCAGGCCTGTCCATTAAAACTTCAAGTAATAGTGAATATATTTTTTATCTTTGGTGTACAATATAGTAACCATTAGCCACATGTGGCTATTAAGCACTTGAAGTATAGCTAGTGATACTAAAGAATTATATTCGATAGGGTATTTCTAGACTATAAGAGACTGAAATGGCATAAGAACCAAATGAGATCCCATACCCTGATGGGATTCTGATTCAAAACAATAAAAGCTATAAAATATATCTTTGGAATAATTAGTAAAATTTTAACAAGAAGGAGATACTAGGTGATATTTTTAAATTATTGCCAATTTTTCCAGGGCTGCTAATAGTAATTGTGGTTATGAAGGAGGCTGTCCTTGAGAGATAAGAGGTAGATGCTTAAATGTGCAAGGTTTACATGAGAGATGTCTAAAATATGTGTGTGTGTATCTCCATGTGTGTGTGTGCATATGTGGGTGTGTGAGAGAGAGAGAAAGAAAGAGAAACAGAGAGATGGAAGCAAATATGACAAAATGTTCACAAATGCAGGAGGAGAGTGTACAGATGTCTGTTAAAATATTCTTCAAATTTTTATGTTTTTTGAAACTTTTAATAACAGCTGGGGAAAAGCAGCTCACAAATTCCAGCTTTGCTGACCCTAAGTGTCCAGGGACCTGACATTGGGCATCACTAGTCAAGGTTGAATCTGCCTACACAGATCCAGAAGGAGAAGAATCAGAGGCCAGAAGGGAGAGGAATTTGTTAAGGACTCCCTGTCATTCATGGGCTAACAAAAGCCTCCCAGCTTGGACCCAAACCCCCAGCACAGCAGTCTACATTTTTGCACAGCATGGTGCAGAGTCCCGACTACAAGAAAAGGTACAAAATAGTGGCTCAGAGCATATGCTACAGGGTTAGATCATCCTCTCTTTGAAGATTCGCTTTATCAAGTCAGGTGACCTCCTCAGTTTTCCCATCTGTAAAGTAGATAGCATTAACTTCAAGATTTTTCTTTTTAGAAATGTTAACACAAACTATGATAATTAGCCCAGTGACTGGGAGATATTTTCACCATTGTTATCTATGTTATCATTAAGTAAAATGCTCACAGCACCTGGCTTCTAAGTATTTGATAAATATTAATTAGCAATAACAATAATGTGTTATGTATATATGTGCTGTGCTGGGAAGAGACCCTAGCAGTACTCTTTGTGGGAAAAATTTTGTTGGCTTTGAAAACAAATAAAGTACACTAAGTTCAATTTGGATTGTACGTTAGATAAGATAGGCTAAGATATGTGTGAAGAAAAATTCAGCTTAAAAATCCAGCAGCTTAATAGAAAGAAAGGTGATTTCTTGAGGGTGTTGGCTATATTTACTTCCTTAATCTGTATACTGGTTACATGGATGTATTTATTTCTTAAAAGTATACCCAGTGATTATTTTTTAATTTTATACCCTTTGAAGAAATGTCAATACAGTTTCTAAAAAATTAAACAAAAAAATAAAAATATTTCAGCCTTGTTTTATCGTAAACTTATTTTTCTTTCACACAGAACCCAATGCAACTCAAGTAGTTTCTGGAAGATAATGACTCAGACATTCTGGTGTTCTTTAGAGCTGATCAGAGATTTTCCACTTCCAGGCCCAGTAGATATGCCCCACTGAAGTTTAGTGTGGCTGTGTATGTCAGGATTCTCCAGAGAAATAGAACCCTTAGGATATCTACTTACATTTATATGTATTTATTTATTTCAAGGGATTGGCTTACATCATTGTTGGGGTTTTTAAGTCCAAAATTTGTACAGCAGATGGGCAAGCTACGAACCCTTCGGCAACAGCTCATGCCACAATCTTGAGGCAGAATTCCTTCTTTCTCAGGGAAACCCCAGTTTGGCTCTTAAAGGCTTGTCACTGGTTACACTAAGCCTACCCACCCAGATGATCAGGAATAACCGCCTTTAGTTAAAGTCAACTGATTCTATATATGAATCAAATATACAAAATAACTTCACAGCCACATAGTTTGGTGTTTAATTGAATACTAGCCATCACAGTGGGCAAGTGAATATCTTTGCCAATGAAATGAGAGGGGAATTAATGTTTATCATTTCTGAGAGGCAGACCAAGAGTTGTTGAATTATGGAGTATACAATCCAACATTTTATTTCCCATCTCAGCAATCGTGGGCACTTATGCAATGGACCACCACCAGCCTGGGTACTTGAGTAACTACAGTGAGCACAGTCCCCAGCAACCCTTTCTTGTACAGGTAGAGTGAGAAAGAAATAAACCTGTGGTTTTACATCATCGGCAATTAGGATTTGCATTTCTTAGCAGCAGCAAAACTGTCTTCCATCTTAACATGAAGCTTCCATGGTCAGCAGGGTAGGGGAGGAAAGCTAGTGAGTCACAAACTGATTCTAACCGTGGTCCAGAAATGGCACACTCTGCTTTTGCTCTCAAGCCATTGGACAGAACTGGTCTCTAAGCTGTCTCTAACTCCATGAAGCTATAAAAACGAGCGGGGGCCACAGGGGTGCCAAGCAGTCCAATAATGTCTCTGCCTCATACTTCTTAACAGTCACCCTTGCTTTCTAGATGACTGAAATTCTTTGCACTTTGTTTCTCCTAGATAATAGAGATATAGATTCCCATGTTATGTGGTTGTGATGAGGATTCAATTAGATGATTTTTGTCAAAGAGTGTCACAGGGTAAGTCCCTAGAATGGAGTTACCTGCTTTTATTGGCCCTATAAAGTGGAAGTTCTTAACCAGTAGGAAGGAAAGCTTTTAGATTACATATACCTGAAATTACAAGCAAAATTTTGCTAGAGTATGCTTATGTGCATTTTTTTGGTGGCATGATCATGACTTTTCATTAGATTTTCAGAGTGAGACCTTGAGCCCAAAATGTTAAAAATCCAATGATTTTCTTAACTGGAATAAGAAAAAATAAATCCATGACTCCAGACTGAGATTTATTCGATTCTCTATTTCCCTCAAGGAGTTAGGGCTCAGAATGAGGGCCTCCATGCTGCTCACAGTGAGAGCAAAATCCCTGTATTTGCTCCTGAGTTCATTTTGTCACGATGTCTCCACCTTTGAGCTGGGTGCTGCTCTCTTAACATTTTTTTCTCATCATCAGGCTTTGTGTTCTGAGCTCCCTGAGATTTCTCTTGCTTCTTCCTGGCTCCTGCAGGGTCATTAACCTCACTCTTGAGTAATAGTCCTAATGGGAAAAACCATTGCAATCAACAAATTAAGTAATTTCCACACATTTTGCTCTTCAACTTTATTTGATATTTTCAAGGGCCTGCACTGCACAGAGTAAAATTGGTAGGCTCTATTCAAGAGATCATAGAGCTTGCTGAATTCAAAACTCCCATTTTTTTGTCCAGTTGAATCTCCTACACCAATCCTTTGCTACAATTTGTCAAACTCTGAGGCCTTGAATATCTTTTTCAAGGAAATTGCAATTAGGGGAAATCACTTCTTATTAAACCTAGTAGAGTCTGTTCTTAGTTAAAGGCCTTTATTCCTCATTCAAATGCCTTCTGGGAATTTTAAGCAGATATGTTGGGTAGTTTTTTCTCATTAACCTTGAAACCATGTGGATTATTTAATTCTTAATGAAATCATATCATATGCACACCCTTTTGATCTTTAAATGAATTAAGTGGTTCTGTTTTCAACTTTCCCTGATCATTCTGAAAAACCTGGCAGAGAATCCATGTACACTGCAGGATTAGGCCCAGAACAAAGGGCAATTTTTATTATTCAGTTTTCCAAATGTGGATGCTTATTCTCTGGTCATTTCTACTTAGGCAAAAGTTGCGAGTTTGCAGTGAATGTAATTCTCTTATTTGCTAATGTACAAATCCCCTCACCAGGAAAGATAGTTTTATGATTATGTCTTAGAAAACCACGTGCATTGCCCATGGCCCCCAGGCATTCTTTTAGCTATAAAAGGAAGGTTCTAGTAGAAGGACCTCAGGCTCTGCTACCAGGCTGAGGAATGTGTAATCTTATCTTTAGATTTACAGGTTGTTGAACCATGAATTAATATTTATTTTAAAGTGATTTGGGTGATGATGATGATGTCAGATAACTATATGTCAGCACCTAGCACATAGTTGTCATTTTCCCAGTTGCCAAGTGAGCATCATGTGCCAGGGTTCTCCATGTCCCCCCGGAGGTCTATTCATTCAGCGCCTCTGGTGTAGTTGATCCAATCCAAACTGACATTTGTCTTTATCTTCGTTTGTTCTATCTTTATGATTTTTACCAAGAAGTGCAATATTTGAAAAGATCTTTGAAATATTCAGTTTTCAATCTTTGATAATTATACTCATTTAAACCTGCATGAAGATAAAGTCTTACCATCTCTATTTTGCAGATGAAAAAACCAAAGACTTACATGAAGTAAGTAACTTGAAAAGCTGAAAAACGGCAAAGTTCCGCCATTTACCATAAAACCCTTCTTAAACTATGCTCCTAGCATGTATACTTGGAATATGTCTGTATACTTAAAATCATATCTGTCATGTGATTGTTATTCTTTACATGTACTTTTTTAGTAGTATTGAATGAAGAACACATGAATTACAGTAAGTACTCAATACGTGCTATCGTTATTATTATTTTTCTCACTGGAATAAATGGATGAAAGAAGTAAAAGAGAATAAAATACAGGATATGGAAGGCGATTAGGAGGGACAATCCTCTGTTTTAATTTAATTTAGTTTTTTTGAGATGAGGTCTTGCTCTGTCACCCAGGCTGGAGTGCAGTGGCACAATCACGGCTTACTGAAGCCTCAACCGCCAGGACGCAGGTGATCCTCCCACCTCAGTGTATGCCACCATGCCTGGCCAATATTTTTATTATTATTATTTGTAAAGACACAGTCTCGCTATGTTGCGCAGGCAGATCTCAAACTCCTGGGCTCAAGTCATGCTCCTGCTTAAGCCTCCCAAACTGCTGGGATTAGAGGCATGAGCCACTGTGCCCAGTCAATACCCTACTTTTAAAGAAGCAAACATCTTTAGACTAAAAATAGTTATGGAGTTATAGAAAACTCAGTAAAAACAGAAATAAAAACCTAACTCTATTTTAGTAAAAGTCTAACTCTATTTTAATTTTTGACATAACCAGTCAGAGAAACTAAATAATCCAAGACAATTTTGAATGCAGTACTCCAAATATACACTTTTAGTATGATATTGCTTAAGGACAAAAAGAACCACCAGAACCTTTATTTAGTAAGTTTCTTGTTAGTATTAATATTGATATTAAAAATGTGAAAGTGTTTACTTCTACTACAGACAAGCAAATAAGTAAGTGCCTTGATATCATTAGAACCCAATATTTTCCTTGTAAGAAAAATAAAATAAAAATATCAAATAAACTAAACTAAGGAAATCCTGCCAGGTAAAATTTGAATTAGAAATGTCAGGATGATCTCATGGTTTAAATATGCAAATATTTTCTTGCTTTTCTACTGAAAGGGCCTAGAGTCAATGATGACACAGAAGCAGTGAACACACATGGCTCTCAGATCTTAATTCCCAAATGCTAGGGAGTCGGGCCTCTCTAAGAAATGGCCGATTCCAGATCTGAGACGTGGAAATGCTCAATAAATCTGCAACATCATGTGGCAAAAAGCAAAAAAGTGTTGAAAGCCTAGGTGACCATGAATAAGGGATACAGCAGGGTGTTATGTGTATTTCAAAATATTATGAAGAATGCCTCCTCTTGTTTGGTTGTAATCATGGATATATCACCCCAAATGAAATAGCTATTCCAATAAGCATGGCCACCTCACCTAGGAAGATATAAACATGGTGAGCATGAGAACATTAGAGAATAATAGTGTAACTCTCAATAATTTAACTCAAATGATGTCACTCAGTGATGTAACTTTGAACTAATAGAAAATGAGATGTACCGGAACTCCTGGGTCCTGCACTAACATAAGACTGCTCAGAACTGCTATACTCCCTGCCAGCCTGCTACATCCCCCCAGCCAGTGTCATTGAACAACCTTGTACTCTCTTTCTTGTGACATTCCTGGAAACATTAGAATATTCACAGGCAGAGGACAACTCATGATGGGCAAGGCAGACAGAACAGTACTGAACAATTAGGGATTCGGGTCATAGTTCCCTTTCCCACCTTTTAATTTTGCTTAGCCCCTTAGCTTTTTAAGGAGATAATGCTTGGATTTGTAAATGCTGAAAAAGTGTTATTTGTATGATTTCTTTCTTCTGCTTTTGCACTCTGTAGCTCAAAGAACTACATTTTCACTGTGAGTTGAGTGACTTGAAATTGAAACTAAAATCAGAAGTTTGAGTGAAACACAGGAGCCATCTTTACAAAGCTCTTATTGTCTAAATCTGTCATAATTTGACACAAATAGACTAATTTTGGAAATGGATTATAACATGTTGAATTAAAAAAAACTATGTGTCCTTATTGTTATGTAGAAAACAGGGATAAAGAGGAGAAAAATGGAAAGAAAGTCAGCTCATAAGTTCTATTAGAGTTCACTAGAGAAACAGAACCAGCAGGAAATATATACATATATAATATTTATAAAAATATATATTATACATATGCTATATTATATATTTATAAATATATTACATATTACATGTTTATAAATGTATTATATCATATATAATATATTTATATATCATATATTCAGGTTTATAAATATATATTATATATTTATAAATATTTATATTTTATATATGTATATTATATAGTACGTATATTATATATTATATACTATATAATATATGTATATAATATATTATGAATCATACATATATTATATATCATACATATATTATATATCATACATATATAATATATATTTATAAATATATATTTTCTACTTCATATATATAGACACACAATATATGTGATATATGAAGAGGTTTTTATAAGTTATTTGCTCATGATATTATGGAGGCTGATTTGCCCTCTGGAAGCTGGAGACCCAAGAAAGCCAATGGTGTAGTTCACATGCCCAAGATTCAGAAAGCTGATATTATAGATTCCAGTTCCAGTTTGGGTCTAGAAACCTGAGAACCAAGAGCACTGGGGGCAGGAGAGGGTTAATGTCCCAACTCATGTAGTCAGATGGAGTGGATTTAACCTGCCTCTTCCTTTCCTTTTTGCTCTATTCAGGCCCTCAGTGGGTTGGGTGATGCCCACTCACATTGGGAGGAGGTCTGCTTCATTTGGTCCACTGGTCCCAATGCTCATCTCCTGAAACACCTTCACAGATGCACCCAGATACAATGTTCAATCAGCTATCTGGGCATTCCACGGCCAAGTCAAAGTTGACACATAAAATTAGCCATCACATAAATGTAGAATAATGCTTAGGAAAAAATCACTATTTTGCAACCCCTAAGATAATAATTAATTCAGGCAAGTATCATTGAGAGATACTAAAGTCACTCATAAAAAGTTGCTCGGAAATACAATAATCACATGATCTTGAAGTTTCATCTCATGTATTAATTAGTAATTATAAAAGGGAAAATGTATTTCTAAAATGAAGGTGCCAGGCTATCACCACTTAAGTGATCAAACCTAGTATTACCAATAAATATTACCAATAATGGGACGAATTGACAATATCTGCCTCTGATGTTAAAATAAAATTATATAACATTATCTTTGTAGTATCATTTCCAATTCTGCACATAGAAAATACTTTTTAAATATCCATAATGAGGAACATTCTGTAAAAAAAAAAAAAAAAATGACCGAGACTCTAACATTTTTAATACCACTTAAAATATTTCGATGATTCAAAAAACTTAACAGTCAATGCAATGTACAGAATTTGGTTGGATCCTGAATCAAGGGGACAAAAAACAGTTATAAAAGGGAGGTATCTTGGGGACAGTTGAAGATGTTTTAGTATAGACTGTATTACGACAGAAGTATTGACTTTTTGTTATTGTTTTCATATGTGCTAGTGATGTTGTGTCATTTGCAGGGCACCTGTTAAAGTACTTGGGGAAGACGTATCATCACTTTCTTCTTCTTCTTTTTTTTTTTTTTTTTTGTTGGTATCATCACTTTAAAATTCCTCCCCCCAAAAAGTTGATAAACAGATAAACCAATGACACAAAATTTTATCAACTGATAAAATAAGTAAAGAGCATATAGGTATTTGTTATTGGATCCCAACACCACATCTTTGTTTGTTGTTTATGATGCTTGGGATGAAACTCAGGAAACCCTATTTCTCCTTAGCCAGCTGTCCTCACATTAGGCTCCTGTGCTACGGTGGCAGAAGAGAGACTGAAGGCTGCAAGAGGGAGAAGCAAAGTGAAGCCTTCTGTCTACTTGCTGTTCCTGCAGCATCCCCCCAGCAATTCTTCAACCTAATAGGCAGTTGTTTCCCAGTAGCACTTGGTTCCAGTTTCCTTTCTCAAACATTCAAATCAAAGAACCGGACTCATTGCCATCTTCCAGCCTGCCTTTGCCCCGTCTTCGCAAGGAGCCTCCTCCAAGCCCCCAGCGTGTTAGCTCCAGCTGGGCAGCACCTGCTCTGCTTTTTGAAGTCTGGCTATAAACTCTGTGGACCCCTTTTCCGTGCATCTAGGTTTTAGTCCTCCAGTGTCTGTTGAACATATCTCCTATGCTGAATTCTTTCTGCTAAAATAATGAGTGTACCTCTGTTTTCCCGATCAGAGTCTCATGGGCACCATGCTTTCAATTTATCTGAAAATTTGAAGTTTCAACACATAAAAAAGTTGAGAAGAATTGACCGTGGTTTGGGATACTTAAAAAATAAAAAATAAAACAAATAAATAAAAATTCACCTATATGACCACCATCCATTGTCAGTGATTTTGTGAAATCTAGAGAAAATGTGGAAGTTTCAAAAATTTTGGAAGCACCAAAGTATAACATAATTTTTGAAAAGAGAAAAAGTAGAATCTGCCAATTCTAAGCAAGTGTTCAGAAGCCAACATTATTTAGGGCTCTTTCACTGAATTGCCACGGTAATGTTGATCATCAGCAGCGTTAGCAGCAATAGGTGTGCATAAGATTATTTTCCCTGAAACCTTCAATAGCTGCATGTTCCAGAGAGTAATATCCTGGACCATCTTCTCTCTAGTAAATTTTGTGAGTTGCTGACATTCTTCCTTTCTTTGCTGTGGTCCATCATGAGCAAAGAATACTTCCCCATCCCATTTATGCGGGCTTGTCCAGATAACTAGTTTTACAAATAATATATGGGAGAAAATGGCATGGTTTCTGTGATGAGCTGTGGCCTTAATAGACACTGAACATTCCCTCTCACTTATTCTGAGCATCTCCTGTCCACTATAGAAAATGTGTGTCCTGGATACCCAGTGGACCTATAAAGAGAGACATTTGGATCAGAAATGAACCCAAACCACAACTTGAAGCAGAGTCACTTAAGAAAACCTGACTCTTGAGCAAGAACAATATTATTATAAGGATACTGGCTATAATAAAATCTTTAAAATGTGACACTATTTTGAAACTTTACAGAAACCAACTAGGAAACCAAAATAGGAGATTGAATTTTAAAAAATGAAAACCTATGTAATATGCTGGAAAAAAATTGGTAAATCTGTCACCTGAAGCAACATAGATAGCAAGAAAAAAATACATACGCAACAGATTTGGGCAAGGAGTTTTTGAGGCAGAATGTTGATAGTGTGAACTGGTTCTTTCCACCTGCATTTGACTGTGTGCTTTGAGAAAGGGATGAGCTCAGAAATGAACTAATTAGTTTGCAAGCAGAAATGCAAAAGAATGTGGAGTTATCCAAAATGCTGGAGTTTAAAGAGGTTGAAAATGAAACTTTTTTTTAATCCTCTACAGTAAAGTTAAAAATTAAGAAAACCTTTGAGTTAGAAAGGCCACTAAGACTCAGTCTTGAGGCAAGCTTCAAACCAGAGTGTGGCTATCATACCACTTATCAAGATCCCTAAGAGCAATATACTCACGTAACAAACCTGCACTTGGACCCTATGTATCTAAAATAAAAACTGAAGTTATTAAAACAAGGCTGTGAAAAGATAAACTGTAAAAATATCCCTAAAAGGATTAAGGTAGTGCCAGGCAGATTCTTTCAGTGGAATAAGATGTTTCCTAGAAAGAAGACTAAGGGTGTGGCCTCAAATAACTTTAATTATACTCACAATAGAGATGAGTATATGGAGTAAAACCTGTATCTCAAAAAGATTTGTGCATGTGGTTTTTGTTAGATGAAGTTGATTAAAATCAATAACATGCAAGCATTCTAAAGAAAACCTAGCCACCACAGCACAATAACTCAACTGAGAAAGAACAAATAAACCAACAAAAACAACCAAAAAAAAAAAAAACCCATTGACTCCTCCAGAGAAATACAACACATTCATAAGCTACAATCAGGATTGCACCATTTTCAGTATCAAATCTAGTTAAAAAGTCTCTCCTTTGAGAAAACATATAAAGTTTATACTATATAATAATATGGTCCCTGAATCACAGAAAAGCTATTTTCCTACAGAAATTTTTCTTTCCAGATAATTAAAGAACCTCAAGTTTAATAACTTAAGTCAGAAAGGGGTCTATACTGTATATTTTACTCTAGCCCAGAATAGGTTGTTGTTTTGCTAAAGGATTCTATTCTCAGTGTTGTAGTCTCTAACACCAAGGCCAACAGAATCCAGGTGGTCTCAAAGATGCAATGCAATTGTCATTCATGACCATGATTTCCATACCTTCTAGTAGTTACTCATGACTAAAAGTCAAGAAAGATTTTACAGCCATCTGCATGATATGCCCAGAACAATTCCTTGCTCATCAGTTAACTCCAAGACTGTTCATTGCCCTCTACTTGAACTCCACTAAGAAGCACTATGTTCAGACTCTTCTCACTAGACCAGCTCTCTAGCATGACTTGAATCCCATATCCACGGGCTTAAGCCCAGGCTGTAGCTTTTTCTTAAATCTGCATCAAGATTTTCTGTAACCTCAAGGTGACATATAAGCTTCTACATCCATTGGGAGGTCAGGTAATCACTCTGTGATTCTCCCTGTGAGAATCTGCATCAAGACAAACCATAAGGGATCAACTTTGAGAAAGTGCATAAGTAAAGACTAAGTTTTACTACTAATATAGACCCTCAATAAAAAAGTAGCCATCAAAGAACAGCCCATGCCACCCAGATACAGCTAATATGGTACATAGAGCCAAAGTTCCACACTAGTCCAGAAGAGAAACGATTGTCTTGGCCATACTGGTTCAAATCCATCATAAAGAGGTTGCTATCTGAACCCTCTGTTTGGCCATTGCTACCTCACTGGGTATAGACAGGACTCTAACTGGAGGTCAACTCAGAAAGCAGATCCAACAATTTAACAAATTCAGTAATTTAAATTATTATTTTACATTAATAATACAACCTTTTACAGTAAAAAGGTTTTCAGATATTACTTTAGATTAACATTTCCCAAAACATGTACAATAGAATTCCATGAGACATTAAAAAAATCTTTTTAGGAGGAAGTTATCTCCAGCATTTGCAAACACATGAAGCCCTGCCCCCTCTACCTACTGTTTTCTATGAGCATCTTAAAGGGTTGTGTTCTGAAGAACATTCCTTTAGGAAATACCTACACTAAGTGAGCCACACCAGATAATTTGGGTCAAGATTCTTATGCCCAGTGAGGACAGGACATGATAATATGTTTCCCTGCCAGAGTCTGCCTTATTAAGGCTTAAGTGTGTAGGGGTGAAAAGAAAGGTTCCCTTTCACCCATCAAAGTTTCACTGAAAAATCAACTCATAAAAGGCAGAATAGTCAGAGAAATGACATACAATTTATTAACGTGTACACAGGGAGAGTCACGAGTGATTACCTGACCCCCCTCTCAATGGATGTAGAAGCTTATATGTCATCTTGAGGTTACAGAAAGAATAAAGGCCGAGAGTAGCCAAAAGCAAGTTATGGTGGTAAATCAGGTGATTGTCAAGAGAAGCTGTGGGAGGAGAGAAGAGGAGGCTTGGCTAACAAAGGTGGTCTTCTTATATAAATGAAACCTCACAGGTAGCAGTTGTCAGAGAGTATAGATGGGAAATATTTCTTTCAGTCCCTTAGAGGTATCAGATTCTCAGTTAATCTTTCCTAGATCTGGACAAGGGAAGGCCTGACAGCGTCAATGCAGATTCTCTATAGATGCAAATCTCTCCCACAAAAGACAGCTTTGCAAGCCTACTTCTGTTTGCTGGCTCTCTGAACAGCCAACTCAAAATGTGTCAAAAACATATATTTTGCCGTAAAATATTTTTATTTGCTTCAGTGCATTTTTCAGGGGTGGGAGAGGGTAACACCTTCACCCTCCATGCCCCTGCCACCCCACACACAATACACCCCAATGATGCTCCCCACGGTCTTTTATACAGCACTTGGCTCAGAGTCAAGGCTCCAAGAATTTCCGCTGAGCTGGATTAAAAGGATTTTAAGCTTAAAATTACTCTTAGGTAAAGAAATAAAAAAAATCACTTCTTGGGAATTTATGATATACTTGGAAATGTAAATATAGCATTTAATAATCAAGATAATTTTAATCTAAAGGAAAAGAAAATAAAAGGCAGTATGAATCTTTCTTGTAATTATGAATCTCTATGAGACTGAAAACAGTAAAGGTAGCAGGATTCAGAGACCATGGAAATTCTATCATTTCTGTTGCATCTCTCTGTGAACGCCACCTGAATACTGAGTGAACACAGCTTCTAGATTCCAAAACCTTATTCCAGCTCAGTCGTGTGAGTCCAGGCTAGATGGGAAGGTTGCACCATTTCTGAATACAAATGGGATTTGCTTTTTTTTCTGATATTTCTTCTTAGGCTGTATATATTTGGAGGAGAACTTGTGATATTTTGGTAGAGAAACATTTATACCAAAATCAGTTCTCGTCTTGTCACTTATCAAAGTCAAACCATGATTGTGGATGAGAGGGGAAAATAATACAGCCACAAGATGATATTCTCCAAACATTTATTGAGCACCTACTGTGTGTCAGAAATGCTCGAGAGCTGTGATGAATGAATGCATAAGATAAAGCTCCTTATACCATTGAGCTCACACTCTAGTGGAGAAGACAAACACACATGCAGTTGACATCTTCATTCAAGAAATAAGACTGAATACCAATCGTGGATAGGGAAATGTGCTAAGCAATGAGGAGTGAGAACATATCAATATCTAATAAAGCAGTGTCTACCTCTGATAAACTTAGTGTATACTTGGAGGAAAAGACAGTGAGTAATTCCCTGCATTGCAATTGGTAAGTGCTATAATATAGTTGCTAACTCTGTCTAGAGATTCAGAAACATTTTCACTCAAGGGTATTGTTTTTTCTGGTTTTTGAAGAGGAAGGATGAATCCATCTGGCAAAGAAGAAAAAGATCCCTAAAAAAGCAACAAAAGCAGACAAGGGGAAGCCTAAACACTGTTTTTTTAGGGGGACTGTGGAGCCCCTCCGGGTGCACTCAGTCCATTCTAGAGAGGGGGGGTAACTGTCTTCCATAGGAGGTCAGAGTCCACTCATCAGACAGCTGCAGGGACTGATCCTTTTGTGCAACTGACTGATGTACTTGGCCGTCTTCTAAGGTAAGCAGCCCATGCAGCCACCTATCCTGTGCTGTTCTTGTGTCCCCATGCTGGGCTTTCAGCCCCTAATGTTCCTCACACTTCTCATTTTCAAGCCATTCCACTGCATCCCATTGAGTCTCTGCTGTCTGCTACACAGGGACCCTTCCCCTTCCACCTCTCCAACGTGCCCTCCATTTCATGTCTTCACACACAACCTTCTCAAATGGGAGCATCTTATAAATACAACTGCATCCAAAGGTAGTTCAGGGTCAGGATCTGGGATCCATCTGGCCTCTGTTCTCCAACGGCCCTTTTGGCCCTCTGCTCTCCCCCGACTGTGGAAACATCTCTTCTCTTTTAATCATCCCACACTTGGTTAATAATAATAATGATTAATAGTTACTGGGAGATTAAGGTGCTTCAAATGTTTTAAATGTGTCATCATTATAAGTGTTTCCTTTTCTTCCTGAAGTGCTAGACAAGGTCTTCCACTAAGACCAAGGTGGAGGTGGAAGGTCAGAAGCTTGAGGAGAGAAGAGGTATGAAAAAGTATTGGACAGTGGGAAAGCAGCTTGTTAAAAATATAACAAGATTTCCAGATACAGGCATGTGAAGCTAAGTAACTGTTTTTATCTAAGGATGGAGCTTTGCCAAGCAAGCATTAAACAAAGGAAGGAGAGACTGTTCAGAGAGTTGGGGTATTTATAAGATAGTATCTTTAATGCTGGTTCACAAAAACACACTGTTTGAGATGGTCAAGCTAGAATCACTTTGTTAGATGTAGGAACTCTGAAAGGTGGGATATTTAAGCAAATGACCTGGAATCATTGAAGTTGTGGTCAGGGAGGGTATGAATTTGCAGTATTGGATGTTTTGCAGTCTGGTGTTTTCAAGATCTGGCACTTCCTCCCTGGGACTAGGAAGGAACAATGGGGATGTTCTAAACCAGGGCTTTATAACTTAAAATACAATATTTTATTGTTTATTTATGTACATATATATATTTTAGAAATTACATTAAACAACTATTTTCTGTGGTCAACAATGGTATTCTTGTGGCTACCTCAAATTCAGTCTTTAACATTTTGAAGTCACTTGCCTATAGTACCTGCATAATTAGGCATAATTAATTTCCTCCTTCCTGAAATGCTTTCTTCATTTGGATTCTGGGACCCACACCTGCCTCTGTTTACTTCGTTTTGCATCCTGAGTGTGCTCACCTATGCATTTCCCTATGTCATGGGACTACTTTTGTTAGTTTACACATCCCTGCAGATACTTTCACCCACTTTCAGGATTTTAAATATCAGATGCATTTTTCCAAACTCTAACTTCAGTCCTGAACTTCATCCTGAGCTCCAAATGTGAGTAAAATTCTCTACTTTTTGCCAACTAGATACTATACAGACAGCTCAAAATTCAAATTTCCATACCTGACCTGGATTATCCTAGCCACAAACTTGCTTCTATTCTTGTGTTCCTCAATTCAGTAAAACATTCATACTAAGGTGTGGAGGTTTTGAAACATGTCTTCGAGGTTTTTTTTGACATTACTTCCATAGCGAGAGGTACTGTCCATATTCCCTCGTCTTAAATTTTGGAGGGATTGTGATTGCTTCAGCCAATATTGTACTGCTGAAGTTCTCCTATGAGATCTTTGAGATCGGATCATAAAAGCTAATAAAACTTCTACCTGAAGTTGCACTTGGAGCCCTGAGCCACCAGGTAAAAGGCCACCTACAATGAGGCTGCCATGTTGTAATGAAGAAAAATCACACGGGGGATACAGATAGACTGGAGTTTTCCCTTTTCATCTTTACATTCTCCTCACCCATCTGCCAGACACATAAATAAGATTAGTTAATTCCAGCTCATGGCATTGAGTTACCCTCAGCTTTCAATTCTTAAAAGCAGAAGCCTCATACTGACATCACAGACCAAAAACAGGCCATCCTGGATATGCCCTTCTGAATCATTGACCTTCAGAATTGCAGTGAATAATAGAATGGGCATAGTAGAATGGTTGTTATTTTAAAGTTTTAGGTGGTTTGTTATGCATCAATACTTACCGGAACAGACTTTGGCACTTGGAAGTAATTGTGGTTACAGCTACAACAAAATCCTGAAAGATGTAGCAGTGGCTATAGGACCAGGCAGTGAGTGGGACTAAGGGCTCAAGAAAAGGCTGGGAGTTCGGGGAGGCAATTTTGTCAATACGTTCAACTAAAGTGTCATGGAAATCAGAAAATACACTTAATGAATTGATAGATTTGCCTAAGATGATTTAAAGGCAGATTGTTAAAACTTTCAATGGCTTCTTTTAGCTGTGTATGATAAGATAAAAAAGAAAGAGATGAGCTAAAAATGAATCTTTCAAGTTTCAGAAAAAAAAATTAAAGGAAATAGAAAAGACCCAGAATTTTCTGCATTCAAAAATAAAACTATTATTTTCCTAGTTTCTCCCAGAATAATATTCTCAAAGTAAGAAAGGGCCTAGACCAAAGGTCAAATTGAGGGTGATGCCAACAGGGTAAAGACAAACCAAGTATGTGATTAGAAAACCCTTTTGACAAGACCTCAGCAAGATTTAAATTGGTGCTTATAGACTCTTAAGAAGTCTTAAGAAGATCTAAAGATGTCTTTCCATCTTTCTGCATGCCTCATAAGCCCTCTCAGTAAAGCGCTTATAAATTATAAGACTATTGCCTCAAGGCAGTCCAAGTCAAAGAAGAGCTTATTGAAACACTATTTGTAAGTGTGACTTTTGCCTAAATGGAAAGTATCATAAACTGATACACAGGAACCTTAAAATATTTGTAAAGGAATTGTATCAGCTTGAGCTGACAGAGACAGAAACAGTATGAAATAAAAAGAAACTTATTGACCCACAATCTTATATGGGGAGGAATCAGGTTGAGACAGAAAAATCATCTCTTTTGTTCATAAGTTTTTAGATCAAGAAGATTCATACTGGAGAGACTGTCCTTTAAAGTCCCATCTGCACCTATATTTAATTTAGATTATGAGATCTTAGATTTTTTATTTGATTCTGTAACGGAGTGAGAAATTTCTGGTCCTAGAGGAGGAGCCAGGTGTATGTCACATGTGAGAGAAATATAAATCAGATTTCAAACTTCAGTAGTTTTAAAACATGGCTTAAGAAACTTTGGCACTCTGTATTGAATGATAGGGTCCATGCACTTTTTCCTTTGCACCGGTAGAACATGTCTATTATAATGTTGGATTATTTACAATTATAGATCACAAAAGGTACAGCTTCTACCTTGCTCACTAGCTCATTTGTACTTGGAACCCTGAGTCACCATGGAAGAAGTACAAATACCTCAAGCCTGCCATGTTATAAGGGATTTAAACAGCATGGGGAGAAAATATTGATAGTCCAAATCATTAGTTCTTTCCACCCAGCTGCCAGAAATGTGAGTGGATGAGGCTTTAGTTAATTCAAGTCCCTCAGTCTTTAAGTTACCCCCATCTTTCAAGTTTTTGATGAATCCCCAGACATCATGGAGTTGAGAAAAACCATCTCTGTGGTGGGTGCCATTTCTGAATTCCTGACCAACAGACATTATGAGTATAATTAAGTTTGGTGTGGTTTGCTATACAACACTGATAATCAGAACACCAAATCAGAATCCAGGAGGTTAGCCTTAACACATTCTTTCTTATACACACACCTGTATCTCAATTAATATCAAGTATCAATTTTCTACTTCTAAAGTATCTCCTGATTTTATCCTTACCAGAATTAACCCTCCCATCTACCAGCTTTTTCTCTGACGTAAGAAATAATCCTTCTATTTTACTTATTATTCTTCAACTAAAGTGATGTTTCTAAAGTAGAAATATAATTATCATTTTCTCAGTCAGTTGGACTCTCCCACCACCTAGCCCTCTTACAATGCAATATGGTTCACAGGGACCTTCATGAGATGAGCCCTTTTATGCTGTTTAGGTTTGGCCCTCAGCCCTCATATTATGCTCCATACTCTTAGCTATAAAGAGCTCCTTTAATTATCTCAAACACATCCTCCTTTTTCTCTCACTGCTAGGCCTCTTAACTGGCTATTCTCTTTGTTTTACATTCAGTGGTGCCCATTCTACTGCCTAACTCTTAGTTATTCATCAGTTCTCAGCACAGATGTCACTCTGTCCATAGCCCCTAACCTTATTCCCATCCTTTTAATTGTCTATACATTGTTTGATTTTCCTACTAGACTGTAAACTCCTAGAAAGTAGGAACTTCCTTTTTCAAGTGAATAAAGAAATGAAACAGAAGTTGATAACACATGACCCCTAAACTCAAGGAGACATCTTTCCTCCAGAAGAAAGAGGGACAAAAATAAATTTTAAATGGACGTAATTTAGAGAAAGATAGAATAATTTCTGTCTGGAGAAACAAAAATAGCCTTTTACAAATAGTTGTTTTTAAAGTAGGCCTCGGTGAATAATAATTAACAAAAATAAAGCCAAAAGAAACCTTCTATATTCCCAAGAAATCTGGTGATTTTATGTGAAAGTCTATAGAAATAAAATCTATTTATACCTACCCCAAGCTACTGCATCAAATTATAACCCATTTTTCCTTCAGAAATAAAACCTCTCTGAAATATTTTGAAATGTTGAAAACAATCTGTAGGTGCTTACAAATAGAGAAGATTTGCACATGCTTACAAATGGATATCTATTTTTGATATCTAGGCCATCCTTTTTCTGAAATGCCTAATGATGGTAGAGTTGTACCCAACCAGGGTCACAAGGGCCTGCTCTCCTCCTATCCTAGTGGGTGCAATTTTAAGGAAAGCCGAAGGGCATTCTCATCATAGCAACGGAAATTACAACCAGTAATCATCACAGAGTTTGTAGAGCCCTCAAAGAGATGAGCTACAGGTTTAATTTTGGATTGGAGCTTGTTAGAGCCAAGGTGAATATATCTAAAAGGGTTGGGAGCCCTTTCATAGTGGAATTCTGTGTTGGTTATGGAATATGCCTCCTCCTAGGCAGACATCATGAATTTCATCATGGTTTGGGTTTTACAGGGTTTCCTGTCATCTGCTTATTCGAATAATTTCAAATAAGGCTTTTTGCCAAGAATATCTTGAAGAATAGCTTCTTGAGAACAATTGTGAATGAGGCATCTGTTTCAGAATTCTAAGTGCCCTGATGGCATTGTCCATTCTGGATATCCTTATTAGTTGTTTTGGCTTAGGCAGTAATCATAAGCATATAATGCCACTGGGTACAAAATCAAAAGAGAATGAGAATTAGGAAAGTTCATATGATGAAATATTTTTATGTTACATTCATCATTTACCTATCCATTTAGTCACTCATTTATTCAAAGTATTTGTTAAGCTTCAAACATGTATTATCAGGCAAATCATCGTACTTATCTCAGGATTATTGTGAAGATTTTAAAAGTTAATATTTGTAAAGCATTTAGAGCAATTGCTTTAGTCAGGGCTCTCCAGAGGGACAGAACTAATAGGATAGATATATATAAGAAAGGGAGTTTATTAAGGAGAAGTGACTCACACGATCACAAGGTGAAGTCCCATGATAGGCCATGTGCAAGCTGAGGAGCAAGGAAACCAATAAAGGCTCAGTCTGAGTCCCAAAGCCTCAAAAGTAGGGAAGCTGACAGTGCAGCCTTCAGTCTGTGGCCGAAGGCCTGAGAGGCCCTGGAGAACCACTGATATAAGTCCAAAAGACAAAGGCCAAAGAACCAAGAGTTTAATGTTCAAGGGCAGGAAGCATCCAGCATGGGAGAAAGATGAAAGGGGGAAGACTCAACACAAGCCAGCTTAGCCCACCTTCTTCGGCCTGCTTTGTTGGAGCCACTCTAGCAGCAGATTGGATGGTGCCCACCCTCACTGAGGGTGGGTCTTTCTCTCCCAGTCCACTGACTCAAATGTTATCTCCTCTAACAACACCCTCACAGACACACCCAGAAACAATACTTTGCATCATTCAATCCAATCAAGTTGACACTCAATATTAACTAACACAGCAATGCTTATCTCATGATAAATATTATGTAAATTTTGAATACTATTTCTATCATGATTTGCATCCAATATATTTTTGTTGAATGAATAAATGAATAAATAGATAAATATTGACATTAATCAAGGAGGCAGCAGAATGGTGAATGAATTTGAACAGTCGAACAGAAGGGAATTTCTTAGAGGTTTTCATGTGGAGGGGCGATTAGATGCATTCTGTTTGGAAACAAGGAGTGAAAAAAGAACCAGTAAGTAGAAAATATGCTCAGTGTAAGAAAATGCTTTCTAATTGTCAGGGATACGGCCAGGCACAGTGGCTCACACCTGTAATTCCAGCTTGGGAGGCCAAGCCAGGTGGATCACCTGAGGTCAGGAGTTCGAGACCAGCCTGACCAACATGGTGAAACGCCATCTCTACCAAAAATATGAAAATTGGCTGGGCATGGTGGCAGTCACCTGTAATCCCAAGGGAGTTGGGGCAGGAGAATCGCTTGAACCTGGGAGGCAGAGGTTGCAGTGAGCCAAGATCGTGCCATTGCACTCCAGCCTGGGGGATAGAGTGAGACTCCATCTCAGAAGAAAAATTGTCAGGGATAGAAAACACTCAAGTAGGTTGCATTAGGAAGTAGTGAAAATTATGTCCCAGAAGGCTTTCACATTTACATTGTATTATCACTGTGCAAGTACAGTATGGGGTAGGCAAGGAAGGCTTTTAAGGTTCCTTTCAAACTGAGGTTTTATAAATCTTGTGGAATTTCAAGATTATTAATTCATTTCAATTAGTAGGCAGATTAAGCTAAAGTTTTGTTAAGTAAAACAGCACAAAGTAGCTATAAAGCAAAGTTAAGTGTGGTTCTTCCAGTTCAGCCATACAAATTCTGTACTCATTGAGGTATCAGAACTATTTGCAGTGAATCTGGAAGGTTTCATCAAAAGATAATCAAAACATTAAATATTTTCTCATATTCATTTCTCCTGTAGGATTCTCTCCTGAGTAGTCACAGAGAATATTATTGAAACCTGAACCTATGATTTGATCGTTTCACACACACAGAGGCAAAGTAGGGATTCGAAGTAGAGCCTCACAGTTAAAAACACAAGCCTATGTTTAGAAAACACTGGCCCTGGATTCTGTTTATGCTATGTGGTCAGGCAAGTAACCCTTGCTTATCGAGTCTCACTTTCCTGCTCTATCAAGTGATCTTTATCTGAAGTCTACTTAGAGAGCCAGGAGCTCCTGATCCCAGGGCCAGCTCTACCGCTAACTGGATGAGGGATCCTCAGTGAGTCACTTTGTCTTCCTAGGGACCATCTAACATGTCTATCAAATGGACTTACTAGTGTATGGCCTGCCTGCTTCATAGAGTAATTGTAAGAATCAGAAAAAATTGATATTTTAAAAACTGTATCTACAGAGAAAAACATGAGTGTTTAGAATATAAAAATAATCTATATTTGTCTTATATGAATTTATATAACTAATAGATACTAGCAAATCTGTATCAGCTTTATTATAAATTGAAGTGGGCTCAAACAGCATTTTCTGCAAAGCTCCTTCAGCCTTTTATTTGTCCTGTCCTCATTCAACAACATCTTTCCCATGGGTATTTGTTTCCTAGGACTGCTGTAACCAATTATCACAAACTTAGTGACTTAAAACAACAGAAATTAATTCTCTCACAGTTCTGGCGGCCAGTAGTGCAAAATCAAAGTGTCAATAGGGTTGATTCCTTCTTGGAGTCTCTTCTGAAAGTCTGGCTACTAATTTCTAGTGAATGTTAATGAGGAGATTTAGAGCTGGAACTATTGATATTCATTTTTGGAAATATGAAGGAGACCTTTCCACTAACTTTCTGCTGACTTCATTGAAATTGTCCCGTTAAGTGACCAGCCTGGGCAGGAACCACAACCATCCCAAGGGCCTTAATGCAAGGGCATCCTTGGTTAAAACTCAATAAAGAGGAGGCTCTAAAAGCACTTTTAGATATTTCTTCTTATCGAAAATGTGACTTTCCTTGAGTGTGCATTTAAATTAAATTAGAAGAAAATAGGCCTATTACTCTCAGACATTTTTTTTTTTTTTTTTTTTTTTTTGAGACGGAGTCTCGCTCTGTCGCCCAGGCCGGACTGCGGACTGCAGTGGCGCAATCTCGGCTCACTGCAAGCTCCGCTTCCCGGGTTCACGCCATTCTCCTGCCTCAGCCTCCCGAGTAGCTGGGACTACAGGCGCCCGCCACCGCGCCCGGCTAATTTTTTGTATTTTTAGTAGAGACGGGGTTTCACCTTGTTAGCCAGGATGGTCTCGATCTCCTGACCTCATGATCCACTCGCCTCGGCCTCCCAAAGTGCTGGGATTACAGGCGTGAGCCACCGCGCCCGGACTCTTAGACATTTTTATTTAAAGCATTTTCATCAAAAAAGTGATGGCATGAAGCTATATGAAGACTCTGTATTACAGCATTACTCAGGAAAATATAAAGCAGTTTTACCTTATGGTGTGAGGATACTGAAAGTAAGTTTCATGCTAGGCTATGAAGGAAGAACATTGGGCTGAACAATAAAAATTCTTTTTTTTTTTTGAGATGGAGTCTCACTCTGTCACCCAGGCTACAGTGCAGTAGCACGATCTCAGCTCACGGCAACCTCCACCTCCCAGGTTCAAGCGATTCTCCTGCCTCAGCCTCACGAGTAGCTGAGATTACAGACACATGCCACCACACCCAGCTGAGTTTTCTATGTTTAGTAGAGACAGGGTTTCGCCAGGTCTCGAACTCCTGACCTCAATTGATCCACCCGCCTTCCGCCTCCCAAAGTGCTGGGATTACAGGCATGAGCCACCATGCCCAGCCTGAACAATAAGAGACCAGGATTGTGCCTGTTTCATCTGTCACTTCCTGGATGTATCTTTTGCCACTGGGGGACCATGCTTTCTCATCTGCAAATGAAGGGCTTGAACTACAGGCTCTAGAAGTTCATTTCAAATTTAAAATTAAATTATATATTTCTAATTTATTTTAGCTTAGTCACTACTCTATGAATTATAACATGCAAACTTAATGTTTTACATTGTAACTAGAATTATTATTTTACCACTTCCAATGTAAGGCAGCATCCTTGCCACAGTATATAAGTCTGGGGCTTGCTTGGGGAGAGAGAGGAAAAATACAACAGAAGATTCCCCACACTCTCTCTTTCAGTTATGGCTCCCCTTCCCATTCCTCAAATCAGGAACAGTGTTTTTCCTAGGGCTCTTTCTGGCTACACCAGTGGACACTTCCAAGATTTGAGCCGACTTTGAATCTAAACTGTGAGTGTGCTCCCTCTACCTTAACCAGAATGAGAACCTTTTAGGAAGTCTTAATGCCCATTACCATGTAATACTCCTTCCTGAAAACAGTCACTTTCAGATAATTTGGCTGAGCTTCTCCTCAGTCCTTCTGTTAAGAGTTCCCGAATGGAAGGCGTGCAGGTGGACGGGATAATGTTCAGCTGCTTTCAGAGATTGCCTTCTGCCTTTTACTGCTCTGACTGGCCAACACCCTCTAAAGCACAAACAGTTAAAGGGAAGTCCCAGGATGCCAAGCTAGCTGCTGGCAAGAGATCATGATGCTTTTAGCTTTTTTGAGCTTGCCCTTTACCTTCAGTGCTTTTCCAGAAATACCCTGATGCACTTTTCATATTTGGCAACATTCAACCAATATATTATACTCAACTAACTAAAATGGCATCAGGAATGCCAAATATCACATGCCACTTTCCATCTTTGAAATGATCTATACACCTGGGCCTGATACAACGAGATGCTAGATTTAATAGAGGCATTTACCAAGTTTACTGGAGTATAGTAGACAGGCACTTCCTTTTGCCTGAGATGGTGGGTGAGACAGAGCAGTGACTCTGCTCTGGAGATGCCTTCAGATGGATGCTGAGGGATTTTTAAAAAATTGCAAACAGAAACATCTCCTCTGTAAAATCAAGTGATTTTTATAACCTGAAATGGAGCTAGATTGATAAGATCTAAATGAGGTAGGGTGAGAAAATGCAATCCTTTCCACTCTGTGTTATAAAATAACTCTAAATTTAAAAAGCATTGTCATTGCCAAGTATTGCATTGCTCTAAAATTCATGCCCATAGAATATTAAAATGCATTAAGTTCTACTTTTCAAAAAGCATTTGTTTATTGATCAGATAATTACATAAGTTTGAAGTGCCAAGCAGGTATAAATAAGCAGGAAGGACCTGATGTGTTATTCATCACATCAGGGACTTAATTATTAATGCTTACTGTAGTTGTGAAAAGCAAGTTGCAAGGAGATTTGCACATATCAGTATCTACCTGCTAGGTTTCTTTCTATTCCCTGAGAAGTCTTCAGTTGGCACAGAATCTTTGGGCATATAAAAATATTCCATCTTGGCCTTGAAGATAAGTCCCAGCCCATTAAATATTTTCCTGTGCATAGAATGATGGCAGGTGAGATGAAGACCAGGAGCCAGGAAATATTTAAGGCACAGTTGACCTGTACACAAATGTACCCTGGACTGCACAATTGATAAAAAGTGACAAGTACATTAAAATGGCCATTTTTGTGACTCAAAAAATGACTTTTTTTGTTATAGCAATATATATGTATATATATACACACACACAGATATATAGAGACAAAAATGGCCATTTTAATATAGTTGTCACTTTCTGTCATGGTACATGCATGAGCATATACATACATACATATATATACACACATATATACATATATATATGTATATGCCCATGCATGTACCTTGAGATGTAGTCAGTGTGGTGGAGTTGCAGAGTACAAGCTGGAGAGCCACACTGCCTAAACTCAGATCTCAGCTCCCCCACCAACCAACTTCTCAATCTCCCCATCCCTCCTTCTTTCACATTTGTAAAATATGGCTAGTTAGAGTACCCAGTTCCTGAGGTCGTTATGAGGATTAAGAAAGTGAATATATAAAAAGCATTTAGCACCTGACACATAGAAAGTGCTAAACATGTTCATTATTACTATCATATACTTAACAATCATATAGGAAGTTTTTTTTTTTAAGTTACCATTAATTGAATGCCTCTTGATTTTAGGAACGGTACCATGCACTGGACTGTTTTTGCTCACGTGTAGTAGAAACATGAGTTTCAAAGAGGTAAAGTAACATGTTGAAGGTTATAAAGCTAATAAGTGTCAAAACTAGGATCAAAACCATAAGGCATAAACCCGGTAAGAATGAATAGACGTCCACTCTGTGCTAACCCTTCTGCTTGAAGTTCAAAATAAAAAGGTCAGACAGGGCCCCAATCTGAGAAACTCAGAGTCTGTTGGAAGAGACGCAGATGAAAGTAGTGCTGTTATAATGTGTGTTACTCTCACCTGTAACTATAATCATTACCTCAATACAATGATTCCCAAATTTTTATTTTTTTTCTTGAGTCTTCATCTTTCACTCTAGACCCAAATTTTGATCTCTCCATAGGACCAAACTGGACATTTTATTAACTTTATTAATTTCAACATATCTTAAGTATAATTAATCTGTTTTTTTTTTCTATGAATGTAACTATTTCTATACTGCCTTCTTATCCAGATGCAAATCTTGGAGTCATATTTTTTAATCCATCTTTCTTTCTTGCCCTGATCTGATTGGTAAAATTATCAGTTAAAGCAACAATAACCTTTTCAATTGTATCAAAAATACACCATACTTAAGGACTTATTTGACAAAATAGGTGGTAGATGTGTACACTGAAAACAAAACATTACTGACAAAAAATAAAGAATACATAAATAAGCTGAGATATATACCTTATTCTAAGGTTACAAAACTAAATATTATCAAGATTCAAATTCTCCACAAATGCAATCCCAATCATAATCCCAACAAGCTTGTTTGTAAAAATTAATACAGGCACACCTCATTTGATTGTGCTTTGCTTTATTGTGCTTCACAGACATTGCATTTTTAGAAATTCAAGGTTTGTGGCAATGCCGCATTGAGTAAGCCTCTGGGTGCCATTTTCCAACAGCATATGCTCACTTCTGTTATGTTTCAGTGTGATATTTTGGTAATTCCCACAGTATTTCAAACTTTTTCATTATATTACATCTGTTATGGTGATCTGTGATCAGTGATCTTCGATGCTGTGATTGTAATTGTTTTGAGGCATTCACATAAGAGGGAGAACTTAACAAGTGTTGTGTGTGATCTGACTGCCCTACTTACCTGCTTGCTCCCTCTCCTCAGGCCTCCCTATTCCCTGAGATACAACAATATTGAAATTTGGACAATTAATGACCTATAATGGCCTCTAAATGTGCAAGTGAAGGGAAGAGTAGCAGTTCTCTCACTTGAAATCAAAAGCTAGAAATGATTAAGCTTAGTGAGGAAGGCACATTGAAAGCCAAGATAGCCCAAAAGCTTGACCTCTTGTGCCAAACAGTGAGAGGAAAAGTTCTTGAAAGCAATTAACAGTGTATTCCAATGAACACACAATGATAGGAAAGTGAAACAGCCTTATTGCTGATGGAGAGAAAGTTTTAATGATCTGGATAAAACAGCAAACCAGCCACAACATTCCCTTAAGCCAAAATCCCTAACTCTCTTCAATTCTATGAAGGCTAAGAGAGGTGAGGAAGCTGCAGAAGAAAAGTTTGAAGCTAGCAGAGATTGATTCATGAGGTTTAAGAAAAGAAACCAACTCCATAACATAAAAGTCCAAGGTGAAGCTGAAGCGCTGATACAGATGCTGCAATACATAACCCTCAACATCATTTAATATTAGGCAAATACAAACTAAAATCACAATGAGAAACTATTTTGTATCTCTTGTAATTGTTAAAATTAAAAAGGCTAATTATACTAAGTGTTGATGAGAATGTAAAGCAACTAAAACACTCCTACATTGCTGGCAAGAAAGTAAAAAAAAAAAAAGTTTGGAAACAGTTTGTCAATTTCTTTAAAATCTCAATGTATATTTCTACCATATGATCCAGCTATTCTTTCATATGAACTTACTCAAGAGAAGTGGAAGTTTGCCCCTAAGGGACAAGAACACTCCCTCTTCTGTTACTTGGGTTACTCAGCCCCCTAGGCAGCCACTGACAGAACCAAAGCCTCCATGGATCCAGGTGGATCAGATGTGGGTGTTTGAGCCTCTGCAACTTCTGTCTCAACAAGCCTAATGGCCCTTTCCTCCGGGAAGGCTGAGACAATCAGTGTTGCTAGAAAATGAAGAGAGAGAAGCAAATGGGCTCTAAAACCACAGGAAAGCCATCCCTAGGGCTGATGTACCCATAAGAAAGGCAAGCAGTCAAGAACCAAAGGTAGACAGGGTTGAGTGGATATGAGTTGATACATAAATTGCACGTAGCAAACTTTGTGATGCTGCCTATTGATTGTGTCCTCTATCAAGCCAAGCAAAGCACACAATTCTTCTTAAGAGCTCAGGCTTTGGAGACAGACATGCCTGAGTTCAGATCCATGTTCTGCTATTTATTTCCTGTGTCGCTTCTGGCAAATAACTGATCTCTTAATTTCCTCATCTGTTAAAGGAGGATTATATCTTCTGTAGAGAGTTCCTTTGAGGATCAACATAAAGTATGTTTGCAAAGCATTTTGCACAGTTCCTAATGCATGGAAAATATTTCATAAAGAGTTACTGCTGCTGTTGCTATCTATCCAAATTTTCTCCACTTCACTGCTATTTTCCCCGTGTATGCCATCATCAACTCTCATTTGAATTATTGTAACCACCTTTTAATGGATTTTTCTAATGGTAGGTTTTTCTCCCTAGTGCCTCCTTCTTAGTCTGTCAAAATAATCTTTTTAAAATGAAAATCTGATCTGCAACTTCTTAACAATTCAACACACTTCATGAGGATGAGGAGTATGTCTTGTTCAGCATTGTATTTTATTTTCTATGCTTAGCGAAATGTCTAATGAATAATAGGTGAACAAGTTTCGGGATGAATATATGAGTTAACAAAGCAAGGAAGAAAAATTTGACTGTGACAGGTGGAGAAGAGAGTTGGAGGTTTTCCAGGTACAATGATGTCATTAAAGCTAGCACCTGTATCCTTTTTGAATCCTTTTATATGTTATATTTAAAATGCTTCTTTATCTTGCATTCATGGGGAGATGCTCCTATCTGTGGGGAAAGGTTTACTAAATAATTAATTATAGAATCATTGATAGCAAATATATTTTAAGGATGAAAAAGCTTATGTTTGTGGGGGGTGGACAAAGAGAGGGCAAGGAGTGGTGACAGGGGAAGGTGGGACATCCTAGCCAAGAGAGCGCCCTCTGCCAAGGCACGATGGCATGAAATAGGCTGGTGAGTTATGGGACCTAGAAAGGAGATCAGGAAGCCAAAAAACTGGACAGCCCCGCCATATTTGGGAACTGTTTGTCTGCAGTGGGGGTAGGTATGGAGTAAATTCAGGGGATGTTGGCTGGTCTAGGGTCAGAATAGCCTTATAATAAATATACTGCGAAATGACCCTTGTTCTGGTCTACTATTTTCTAGAATTCATGTTGAGTAGCTTGGCATGCATCAGTGCATTTTCTGTTCACCATCAATTGAAACGTGAATGTGAGGCACACATTTATGGGTCCTCAGCTCACGCTTTCCCATTTGTAACACAATGAATCTCCCTAATCCTCTGGGTGTAAATATTGCTGTCATCATTTTACAGAGGTCGAAACGGAGGAGGAGAGGCTTAAAAAATATATGTTTAAGTCATACAGCAGATAATAGCTAGATTTTAAACTCAGTTTTTCTGCCGTTTTCATTACTTTGTCTGATATTACGGACATGGTCCAAAACTGAAAGTTATAATTAAGCAAAATGGAATCATTCAAGGGGTTTCACCAAACAGCATTATAGGATTCCACTTTGGAAAAAGAAACAAAATGTTATTTGGAAGGTGGATAAACACCTACTTACTGAGGAACTTCTACATCATATCCAGTAATTATCTAGACAAGAAAAACGGGACATAATCTATATACTTAGGTTAACTGCCTGAGTAACATATAAGTCTTTAACTAAATATGTGGGTGAAATGAAATCTGAACAATATTTTAATTCTTATGGCGCCATGCAGAATCAATCTCTGGAATGTTTGCCAGTATTTCTCATGTCAATTATCATGTCTAATAAAATGCTACTTAGCATGAGACCATCCTCAGAGTTCCCTGCTGTAGACACTATCACTGAATTTTACAGATGATAAAATTAAACTTCACGGAATTACAGGATTTTTTCCAAGGTCATGGCATGAAGTGAAAAAATCAAGATGAAAACCTAGACATGTCAAATCCCAGCTCTGTCCTTTCTCTCCACTAGACCAGGCAGTTTCCCTGCCCACTCAACTGTTGTTTTTTCTAGACACTGGTCACCCACAAAATCCCTTTTGAGACTCCACTGTCATGTCCAACTCAAAAAAACCTTATACTGTAAAAGCAAACAAAACTATTTCAGGTATATTGAATCCATGGAAGATAAATTCAATCTATGAAATATCAGAGGTTCCAAATGTGCTCCAATTCAGCCTAACATCCCTTTTCACCCCATAAAACATTGTGGTGAGATGCTAAAACTTCTGAATTTCCTACTTGACATTTTAAATATTCCAGCTGCTTTTCTAACAACGAATGTCTCATGAGTACCCAATCATAACCTAGGAAAGTGGGACCAGATGCCCTGCCAAGTGCTTACAGTTTAATAGTAAATAAATGAGTCCCTGGTAGTTTTCTTACAACTGGCTGGGGAACCCATTCCCAGCTGCTGGGCCCACTAACAGCTGAGTAAATACATTGCTAGAAGCTGCAGCCAGAGAATTACCATTCAGTGCCCATAGCCCTGGATGTCCTAGGACTGCAGTTGTTTACCCATTAGCAGGTGGAAAATTACCAAAGCCCTCACTACTAAATCCCCTATTAAGTTGTCTGTAAAAAAGATTTTTCTATTTATTGAACAGGAGAATTATAGCCAGGACCCTGTTGATTTAGATAAAAGTAAATTAAAATCTTGAAGTTGTACCCATAGTCTGTTTAAATGCTATAGCCTCGTTATTACTAAGCCTACAGTCTTGGGCAGCTTGTCCACTCCAGCACACCTGTATGTATCAGCCACAAGCAGATGAGGGTTAAGGGAGCAAGCACTCAGTAATTTTTTATTCCTTTATTATGTTATGCATTAACCTACTGAAAAATGATGTTTTAGGCCCCAGGCAATTATGCTCAGTGGGATTATTTGGGGGTGGATAACACTGTCCCCATCTTTATAATATAACATGGTATAAAGAAATCATTAGGGTCTATGTGATACTTAAAACAGTAGACATATATTCAGGCCAAAGAAGGGATCTCTCTAGAAGGTTAAGCAAGACATCACCCAGCAGGGGATGTCTGAGTATGGTTTTAAGGATGTTTGAATGGGTTGTGTAAGTGTGTTGGAGAAGTGTGGATATCTGTTGAAAAATGTTATTCCATGAAAGAAAGCAACACATAGGAAGGAATGGAGGAGTAAAACAGCACAGAATGTTCCAGAAGCACAGGAGTTGGAAATGACATGGAAACAAGACTGAGAGTTGCACATAAGTGGAGATATGGCTTCTTACTCTATCAATACAAATTGCTTAGGTCAAGGCTGAGTTCAGCTCCTAGACTGGCAACCAGAGGGTGTGGGTTCCCGCATAAGTCCAGTCTGTCCTGCTGCTAAGTAGGATGCAATCCTTTACTAACGCCACAGCATTCTTTCTCGGACATCTATTAGATACATTCTCTGCTCCTATAGTTTTCACCTAATGCTATTAACAGCATAATTTTTTCTTCAGAGTAAGAATTAATTCCCCCAATACTGCTCCACCCACCCAGCCCGTGATTCTCTAATGCATGTTTTGTCTCCATTGCAGTTCCTGTTGGAGCCTGGCCTGTTAACTAGAGCAGGAGCTTCTGGAGTGTAGGAGCCATTTATTCTGTATTTATAGAGCTTCTTTTCAGGCTGGAATCTCTGGTATATATTGATGATACATAGAGAAATATAAATAGAACAGTATTTTCCTTCAAGGAGTATGTAATCCATTAAATTATAGGCAAAAAGCAGAAAGACAAGGACTATGCCATATGTTACAGGTGATTTGTCAGAGGTAAGTACCAGCAGCTGATGGGACAATGGGAACGACCATTCTAGCCTGGCCCTTTCAGCAGTCAAAGGAGACATCAGTCTTAGTGGTTTCCTCTTCATCCCAGTACCAATCCCAGGGATATGGGCAATATTTGTCACATTGTTGTGATAATATTGAGTCATGGAATAAGTATTGAACTGCAGTCTGGAATCCTGAGTTCATATTCATTTCTCTAATACTAATAGCTGGACAAATCTGGATCTTTTTTTCTATTAATTTTTTTGAAGTATCTTAATTTTGCAAAGAGCTTTCTAGTTCTCAAAGTGCTTTCATGTGTATTGACTCATGTTGTTTTACGACAGACTCATTTACAGGTGCAAAAACCGGTCTTTGGAGACAACAGGGCAGAGTTTGGGCTTGAAGTTGGGATTTTCTCTTAATTTCAAGTCCCAGGTTTTATTTCCGGCTTCCATGAATGATTTCTAAGGCACTGTACAGCTCTTAAAACTCCATATTCTGGATTTGAGATTTTCCGTTCTCAAGGGAGTATTACAAACTCATCCTTATCACTTGTTCATCCCAGCCATGTCTGAAAGAATAATGGCCTTGACAGATGTCATTTTTGTTTTGTCCTGAACAGAAATAGCAATGGTTCTTCCTGCTGACAGGAGCTCCTCTCCCTGACCTCAACACACATTTCCACCTCCAGATGACAGAGGCCCTGAGGGTATCTGTTCCCAGGCAATGCCGGCATACTTCCATGGTTTTTGAGATATAATAATATTCTGCAGTGTTTGGTGGTGACATCACCCTGTGCAGACCTTTTCTTTACAGTTTTCAGAAAGGCTCGAATCTTGTTCACTAAGTTTTCCTTAATGATCATATGTCTCTTTTGGTTTGACGTGTAATGCTGTGCTGTGTTGGATATTGTCAAAGACAGTGGACTTGGAATAAGAGGGCCTTGTTCTGGGTCCTGAACTGATGTCTTGGGACTTAGGGCCATTGATTTAGCTTCCCCAAGTCTTGACCATCAATAAAACGAAAATAATAGTAGCAAAACTGTCCTATCTGCTGCTTAGTGTTGCTGTGATGATCAACGGCTATAAAAATGCTGCTCATTGTTATTCCTATAGTTTTATTAGTAGCTGAATTATTGTAGAATTGGGCTAACATACCTAGAAGAAAATTAACTTGCAGTGTAATTCATTCAAGTACATTTTGCAATGACTCTTTTTGTCTTTCTGTAGTCCAAGGTGACTGTACTAAGAGAAGGGCAGTCT
Source organism: Homo sapiens (assembly GCF_000001405.40). Taxonomy (NCBI): domain Eukaryota; kingdom Metazoa; phylum Chordata; class Mammalia; order Primates; family Hominidae; genus Homo; species Homo sapiens. The sequence goes on along the minus strand of NC_000002.12, from coordinate 12,350,454 downwards.
CACTTCTGCAGATTTCAGAAAGGAAGGAACAAAATAAACATTTATGAGTCTCAACATTTTCCAGATGTGTGCTAGGCATATGACATTTAATTTATTCTGAGTAACACATGCTACAAAGCGGTTTAATTATGGTCATTTTATAATTGAGGGAGCTTAATGGTAGAGAGATTAAGAATCAGATTTAAGGTCAGCAATTTGCTAATATCTAATATTTTGTATATTACATACACACACACATACAGAGACACATGGTCTTCTCATATAAGTATCAAAATTGAGATCAAACCCAGCCCTTCAGACTCACAGCCCAATGAGGTGAGTCAACAGTAATCGTTTTGAGAACTGGTATTTGTGTTTGAATTTTACCTGTCTCACTTGGTTGGTTTAAAGACAATAATAAAAAATTAGACAAAATCTCTGGGTTTCCATTTTCTGCATCTGGAAAAATGATTCTTACTTGCCTCCCATCATTACAAGAATCCATGGCACACTGTCCAGCACACAATCATGCTCAATGAATGAGAGGTTCCTTTTCTCCTTGACCATCTGCATCCATTCTGGATTCACACACATGAGCTGAGGTCTTCAGACTGTCCATTCCTCAGTTGTCCCTGCATCAAGGGCTACCGCTTATTCATCCCGGCGTCTCCATGAAATCCAGCACAGTGCTGGGGAAACAACTGGGGTAAGTTGACCTGAACATCGGACTTGGAACTCGAAAGCTTGGGTTTAAGTCTAGGTTCTACTTGAGTGACATTAAATGGAGCTCTTCTCCCTCCTGGGATTTGATTTCTTCTTCCATGAAATGATTCCTCTGTCACAGGATTATTGTAAGTAAGTGAGATGAAGCCCATTGTCAAAGTACTTTAATAACTCCAAATTTGAGATAATATCATGAATGATTGAATAAAGTTTGTTACCACCTGAAATAAGGCACCTAATTTAAATTTAGTCTAATGCTATTTCCCTCATTTTAACTTTCCTACCTATCTTTTAAAAAATTAAATTGACGCATAATAATTGTACCAATTTAGGGGGTACAATGTGATATTTTGATACCCATATTCAATATATAACGATAAAATAGGGCAATTAGCACATCTATCCCCTCAAACATGTCTTATTTCTCTGTGTTGAGAACATTCAAAATCTTTTCTTCTAGCTATTTGAAAATATAGAATAAATTATTATTAGCGATAGTCACCCTACTGTGCTTTAAGAGCACTGAACTTATTCCTCCTCGCTGTAATTTTGTATGCACTAATCAACTTCTCCCTACCCCATATCCCTCTCTTCCCTTCTACCCTTCTCAGCCTTTAGTTACCACTGCCCTACCTTCTACTTTTATGAGATCAACTTATTTAGCTACTACATATGAGTGAGAAGATGCAGTATTTATCTTTCTGTGTCCAGCTTATTTCAGGTAATGTAATGTCCTCCAGTCTCATTCGTGTTGCTGCAAGTGACAGGATTTTATCCTTTCTTTTATTCTTATTCTTCCTGGGTTTTGGAGGTATGACATTAGTCTACATCTGGAAAACACTCAGGGCTGTGTAAAACCAGTAAACGAAACAGCTGACCACATTAATTACAGGAAACTTGTTGAGTTTGAGGGTCATGCTTTCCAGTGCTGATGAGTTAGTGAGTGGGTTCCACTGCTTTCTGCTTCCCAGTGTTCTTACGTATTTCCACTCGCCTCTTGCTTTCTGTCATTGTTGCTTTCTACAAAGCCTACTGTCCTCAGCAAATTGGGAAATAAATCAGGTGATGAAGATAAATGTTAAGTATATATTTGTGTCTAATTGAAGCAGTCCAACATAATGAAAGGAAGTAGAAAATGTGAAGTTATCTTTTCATTTTAAAATGTCAAGACCAAATACTAATGAATCAGAAGAATTTCAAAGAACCTTGAGAACTCATCCATATCTTAGAAGAGAGATCGTGTGTATTGGTACTGAATTCACATACAGGCTCCCAGAATCTTACTGTAAAAGTCATCATAACTGAGAGGTTTATGAAATTGCATTGAGCATTTGTCATTTAACACGTTTGGACTTGTCAGTTATTGTAGTCATCAATTTTAAGTGATATATGGGAGAGGGTAAAAAGCAATGCTGATTGCTTTTCCTTGCAATGATATTCAAGAATTGTTATAATATGCAACGGTTTCAGTATGATAATCAAAGATTTTGTATAACAGAAAACCCAATTTTAGCATGGTGTGTAGATAAATGGATTAAAGTCAGCTTTCTTTCCAAATTTATAAACATTTATAAAATAAGAACATTACCCCAGAATTTAAAAAGTAAATAAATTTACTAAAAAATACAAAGGGTGTGACCATCTCTTGAATGTCTATTTACAGAATCAGAGAGAATCACTAGATAGCCTTTTTGTTTCCCTTGTTTGAAATTTTTTCCCGAATATTGGTGGAAACTTTATAATTAGGCATAACATACAGAATCTGCTCAAATTTTTTAGGTGAGGAAACAATTGGGGTGACTTCAGAAGAATAACTCATTATTTCTTCAGCAACTGTTATGTGTTAGACACTTGAGAATACGTGAAACTATCTTAAGTATTTGTAAATATAGTACCTCACTTATTCCTCAAAAAAAAACCCCAATACTAATATTTGCCTCCACTTTACGTATGAAGAAATTTAGGCCTGTAGGAGGTATCTGGCTTCCTAGGGCTATGTACTCAGTGTCAAAGCTGGGATTAGAAATCAGGTGTCAAACATCAGATATATTATTCTTTCCTGTAGAGCAAGCACAATATGTGTTTGAACAAAGGAATGACATAATGAAAAGATTTCCTTGGGAAAAGCATAAAACATATAACTGTAAGACTATAACTTCTTTTGATGTATCAAGCACAATATAGTGTTTTTCCTACAATGTGTGTAAATTGAGTAGTAGCTGAATCCAACGAATGCAATGCACACGTTTCCCCCAGTTCTATCAAATACTATGTACATAACTATGCCTAATAATAATGTTACATCCTCTGTTTGATTTCAAAATGCATGTCCTCATTATTTTGTTTGGTCTGTTTATACAGCCTGCATGGGCCCATGAGCAAGTTTAAACAAGCATTTGCCTGACTTCTTTCTTGTGCACACATTTTTTCTCTCTACAATCTTAGACACGGAGCACTGACTTCTCTGTAAAATCCCATGCTTTAGAGTCCAACGGCTCACCTGCTGCAGTTTGAGTATGAGGCAAATAAGGTCAAGATGGGATTTATGAATCATCTCTTCCACCACCCTTTACGGGTAAATTCGAGCTAAAAACCAAATCCATCTGGCATTGACTCAGGGTGGAAGTTCCTGAAGCAGTGAAAGGAAAAGGAAAACTATTTAAAGTCATGTCTTGGTTACTGTAGCCTTGTAGTATAGTTTGAAGTCAGGTAGTGTGATGCCTCCAGCTTTGTTCTTTTGGCTTAGGATTGACTTGGCGATGCGGGCTCTTTTTTGGTTCCACATGAACTTTAAAGTAGTTTTTTCCAATTCTGTGAAGAAAGGCATTGGTAGCTTGATGGGGATGGCATTGAATCTGTAAATTACCTTGGGCAGTATGGCCATTTTCACGATATTGATTCTTCCTACCCATGAGCATGGAATGTTCTTCCATTTGTTTGTGTCCTCTTTTATTTCCTTGAGCAGTGGTTTGTAGTTCTCCTTGAAGAGGTCCTTCACATCCCTTGTAAGTTGGATTCCTAGGTATTTTATTCTCTTTGAAGCAATTGTGAATGGGAGTTCACTCATGATTTGGCTCTCTGTTTGTCTGTTGTTGGTGTATAAGAATGCTTGTGATTTTTGTACATTGATTTTGTATCCTGAGACTTTGCTGAAGTTGCTTATCAGCTTAAGGAGATTTTGGGCTGAGACGTGTGGCACATATACACCATGGAATACTATGCAGCCATAAAAAATGATGAGTTCATGTCCTTTGTAGGGACATGGATGAAATTGGAAACCATCATTCTCAGTAAACTATCGCAAGAACAACAAACCAAACACCGCATATTCTCACTCATAGGTGGGAATTGAACAATGAGATCACATGGACACAGGAAGGGGAATATCACACTCTGGGGACTGTGGTGGGGTCGGGGGAGGGGGGAGGGATAGCACTGGGAGATATACCTAATGCTAGATGACACGTTAGTGGGTGCAGCGCACCAGCATGGCACATGTATACATATGTAACTAACCTGCACAATGTGCACATGTACCCTAAAACTTAGAGTATAATAAAAAAAAAAATTAAAAAAAAAAAAAAAAAGTCATGTCTTTTAAAATAGAGTTTAGCCTCAGTGACCCTAGGACATGATAAGTAAGAAACTCAGCATCCAGGGCCACAGAACTTTTCGGTGGAAAACCAAGATGCATCCTTGTGTCTTACTGGTTTTAGTTTCTTTCTATCCACATTCATATTAGGTGGTCAGAGAAATCCTGCTCCGTGAAATATCAGTTTGTTTCTCTTTCTTACAGGTCTCCTTTTGGAGAAGGAAAATCCACTCATTCATTCAATTGATTAATCAGTCAACAGGTATTGACAGGGAAGGTTGGAAGGTCACCATCGTTTTAAATACTTACTACATACTTGATACAACTATGTGATTCTATATATTTAATTTTACTTAATTTTAAAAAGCAAAACAAAATGGAGCCATATGAAAATACATGAGAAAAGATCTCTGGTAAAGGTAAATGCATGGACAAATATAAAAAGCAGCATTATTGTAATTTAGCCCCGTCACTCCACTTTTCATACTTTTATAAGATTTAAAAGATAAAAACATTAAATAATTTTAAAATTAGCCAGGCATGGTGGTGTGTGCCTGTAGTCCTAGCAATTTGATGGCTGATGTGGGACGATCACTTGAGCCTAGGAGTTCAAGGCTGCAATGAGCTACAATTGCGCCACTGCATTCCAGCCTGGGTGACCAAGCGAGACCCTCTCTCTAAGATAATAGTAATGATAGTAATTATGATTATAATTATATGTTAATGGCTACACAATACATGAAGTTGTAATTTGTGGCATCAGTAACATAAAGGAGAAGGTGGAGCTGTAAAGGGGTAAAGCCTTTTTTGCAGTTGAAATAACTCGGTATTAGTCTAAAATAGACTGCTAAAATTGTAGGATATCATATGTAATCCCCATAGTAACCACAAAACAATCTATAGAATATGCATGAGAGGAAACGAGAAAAGAACCAAACCATGTAACTCCAAATACATCTACTAAACACAATGGAAGGCAGTAAGTAAGGAAATGAGGGACAAAAAACTATAAGACATAGGGAAGGCAAATAACAAAATGGCGATGCTAAGTTCTTCCCTAGCAGTGACTACTTTAAGTGTAAAAGGATACATCAGATGGAATATTATTCAGTCATAAAAAGGAAATAAATTCTGACACATACTACAATATGGATAAATTTTGAGGATGTTTTGCTAAATGAAGTAAACCAGTTTTAAAAAAGACAAATACGGTATGATTTCACGGAGATAGGAAATAGGATGGTGAGTGCCAGGAACTGGGGAGAGAGTGAATAAGAAGTTATTGTTTAGTGGGTACAGTGTATGTCTTTGAAGATGAAACAAGTTCTGGAGACAGACAGTGGTGATGGCTGTGCAACAACGTGAACAGACTTAATGCCATTGAACTGTACACTAGGAAAGGGTTAAGAGAGTACATTTTGTTATGTGTATTTTACTACCATTTTATAAAAACATTAAAGAGAAATAAATTTGAAGTAAGCATTATGATTTTCATTTTACAGATGTCTAAACTAAGATCTAGAGCTGTTCAGTGATGTGTGGTAGTCTCCCAGCAAGCCAGGGCCAGAGCTTGGACACCTCATTGAGACCTCCATAAAAAGAACCCTAACCAAACAAAAAGTGGAGCTACACAGAAATACCATCTGCATAATAAAGGCAATTATTTTTTGTCACAGTATTTTGTAAGTGAGCCTCTTTTTTAAGGAAATAAGAGTTTTAGGACTTGGGAGGTATATAAACATCTCAATTTGAGAGACGAAAGGAAAATTCTTGATTGCTTTTATGGCCTGGTAACAGCTTCCTTTTGAGTAATGAATGATGAGATTAGTAAACATCATGCTTTTTATATCTGGTCAATGAAGTTTTGTCTTGAGGTATATCCAAAAGAGAGGTTGCATCTCAATAAGATCTCTCTCTGGCAAGATCCTAGCCAGGACAGCAGGTAAGAATGAATGTATGATGCCATAGAATCAAAGATCAGAATGGCCTTGGTGAGGTGGCTCATGCCAGTAATCTCAGCACTTTGGGAGGCTTACGTGGTAGGATTGCTTGAGGCCAGGCATTCAAGACCAGCTTGGGCAACAAAGTGAGACCTAGTCTCTATAAAAAATTTTAAAATTAGTTGGGAGCATGTGCCTGTAGTCCTAGCTACTCCAGATTCTGAGGCGGAAGGATCTCTTGAGCCTAGTAGTTCAAGGTGACAAGGAGCTATGATTGTCCTACTACTGCATTCTAGCCTGGGCAACAGAGCAAGACTCTCTCTCTCAAAAAAAAAAAAAAAAAAAAAAAGAAGCAAAACAATAGAAATGGATGGAGTTTTCTGCAGTTTGAATTATGCGCCAAAGATTAAAAAAGATTATTTTCTGAACTCTGGGAATAAACAGACTTTGTCAAACCCTCCGTTTAGAAATTTTTGAGGAAATATTAATTTTCACTTATAGAAACTACATAATTAATCACGTACCTTTGCAAATATTAACCTAGTTCCCACAAGATAAACCTAGGAACATAAAAACATGTGAACTTGCCCTCAAGTAAGGTTGGGGAAGTCAGCAGCTAACACCAGGTGTTGGGGTTAGCCTGATGCTTAGACAGGAGTTATTGAAGACACTTTTACCTCATGGGAGGAGGGCTAGAAGAGGATGTGTTAATTCCCAAGGTATTTCCATCTCATATCAAAATGTTACGTTGGTTCATTGACTGATGACAGCTCTTAGTGGCACCAACAAGCCGTGATTTATTGAATATGAAAGTTTCTAAGGTTCTTCGGTCAATGAAGAGCAGCCAGTTATGAATCATTTGAAAATTCCTATGTAGTGGGTATTTGTTTTTCTTGATTCCCCAATGTCTATTGCACATTTTTGGTGATGAAATGCGATTTTTACTTGGGAATGATATCTTCATCATTGTATAAAATCAGGGAAGCAGGGACCTGGCCCAGCCAGGAAGGAAGCATGTGCTCCGATCTAGCCCAGCTAATTGTTTCTTTTCTAGAATGGGAAGAGACAAAACATGTGTGTGTTTCACGTGTTCCAGCAGTCACACCTGGGAAGCCTCGCAAGCAGGTCCTGCTCAGAGGTCTCTGGTTCCTCTCTTTGCCCAACCTGGTTTTCAGTTTTTCTCCCACCCCATGAGCCTCTCCCTTAGCCTTCCAATAAACTCCCTTTTGCCTAAGTTAGCTGGGGTAGGTTTCTGATGCTTTCAACCAAAGGATTCTGATGTATGAGGCTGTTTCCATTTCTCATATGCTCAGTCATTGATTTATTCATACACTTATTCATTCAATAATTGCTCCCAAGATTATAGTCCACTGGGACTACAATCTAAAAACTGCAACCACACCCTGCTGCTTCTTCATGCTTTGTTCATGTTGTCTTCTCAATCAGCAATGCCTTCCTTGCCTTCCCATCACTTCCTACTCATACCTGTCATCAAATCTTCAGACCCTTCTGTGATCTTGAAACCTGCCCCATCATTAACACCACTGTAGGCTCCTTTACTAGCCAGTTACATCCCCGAGGGCAAGGATTTGTGCCTTTATCTCTGTACCCCCAAGGCCCAGGACAATGTGAGGCCCTCATCAATGATCTCATGAGGAAATGGAGGGTGATGATTGTTGGAACAGATTTATAGGCAAGGTGCTAGTGAGAGGACCCAGAAGGGAAGAACTAAATGTACTTCCAAATGGAGGGTCTAGCAAAGTTACAGAGAAGAGGTGATACCCAAGTCAAATTTTAAAGGATGATTGGATGTTTTAAGGTAATAAAGAAATAAAAGTATTGAACAAGCAGAGAAATAACCATATGGAAAGTCATACAATCATGAGAAGGCACAGAAAAGGAAGGCCGAATACCTCAACAAGACCAGAATATGTAAGTTTTTAGTGGCATGTGGGTAATGAATCATAAGAGGAAGGCAGAGGCAAAATCTTGGAGGACTTGGTTTGTCATGCTAAAGGAGTGTAGACTGTATTCATATGCAACAAGAAGCAACACAACTGCATTAGCCTGCTCGGGCTGCTGTAACAAAATACCAGGCTGGGTGGCTTTCACAACAGAAATATATCATCTTGAAGTTCTGGAGGCAAAGGTCCAAGGTCAAGGTGTCAGCAGGTTTGCTTTCCTCTGAGGCCTCTTTCCTTGGCTCACAGATGGCCGCCTTCTTGCCACACCCTCATGTGGAATTTCCTGCATAGGCACTTGTCTGTATGCTCTCCTTCTTTTAAATTTCATCTTCATATAAGGACACCAGTTATAGTGGATTAGAGCCCACTGTAAAGATCTTATTTTAACTTAATTACTTCTTTATAGATGTTATCTCCAAATATGATCACATTCTGAGGTTCTAAGGATCAGGAATTCAATGTATAAATTTGGGTAGGGAGAGGAGGACATAATTCCGCCTATAACGATGGCCTAGTAGCCAGAAGCAGAGTCTCTGGAAATAGACTTCTTGGGTTCAGACATTTGCTTTCTTACCTAGAAGCTGTATGACTTTGTATGACTCTCTATTCCTCAGTTTCCTCATTTACAAAACGGTATTAGTAACTACCTCTTAGGTTGTTATCAATGAAAAGACTGTTTGATGTAACAATAAATAACAGCAAAATATTCAGTGGGGAGGGACATAATCAAGGGTCCCTCCGGGAGCATGGTAGGAATAAGTTGGAAGTAGAAAGGCTGGAGGCTTAGAGACAAATAGAACAGACAGACTTTTATAACCTAGTTTATTATATTTGAGAAAGGAGAGGAAGGAGGCTGATACAGGTGAAGACATTGCTGCCAACTGGGATAAAGGAAACCACAGAGAAAGTAAGGGGGGCAGGGGGATTAGTTCAGTTAAAGACATTCTAAGTTTAAAATGCTTGGGATTCACCCAAAAATTGAGTCTAGCAGATAGGCCTGAAGCTTGGACAGAATTTGGGCAGAATAGAGTTGAGGGTCATCACCAAGTAAAAAAATGGCAGCTGTACTCATAAGCTATGAATGAAATTGTCCACAGAAAACCAAGCTTCTATATGACTTTGAGACTGGAACCACAATTAGGAACACAGTCACCACAGAATATAAGACCAGCCCTCATATCCCTGTAAAAGGCTGTTCAATTGATCAGGGCCCCCACTTAAGAACAAGGCCAGGTCTTGATGCAGAGTGATTCACCAGCCTTCAGTTTCCAGGAATGAGTGTTGGAAAAGACAGGAAGGAATACAGGACTCTGAAATTGCATCTCCTTTTCAATACATTCTGTTGTGTTCTCACCGAGTGAAATTTAGAGATCGAAAGTATCATTGATTTAGTTCACAATTGTCTCTTAGGCACAGGAAATAAAGGCGTAATCAAATGTAATGTCCTTCTCAGAAGCCCCCATCACCACCATATATATAACTGTTAATTTGGGCAGATAGTCAGGTCATTGTGAGCCAGTGTTCTCTTCTGAAAAGTTATAATAAAATCACACTAGCCTTGCCCTTCCTCTGTTATCAGAGCGATGATATTTATTATAACAGTAGTTTCTAATTCCCCGAAGTGTCTATCTATAGAATATTTTTGTAGTATTATTATTCTTGTTAAGCACTGACATTATCCACAGCCAGTAGACCCAGTGGACCCTGTCTTTGTCTGTGTCATCACCTTTAAATCAAACTACCACCAGGTTCACTATTTGTTAGTGCCCAAAGCAGCCGTCTAGTGACTGGAAAGTGGCTATGTGCAGAAAAACTATTTCATCACAAACCATGTGAGAAGTCATCTGAGAAAGCTATCCCCTCACCCCAAGCATCCTGTGATGAAGGATAACATTTATTTCATTATTATTCACTCATGGGACAGCAACTGGGCAGGAAGTGGAGCCCAAACTTACAGATAGTTGATTCAGTCTCCAAACCATCGGCCGATGAGGACTAAGGCCCCGCCTCTTTAGCAAGCAGAAATTATCCAAAGGCATCTGGAGAGATGAGAAGCAGCCTGGTTCAGTGAAAAGTTCACCAAGCTGGGAATGAAGACCGTGGTCCCCTATCCCAGGCCCACCACAGATGGATTCCCTGACTAAACATGGACAAGGCATTTTTCTTTTCTAGGCTTCAGGTTTCTCCTCTGCAAAATGAGGTCTTTAAGTTAGGTTCTCCCTTAGGGAAAGGAGCTCCTCCTTAATGATCATCTAACATTTCCTAGTGGTCTACATACATTACCAAAATTTAATATACAATTAGCAAGGTAAGGGTTAGCACCCTATTTTATAGACTGAGATGCTAACACTCAGCTCTAACTTCTCTCTCTTCTTCATCTGTGCTACATTTTTCCACTGCCCCACACTGGACCAGCTCCATGAGTGTCCAACTTTAGATGGGCCCCATGTTTGGTTGAATGCCCTACTCCCAGGTTTTGAAATTCTTAGCAGTTTTAGAAGAAGGGTCTCACTTTTTCATTTTGCTCTGGGCCCCACACATGATGTCGCTGATCCTGCCTTGATTCTATGATCCCTGGCAATTGAGCCTCACAGTAGTAGGTGCTCAAAGGAACAGACAGAGGTGTCTGCCACAGTGCACAGTTCTCATCCCTTGGAACCACCGTGATGTGGGTTAGATGAAGGGGACAGAATGTGAGCTAATTAAAGTGAGTTGAGTACTTCCAGGGAAGGACACAGGGTCAATAGTCACGGACAAAAACTCTCATGATCTACAGAGAACTGAGAACTGGCTCCTTGCCTTCATTTGTTCTGACGTGCTGTTAAAAAAAAAAAATCTCTTTGTTATTAATTCGAGAAGTCAGGAGCTGTGGACGTGTTCAATGTGGAGTGAACACATTGAAAGGCGAACTTCCTTCAAAGCTTTGATTTCTCTGAATCCTCTGGTTAGTGATCACCACAAGATTTGAGTAGTGGATGGGAAAGGAAGACAAAGACTTCATTCAAATGATTACAATAAACCCTGGGATTCTAAATCCCACCAGAGTTCTTCCAGGGTGAATGTCTGATGTGGAGTCTGATACTTCCAGGAGGCACCCCATCTCTCACACCTGTCTCTGTCCAAGCCAATATGTGGCAGTGGAGCCCAGGGCTGTCATTGCTCAGAGAAGGCAAAGCTGGCTGTCTACAGCTGTCCAGGATCTCCAGCAAGCTTCCTGCATCCCAGGCCAAATGAGGAGGATCTGGAAGAGCAGCTCAGGAAATGTACCCAAGAGAATATGGGGGTACCCCGAAAGAAAGGGAAATGGGAGGCCAGAGCCTTGGTTGAAAGATCTGCTGTGTATCTCAGCAAATCAATTTCTCCCTCTGCTCCTTTTACTCTCATCTAAAAGTGAAACAGTTGGACAGCAAAGGCAATACAGTTTAACAGATGGAATGTGGCATATAGAGTTAGTAGTTCTGGGTTCAGATCCTGCTTCCACCGCATCTATAGCTGTGAGATCATGAGCAAGTTACTTTACTTCTCAAAGCCCTGCTTTCCTACTTGTCATTTTAAAATAGAGTTAATAATGTCTCTTTCACAGGGTTGCTGTGTGAAGTCAACAGAATAATGAGAGAATAGTATGAGTGTCCAGGTCCTAACCATGTAGGCGTTTAATCTTTGAAAACTATTACTGTTCACTGAGGCATCAAGGCTTTTCCAAGGATCTGTGCTATGAAGATCAAATGGAGCTTGTCCTAGGGCCTGGGAAATGATCAGCAAGAGCAGGGGAAGCAGGGCTTTTCTAAGCATGCCTGGACCCAGTGCAAATTTCGGGATGTGGCAATACAGTGAGCAGAGACATCCATGATTTGGGAGGAGCACCTGAGTGCTAATTGGAAAAGGAGACCCCCTGTGTCTCCAGCTCAGATGCTATCCTTGGATGCTCACTCTCGGGCTGGCCAAGAGTGAGTGGGCCTGGATCACAGTGTTCAGTACCTCATGGGTCCAATCTGTGCTCCGTCTAGACAGACAGCTGGAGATTGGCAGCATGGGGTGCCAAACACTCTGGGGAGGAGGGGACACCACAGCAAAACATGTTCTTTTCTTGCCTCCGCTGACTGCTGGTTCCCAGAAGACATTCAGGAGTAGCTGAGTCTTGGGGCTACTCTAGGACTGTAGTCCAAGACTATCAACCAAGGGAACTGTCTTGCTACTGGTGATTCCTGTGTCCTGCTCACCAGCCTCTGAGACAACAGGCAGTTCTGTCTCAGTTGCATCAGGTCATGTGACCATGGTGGCTCGGCACCCTGGGGACTCCTAGGGAAAGTCCTGCCCTTCCCAACTGGCTCTCTTCTATCCACTAATCCACCTGCAGATCAGGAAGCAGGATCATCCTGCGCCTCAGCTCCTGTTGGGTTCTGGCCTGTCTGTAGCCTCAACAAGTACAAAGGATATTTTTTACCACGTGGCTCCTTCCTGCTCTCTCATCGGATTTTCTTCTGCTTCCCATCTTCATGCTTGCTCTTCAGCAACACCAACTATTATTAGGCTTGTACCTCCTCCTAGGAATCCATGTGTGTTTCCCCATCTTCACGGTTACCCTCCACTGTCACCGGTTGGACCAAACCCTTCATTTCTCCACCAAGCTGGGCTAGGGCTACTTCTCCATGCTACCATGACTACCTGCATATACCTCTGTTATGGTTCTTGTCAAAATTCATAATAACTTTCTGTCTCTCACTAGATTTAAAGACAGGATATGAGCCTTCCTCCTTGTAATCGCATTATTGAGTACATTGCTAAAGCCCAATATAGATATTTAAAGGAACAAACTAAACTATACATTCACAAGTTGATTCAATCTATAGGGATTCATTCTAAATCCCTGCTCCCACCATTTATACTCCACAGAATAGCCAAGTTCATTTTTCTATAACACAAACCTAATTGTGCCACTTCCATGCTCAAAACATTTCAGTAATTTCACATAACTCCTGGGACAAAACACCAAATTCACATCATGCCTACAAAGTCCTACTCAAGCTGACCTCCTCTGCCTATCTCACTAATTGTTGTCTCTAGTAACAGATTTTTTTGGCATAAATAACCACTCAGTGACTTAACACAGAACCAGTTATTATTGTTGCAATGATTATTGTTTAAGCCATTGGTCTCCTCTGGATTTACTGATGCATCTGCTCCTAGGGTAAGCGGCTCTGCTGATCTGGGCTGGACTTGCTTGTATGTTCAGGGACTGGCTTGCTATAGGCTGATCTAGGATGGTCTCAGAGGGATAAGTAGGCTGGTCCTCCATGTGGTCTCTCATTCTGCACCAGGCTAGTCTGCTCTTGTTTACATGGGGAGGGGGGCAGGTTCTGAGAGAGGGTCAGAAGCACACACTACTTCTTGAGTCTTGGGCTCATAGTTGGCATGAGAATACTTCTATTTTATTCTGTTGGCCAAAGTGGTTCAAGAGCCAGCCCAGATTCCAAAGAAAGAGACCCCACCTCCAAGAGCTGCGAAGTTACATCACACATGTCATGGGCTTAGGAGAGAGTGAAAAACACAACCATTTTTGTATCCTATCTACCAGAGTTTCATCCACAGAGACTCTTATTCAACAATTGGGGATGAGAATCAGAATGTATTTTGAGTGTGTGTTCCAGATGATTATACAAAGTCCCTCAAGAATCATTGCTTGAAAGCATCACATGTCCTCAAGCCATTCCACCTTCCTTCTGGGTCCTGAACACATCTGCTGTTTCCAGCAATATGGTCTTGACATATATGGTTCCTGCCACCTGCCACTATTGTCCCTGGACCTGGCCTAATGAATCCCTCCTCACACTCTAGGTCTCAATCTTCTCTGATTTTTCAGACTATGTTTGCCAGACCCATTCCCCCTTTTGCATTTATATAACACCCTTTGCCTTTCTTCAAACTAATCTTCACAGTGTTAGTTGTTTGATGTCTTCCATGACAAATGGTAACTATCACGAGGCACTGGACACATCTAATTTGTCATCACTGTATCCACAGAATCTTATTAAGGTCCTACACCAGAGAGGGATTCAATAAATATTTACAAAGAGCAGAAAGACACTGCTTTGAATCTTGTATTAGAATCAATCTCAACCAGACACTGATTCTATCCTCAGGAGACACTTTTGGGATAGCTGGTTTGGACCAGTAGAAAGTCATTGATGTTTTCTAGGCCAAGAGAGACAATATCAGAGCAACTGTGGCATTCGTAAGGTAGACTGCAGGGTGAATGTGTAGGTTTTCTAAAGGGGTCTGGCAACCCTGATTGAGATGGAGGTGGGAAGGGAGGAGTATTTCATACAGAGGATGCCAGAGTCAACAGTCCCAGGGCAGTAGGGTTTGAGGGATGTTTGCCCTGGGTGGCTTAACCAGGAAGAAAATCCAAATGGTGAACAAGAAATGTTTCCATGGGCTGAGCATCAGAAAAGGAGGAAAGTGAAGGGAGGGGGCTTAGACGGGAGAACAGAGACCTTGAAAGGACTTCATAAATATGTGGGACTGAATGAACAATTGGTGATGTCAGAAGTCAGAAGTCAGGAGAGTTAGGAAGACACAGAATCAGAGATCCAGGAAAAACAATGAAAGGTAAAATCAAGGTGTTGGAGACCCCTTTCCTACTTGGGATATAAGGCTGGACATGGATGTCTGGAAGATAAACAAGGCTGCTGTGAGAACCCCGGAGAGAATAGAGTAGCTGGGATTCAGATTTTAGCAGGCCTCAAATTTCCACTTCTTAAACTTGCCTCATTCTTCTGTGCCTTGGGACTTTACTGAAGTTGAAAGAACATGTGTCAGCCCACATCTGGCACATCTGCATCAAAGGCAGAAGACTCTCCCCTGTGTCCCGTCATCTTCGTAGCTGATCGTGTTTAACTGAGAGTCTCCTGCAAGTGATTAGAAAAAGGATTTCTGCTCTCCCTGCACTATGAGGTAATAGCAGACATCTAACAGCAGTGCCTCTTTTCACAGGGATGCTTTTCTTTGGCACGTTCAAGGGCTGGCGTGGGGAATCTCCATTCCCAAGCCCAAGAGATTGCATTTGAGACCTGGTTTCTCTTAGCAACAATAAAAAAATAAAAAAGCAATCCCTTCCAAAATCCGTCAATCTCAAAACCACAATCTGTTTATCCAGGGAGTAAAGAACTGCCAACATCTGCACCCAAACCTCACTCTTCCAATCCGAAGACTTGAAAGATGGGGACACACTTGATTTTTACTGTTCAATTATGAAGGGAAATCTTAGTTTTCTATCACACTCACTCAGCTTGAATGCTTTTCACATGTTCCTCCGTTTCACGCTCCCTTTCATCTCCCAAAATAGCCACATCAATGATGAATTCTTCCTGCGTGTTTTCTTAAATAAGCTCATGTCTCGTTGAGATTTTATTACCTGCACAGAGGGCTGAGTCATGTGAGATTCACATATTATTCCTCTGGGCTGCATCTCCAGGCAGGGTGCTCCTACCTCCTCCCCATTTCACCATTCAAGCTCCCCTCCTTCCATCAGCTCTGACCCCACAGGCTTTCTTATCCTTGCTGATAAGCTGAGTTGTCAGACGCACTGCAGAGCCGCAGCTAGAGACACTGCTAAGTGATTGCCACAGATGAGGATGATTCTCTTTTAGCTTGGAGTCAGTTACCTTCATTTCTTGGATTTGGAAGCAGGAAACATCCACATGTCAGGTCCCACCACCCTCATTTGGAAGAAATGATTTTAACGGCTGGCTGGCGCTTGAGTTATCCACAGGATGTGTGGAACCGGGAAGAGATGTAACTCGATGCATAATGCTGGCAGACAGCACGTCACAGCCACATCTATTGCCAGAGAAATGGAATACAGCGATAATTTCACCTGATTTTCACTATCAAGTAGAACTTCTCCCATCAAACCTAAGTAACAATGTAGCCTTGGGAGCCAGAAAAGCCCAGTGAGCCAAGAGGAAAGAAGCCTTTGTTCACACTGTGGACCACCTATTTCTTCACTGACACCTGGTCCCAGTTCGTCACCCTCCTGAGCCTCAGTTTTCTCCCTTGAAAAGTGGGGATAATAATGTTTACCCTGAATTATTGTCAGAATGAAATGACCTCACACATATTAAGCATCTGACATGGCATCTGCTTGAAAATTTTTAGTTGAATGTGGCTCTAAGTTGAGACGGGAAAGGAATACTGAAGGGTGAGGGGAAAGAATGATGGGAAAGGAACGATGCAGCCCAGATGCTGCCAGAAGTGAAGGAAATGCCCATGCCTTGAAAACTTCTGAAATTAGGACAGGCACGGTGGCTCCCACCTAGAATTTCAGCACTTCGGGAGGCCAAGGCAGGTGGATCACTCGAGGTCAGGAGTTGAAGACCAGCCTGGCCAACATGGCAAAACCCCATCTCTACTAAAAAATACACACACACACACACACACACACACACACAAATAGTCTGGCGTAATGGAGGGTGCCTGTAGTCCCAGCTACTTGGGAGGCTGAGGCAGTAGAATCACTTGAACCTGGGAGGCGGAGGTTGCAGTGAGCTGAGATTGTGCCACCGCACTCCAGCCTAGGCAGCAGAGCAAGACTCCATCTCAAGAAAAAGAAAAGAAAACTTCTGAAATTAAACTTTTAGTACCTGGAATGATAAAGCAATTCAATGCTTGAGTTGATTTGTGCCCTAGGAGAAGAGAATAGTAACACTTGAGAAGAAGAGAGTATGAATGATAAGTCCTGAAAGAACAAGATGAACAGGTTCATTGCAAAATGCACAGTGCATTCAGGGAACAGAGATACAGTTTACTACAATGCTGAGGGAGTAATAATTATAAATGAGCACGTGGTGAAAAAATCAGAACACTTAGCAAGGAGGTTTACACACAGAGTGCCTTTGAAATTAAACTCAGGTATAAGAAACACATGTGGCGTATTCAAAAGACATTGGATGGTAATCAGGAAGCCTGGGTTCCAGTTCTAAATTGCTGATTCTCCTAAAACAGTCCCTTCCTCTAGGGTCTTATTTGCTTATTTTATCAATGAAGGGGTTGAAATGAGTGTTTTCAAAGATCTTTTCCACTGTGGCTTTTTTTTTTTTTTTTTTAAATGAAGTCTCACTGTCTCCCAGGCTGGAGTGCAGTGGCACAATCTCGGCTCACTGCAAGCTTCGCCTCCCGGGTTCATGCCATTCTCCTGCCTCAGCCTCCCGAGTAGCTGGGACTACAGGCGCCCGCCACCACACCCAGCTAACTTTTTGCATTTTCAGTGGAGACGGGGTTTCACCGTGTTAGCCAGTATGGTCTCGATCTCCTGACCTCGTGATCCACCCGCCTGGGCCTCCCAAAGTACTGGGATTACAGGCGTGAGCCACTGTGCCCAGCCTCCAGTGTGACTATCTATGGTCCTTGGCGAATCATTCCAGTGAGCAGAAAGCTGGGATTTCAGGAGCTAGGATCGCCAGAGACAGGATAACAAGTGTCAGGAGCTTCATGTTGGGAAGCACCTTGAGAATGTAGGCACTGGCCCCTTCAGCAAGCAGGATTGGACTGATGAGGGAAGAACGCTGAGGACCCCACAACCTCAGCAAGAAAGGCCAGAGGTCCCTCAGCTCCGTCACCCGTAGTACGGTTCTCCAAATTTTTTTTACACAAAAAGAGAAAGAGATCTCCCAGGGTTGGGGTTAACAATGGGCAGAGGCTTTGAAAGATGCTTTGCCAGCGTTTCTGGATGTTGAAGATTGTGCATTCTGGTGCACACTCAGCTTCCTGAGTCTAAGACATCAAAGGGCTTTTAAGTGTCACATTAATTGACAAAACCTTTGGAAGAGCTTAAGGAGTAAATAATTTTATTTTTATTTTTTATGTATTCATTTTTTAAAAATTTTTGTGGGTACATCGTAGATGTATTTATGGCACACATGAGATGTTTTGATACATGCATGCAATGTGAAATGAGCACATCATGGAGAATGAGGTATCTATCCCCTCAAGCGTTTATCCTTTGAGTTATAAACAATCCAATTACACTCTTTATTTTAAAATGTGCAATTAAGCTACTATTTAATAGTCACTGTGTTGTGCTATCAAATAGTAAGTCTTATTTATTCTTTCTATTTTTTTGTACCCATTAACCATCCCTGCCTCCCCTCCAGCCCCCCACCACCCTTCCCAGCCTCTGGTAACCATCCTTCCACTCTCTATGTCCATGAGTTCAATTGTTTTGATTTTTAGATCCCACAAATAGGTGAGAACATGTGATGTTTGTCTTTCTGTTCCAGGTTTATTTTGCTTAATGTAATGATCTCCAGTTCCACCCATGTTGTTGCAAATGACAGGATCTCCTTTTTTATGGCTGAATAGTACTCCACTGTGTATCTGTACCACATTTTCTTTACCCATTCATTGGTTGATGAACACTTACATTGCTTCTAAATCTTAGTTATTATAAACAGTGTTGCAACGTAGAAGTGCAGATATCTCTTTGACTCACTGATTTCCTTTCTTTCGAGTATATGCCCCACAGTGGGATTGCTGGATCATATGGTAGCTCAATTTTTAGTTTTTTTGAGGAACCTACAAACTGATCTTCATGGTGGTTGTACTAATTTACATTCCCACAGTGTACACGTGATCCCTTTTCTCCACATCCTCACCAGCATTTGCTATTGCGTGTCTTTTGGATACAGGCCATTTTAACCAGAATGAGATGATATTTCATTGCAGTTTATATTTGCATTTCTCTAGTGATACACGATGTTGAGAACCTCTTCATAGGCCACTTGTATGTCTTCTTTTAAGAAATGTCTATCCAGAACTTTTGCCCATTTTGATCAGATTCTTAGATTTTTTTCCCTATAGAGTTGTTTGAGCTCCTTGTATATTCTGGTTATGAATCCCTTGTCAGATGGGAGGAATAAGTAATTTTAAAACAGGAATTGAATTTCCCTGCAAATACACTTGTCCATTTAACAATCACTCAGCATCTGTAGGCTGCTAAGGCCAAAGATTTCAAGATGAAGTTCACCACCAAACAAAGGTGTTCCTGGTTCTCCTGAGTTCAAGTAACCATCATGCTAAAGAGGTCATTTCTTCTGCCTCATCTGTCACAGGCATTTCTCATCATGTGCTATGCAGCAGCCATTTTGAATGAGTCACTTGAAAAGAATCACTTTCTCCATGAGCAATGTGGTCATCTATTTGCCTTCCCCGGTCTTTTCCCCTTTATCCAGCAGTCAAAATCATATTCTTTTTAAATTAAGGCGCAACTAAGATGTCACCTTTAATATGAAATCTGCAGCTCAGATGTCACCTGGACCTTGGCCTGAATTAGTCTCCCTCGCAGCAGCACGTTGATTTCATCATGATAATAACACTTATTCCCACCTCTTTTTATATGTCAAGACTGGGTATGAGCTTCTTGTTTGTGAACCTCCATGTCTGTAAACTTCTTGTAGATAACAATTTTGGTTGTCCGCCTAAAACTCACTGTCCTCCCATTTTCCAGGCAGACATGCAGTCAGAGGAAGCAAGCCTTATCCATCCCTGGAGGCTGACAGCACTTACATGTTCACTCATCTACTGCCTCTTGAGGGTGTTGACTTAGGCATGGCCAGGTGAGTCTTGCTGGGAGCATAGAAGTGTTTTCTTTGCTGATTAAAAGAAAGACAGGTAATTATTCCCTAGATATAATTGTGCCTAGATGTGCTTCTTGGAACTGTCGTAGCTGCCTTATGACCTAAGAGTGGTTCTTAGCCTACATGCTTGAGTTGGTAGAAGAAATGTGGAAAGAACCTGGGTCTTGATGATGCCGTTGAGCAGCTGAACTGACCCTAGGGGCCAGAAAATCCTTTCCAATTTTCCTTTTCGTTTAGTTCAGTTGGGTCAGCATTTCCAGTTACTTGACATTGAAAATTTCATAACTAAAGGGCAGGGGTTATGTTATATTTGTCTTTAGCAATAATTACCATGGCTAAAACATAAAAAGATAATCAATAAATATTTGTTGAATTAATGAATGAATGGAATTTGCAGAAAGCCTACTACACATCAGCCCATGTGTGAGGATTAAGTAGAAAGAGATGCATTAAAACAAAGTGTTTTCTCCTAAAAGTTATCATGGTCAGGTGAGGAAGACATAAAAGTGAACAGAGAATTGTATAAAGTGCCATATGTGTTGTGTGCCTCACAGGTGCTAGTGGATTAGAGCTCTCTCCTGCGTAGAGTGAGTAACAAAGGATCTGGGATAGAAAAATGAGCAGGGTTTTGCCTGGAGAAAAGAAGGGAAAGGATGCTCAAAGCCAATGGGCTGCCATGGATAAAGCATAGGAGGCCTAAGAGAGGAGTACCTGGCCTGAGTGGGGTTGGTCTGGCACAGGGCATGGAGGCATTGCAGGAGAGGAGACTGGAGTGGTGACCTGGGCAGAGTCATGGTGACTTTAATGATTTATGCCGCAGCTAAGAGGGAACCATGAGCCACTTTTTTAAAAAAACCTGCCTCTCTAAAGAGTGAAGAGAAAGAAAGCACAGGTACAGGACATTTGAAACAAAAGTAGCTAGGTATTCTGTGGATGCTGCTATGGACAGCCTCTGTTCTAGAAACATCCAATTTAAGCATTTAAATATCGCCTTCATTATTTAGTAGCTGTGTGAATTGGGATGAATAACAGTTTTTGTAATGTAGCTGTGTGAACTGGGATGATATACTTCTTGATTCATAACACTGCTTGCCACATGGTATAAGCGACTAATAAGTAGTAGTAGCTGTTGTTATCATTGTTACTTTGGAAAGAGGACAGGTATTCTAGGTACCAGCTTAGTCTGCTTGTTTGTTTTGTTTTCAGACAAGGTCTTGCTCTGTCACCAGGGCTGGAGTGCAGTGGTGCAATCATAGCTCATTGCAGCCTCAACCTCCTGGGCTCAAGCAATCCTCCCACCTCAGCCTCCTGAGTAACTGGGACTACAGGCATGCACTATCATGCTTAGCTAATTATTTTATTTTTTGTAGAGATAGGACCTCCCTATATTGTCCAGGCTAGTCTTGCACTCCTGGCCTCAAGCAATCCTCTTGCCTCAGCCTTTCAAAGTGTTGGGATTACAGGTGTGAGCCACAGTGACCTGCCTTAGCTTAGTTTGAATAAAGTTTGATGACAAGCAGATGTCAAACATTCAGCTTGGAAAGCAGTTACCCCACTGCAGCTTCTAACATTTTAAAACAGCAGAGAAACCATTATTGCCCAGGAAGCATTCAGCAAAATTAACTGTGGTCAATGTCCAGTGTGCCATCTGTATCCCCCAAGAGTGCACTAACATGGACAGTGCCCATTTACCTAGAAATCTCCCTCAGCTGGAGCCCCAGTGCCAGAAAAGTGGAGAATTAAATTATGCACACCTCAGCCCTGTACTAGATAACCTCAAGTTGCATGGATTTATCAAACGAGTAGTTATTGTGCTATGTTAGGAATATGTTTTGAAAGGAACACTAAGTTTTAAAAGGGAGCTGCCACTTCTATGATTTGGTTATAAGATTCTATTTATTTATTCATTGAAATTATTCTATTCCTGTGTCAGTCTGTTTGTGTTTCTGTAAAGCAATACCTGAGACTGGGTAACTTATAAATAAAAGAGGTTTATTTGGTTCTGCAGGCTGTACAAAAAGCATGGCGCCCACACTTGCTTCTGGTGAGGCTTCAGGCTGCTTCCACTCACGGCAGTAGTTGAGGAGGAGCCAGCCTATGCAGAAGTCAGATGGCAAGAGAGGAAGCAAGAGGGAGAGGAGGAGGCGCCAGGCTCTTTTTAGCAACCAGTTTTCAGGGGAACCAAAAGTAAGAACTCACACTCCCATGAGAAAGGCACCATGACGTTCATGAGGGACCCAACCTCACCCCCAGGATCCAAATGCCTCCCACCCTATGCAACCTTACCTCCCACAATGGGGATCAAATTTTAATATGAGACTTAGCAGGGCCAAACAAACCATATTCAAACCACAGCATCCTGGAATCTGGACTGGCCAGTGATGAAGAGCAGGAGCTTTGGTCTCACAGCTCAGTTTTACCACTTATTTATTTGGATTTAGTTTTACTACAAAAAAAGACTGTAGCATTGTGTATTATAAAGATTGAGAAAAATATTGTACTTAGGTAAACAGGGTGCCTATCCTTATTGATTGTTGTAGCTTCAACCCCTAAAAGTTTAGAAATGGATACAACATGAGTTTCCAGGTGACGGGGCACCCAGACCTCTAGGCAGGTGTTCAGAATCCAATGTGGCACATAATCAAATAGGAATATACTATTTTAGCTTGAAGAAGGAGTTATCTGACTTTGTCTTATGAGGAGTTTAAGACCATCTCTTAGAGAAGTCAGCACTTGAGTTGAGACTAGAAGAGCAACTGGGAGTTTACCAGGTAGGCAAGATGGGGATGTGAATGGAAGAAGAGGGAAAGAATTCGGCACAACCTGATAAGCACAAGTGGTTCAGTAGACCTGCAGCAGAGGAAGGTGACCAATGAGGCCAGACACAGACCTGAGGCTGTTGCTGTCATGATCTTCCCCATTTTAAGGAGCTTGGATTTTTTTTTTTTTTTTTTTTTGGATACAGAGTCTTGCTCTGTTGCCCAGGCTGGAGTGCAATGGTATGATCTCAGCTCACTGAAACCTCTGCCTCCCGGATTCAAGTGATTCTCCTGCCTCAGCCTCCCAAGTAGCTGGGATTACAGGCGCCCACAACCACACCCAGCTAATTTTTGTATTTTTCGTAGAGACAGGGTTTCACCACATTGGCCAGGCTGGTCTCAAACTCCTGACCTCAGGTGATCTGTCAGCCTTGACCTCCCAAAGTGCTGGGATTACAGGCGTGAGCCACTGCGCCTGGCCGGATATTTTTCTTTAAGACTATGAATATCTATTGAGAATTCATACCCTCACTTTAAATCTGCCATGGATTTACACATCTAATCCCATATTCATATTTTGCCAGGTTGAAGTGACCCACTTTTTTTCTACAATATTTTCATACAGAAGAATATTTCCTCCTTTATCATTAAAATATCCTTTGAACAGTTCACTCCTTTGCTGAACAGACCATGTGCTCTATTCTAGGCATAGCTGTGAGCAGCCTGCTGGGGAGAAGAGGGGTGCACGCCTTTGCCATTGTTCAGAGCTCCGCAGAGAGTCAGTTCCAGGACGGAGATAGGCACTGTCAAATTTGCCCTGCTCACCTCTCCAGGTTCCTTTCCCACCACCATCTTTGCTACCGCTTGGTGGTGCCATACCAAGCTCATTCAGTGGAGTTAGACGCACTCATGTGTGCTCTCGCAATGTCACTTCTGGGCTTCCCACCTGCCATTCCCTCTGCCTGGAGCCCAACCTCCCTCCCCTGTCTGCCCTTCTAGCCTTTCACTCCCACTGACTTTTCTGATACCCTCTTAGATGTTTTTTTCATTCGAGAAGCTTTATCCCAAAAGCTTTATCCCCTGTAAGTCTGGTCCACCTGTCTTTCTCCTTTGCTTATTTCAGTAACGTTCTCTGGCTTTCTATCTATCAATTTCCCCCTCTCAACTGTAAGCACCATGAGGCCAGCAACCATATCTATCTCTATGTCCCCAGGATCTGGCCAGTGAGTGGCACATATTCTGCCCTCGGTGTGTGTGTGTGCGTGTGTGTCTGTGCAAGTGCCTGTGTCTGTGTCTCTGTGTGTGCCTGTATGCATGTGTATCTGTGTGTGTCTGTGTCTCTGCATGCGTGTATGCGTGTGTGTGTGTGTGAGCAGGTGTTCATGTGTCTATGTGTGTGTGTGTGTCTGTGTGTGTGTCTGCATGTTTCTGTTTGGGTGCATGTTAAATGAGAGCCAAGACCCTGATTCAAGTGCTGGCTCTGCCACTTACCTAGGCTCGTCTATTTCCTGCTTTCCATCTTTTCCATTCTGTTAATTTCCATTGTCAATTCCCTAGTTCAGGTCTTTGTAATTGTTTCCCTGGATGTTTCTAGAACCTTCCTTTGAGTCTGCCCTCCCTCTTCCCAATGCTGCCCTTTGCTTGCTTTCATATAATTTTTGTTAAAACATTGGTAAATTCTATCTCTCATAAAAACCTTAGAGCTTATTTTAAAAACTTCCAACTCCTTAGTCTAGCTTACGAGGCTCTCTACTATCTAATCTCAAACCAGCTTTCCAGCCACTCCTCCCATGAACTCAGTGACTCACCAGCACCAGAGGCTGGCATTTCCTGAGCGCCTCACCAACCGTCACACAGCTGGGCCTTAGTGCAGCTCTCGTGTCTGCCCGCATGTCTTTCCCGACTCCTTTTTCTACCTTGAGAAATACTCTGGGCTCATACAGCTCTTGTTCTCCACCGCCTGCCTCCAGCAATCACCATGTTTGTATAACGGTGACATTACTATCTGCTTTCTCTATTCGACAGTAACTTTCTTAAGCAGAGACACAATGTCTTCTCACCCTTTTCTCTCCTGTGGGACTGCATGGGTTGCTCACATGGCATGGGATGGAAGCTGGTCAATACACGTTTCTGGCAGGAATAAATATCCAAGCATGAGGGTCTAAGTGGTTCACTTTATTAAGGAAGACTTTGTGGTACACATTTTTTCCCTATCAAGGAAATACAAGTATGTTGGCAATACCATATTCCCTAATGAGGCAAGATTTACAAATAAACTGCAGCTTAGAAGGTAAGTTTCTCATGAACCTAATGTAAGTTGAAGGCTTGAATAAATACGTGGGACTCCTTGAATGGTTGTTTAGAATTTCCTGGGGAAGAAATCCTTGATGCCCAGGCTGTACTCTGCATTTGCAATTTTGATTACCTCCTACCAAGCAAACCAAAATCTCTTGCATTGGAACCTGGGCATTAGTATTGTTTAAGCTCCCCCCAAAATCAGCAGAAGAGCAGCCAAGGAGAACCAGTACCTGAGCAAAAGAGACTGAGGAACCAGTGAAGAAAGTGGCTCCTCTGACTGAGGCAGGGTGGAAAGAGCCTGGTATGTGAGGCAGAATCCTGTTTCTTGGCTCTGAAAGCCCTGGTCCTGGGTCAATAGCCCTCAACCCTGATGGCATGTTGGAATCACCAGAAGAGCTATTAAAGACTACCAGCTGGGACCAGGCACGGTTGCTCATGTCTGTAATCACAGCACTTTGGGAGGCCGAGGTGGGTGGATCACCTGACGTCAGGAGTTTGAGACCACCCTGGCCAACATGGTGAAACCCCATTTCTACCAAAAATACAAAACTTAGCCAGGTGTGGTGGTGCATGCCTGTAATCCCAGATACTCTGGAGGCTGAGGCAGGAGAATCACTGGAACCTAGGAGGCAGAGGTTGCAGTGAGATGAGATAGCACCACTGCACTGCACTCCAGCCTGGGTGACAGAGTGAGACTCCATCTAAAAAAAAAAAAAAAAAAAAAAAGACTACCAGCTGGATGGTTAATTTTATGTGTCAACTTGGTTAGCACATGGTACCAAAATATTGGTATATTGGCCAAACATCAGTGTGGAAATATTCATGAAGGTAGTTTTTAGATGAGATTAACATTTAAATAAGTAGACTTTGGATGAAGCAGATTAACTTCCATAATGTGGATAGGCCTTGTTCAATCAGTTGAAAAAAAGGCAGCTCTGTCCAAAGGCAGAGGAAATTCTACCTCCAGAATCAAGCTACAGCATCAGCTTTTCCCTGGGTCTCCAGCCTGCTGGCCGACTCTTCAGACTGTGGACTTGCCAGCCTCCATAATCACATGAGCCAATATCTGAAAATCTCTCTCTGTGTCTCTTTCTCTCTTTAGACACACACACACACACACACACACACACACACACACACACATACATCATTGGTTCTGTTTCTCTGGAGATCTCTGACTAATACACCAATCCCTGGGGTTCTTATGTTCGAGATTAGAACCCAAACATTGGCAGTTTTAGAAAGTTCCCGACGTGATTTCACGTGCAGCCAGCGTTGAGAACTACTATTCTAAGTGTTTCTAAATGTTATCCCATTGCTAACTGCCCTCATGGTTTTTCCATTTGAATATATTTGCAATGAAAATTTCACTAGAACACCTTCTTTCCTGACCTGTGCACTCTCAAAATGTGTATGTTGGCATCTTCACTCCCCAGTGTGACTGTATTTGGAGTTAAGGCCTTGGAGATGACTAAGGTTAAATGAAGTCACAGGGATGGACCCTAGTCCAATGCAATTGGTGTCCTTAGAAGAAGAGAGGGAGATACCAGGAGTGTATGTGCACAGAGAAAAGGCCACGTGAGAAGAAGGTGGTGATCTGCAAGCCAAGGGCAGAGGCCTCGAGACAACCTCAACCTGCTGATGCCTTGATCTTAGACATCTAGCTTCCACATGTGAGAAGTAACTTTTTCATATTTGTGAGAAATCAATTTCTGTTGTTTAAACCACAAGGTTTGTGATTATTTGGTTACAGGAGGCCTAGCAGACCAACCAGCCAGCAATGCAGTGTTTTCATGACCTTGCTCAGACTGAATCCGAATTGGCCACTGGGCTTCAATTCACATGGCTTTTCTCCAAATTGGGGTTACACTGGGGAAGGTTTCTGGGGTGAGGTTTTATTGGCCATGTTGAAGCAAAGCTAGCCCCACCTGACCTGGATAAAAGAGGCGGGGGAGTGGGGAGAGGCAGCTGTTTCCAGTGAGTGGGCTCCAGTTTGCCTGGTTACCCCTGTGTTGGTGAAACTTTGCCCCAGTGGCTGGACTCCACAAGCTACTTTGTGCAGAGCAGCCTCTGTATGATGCCACACTTCTATGCCAAGAAACTCCATTAGGAAACACTTAGCCTTGGCATTTTCCATTTGTCCCCTGTTCCATTAACAGCATCCTCTTGACTTTGGAAGGCAGACCACTCTGCTCCTCAGTCCACTCCAAAGTGCTTAATAAACTTTGTTTCAGGATGATGGATGCTGTAATGGAAAAAAAAAGGAGCAGGGGCTTTGCACCCACACTGACTTGCTACCAAACCCTGCCTCTCTCATTTGGGAGTTGAGAGAACTTCGGAAAACTTTTCTGAGCCTTCATCCACTCATATGCAAAATAGGGATGAAAGAAACTTTTACACAGTTGACATATGGGTGAATTAAGAACATAGCATGGTGTCTAGCACATTGTAGCTGTCTAATATTCCCTTTTTCACTGATCTTTCGAATGTATACATTTGAACATAATTTGTTTTAATTTTTAACTTAATGTTGAGCATTTGCTGACAATGGATAGATTATAGTATATTGGAGCTGAAATGTTCTTTGAGTTTCATGGTCTAATCCATTTCACTTTACAGGGAAAGCCATCTGCCCATGATTTGCACAGCAAGTTGTGTTCAGCTGGAACGAGACCCCAGTCTCCCTGACTCCTGCACTTTCTAGAGGACCTTGTGCCTGATAGGGCAAACAGCCACCAAATTTTGCTTAGTTCAGGATTACCATGTGGGTTTCATTCCTTCCCAGACAATTTCCAGCTCACCCATTGGAATCTCAACCCCAATCTGCCTCATTCCTCAGCATTCCCATCATAATATAGGCCATTGAGTTACCTCAACTTTTCCCTGCATAAACACATCTCTCAAGTTTGTTTGCACAGTCCCAGGCACCTAGGTACCTCCTGGGTGAGTGCTCCCGAACAGCAGAGCCATTCTTCCCTTTCTTCAGAGGCCTTCATTTTATAGAAAATTGGGCTTGATGGCTTTGATTGAATGCAGTAGAAAAGAGCACATCACACAATGCATGAAGAAGGTACATTGGGTTAAACACCAGGTACTTGAACTAGGAGAAAGAAAGCTGTCTTTCCATATTTTAATATTTACCTACAGCTGAAAACAGTGGTATGGCATCTAACAAGCTTGAGATCTGGTTCTAGCCTTTCTCGGCATTCCCTCTGCTGTCCTCCCATCCACTTTCCTACAAATGGGAGAGAGCTTCATTCGGGAAAACAACATGTCCTTGCACATGACTTTCTCTTTGCCTGGAAGGGTCATCCCTGTGTTTTCTATCTGAAAAACTTCATTCTTCTATCAAAACCTACTTAGAATCCCATCTCTTCAATAGAGTCTTCTGATTTTCTACCACTGTCCTCTGTGCTAACTCCATACTTTGTGGTTATCTTTAAATATCGTCTTTGTCTCCCGAAAGGATAAGTTTGGCTCTTTGTACTGGGCTGTTATTTCCTAAAGTTGCTGTGGGTAATAGCCATGTGAGAAAAATGTGTGTGTGTGTTTAGGGGAGAGTATTACTCATTAAAAATTTGAGAAAGCTGTTAAGCTAGTTGCTTTTCTGAAAGACAGAGCTTTTCAGTGTGGAGATACATTGAATCTTCATGGAGATTACATTGTGTATATCCATGAAGAATGAGAGGGAATTCAACGTTTTCTAAAACTTTTGCACATGGCATAGTTTTGATGGTTCATCCCCAAGGATGAATGTTCTGTAACATATTCAGAGGAATTTTGCACTGTTTCATAAGTCCTCTGAGGGAAAATAGTGAGTCCAATATATTTCTATCTTCCCAGGACCTAGCATTGAGCCTGATGCTGAATAAATAACTCAGTCAATGTATATGTATTGAGTGGAATAAACAGAATCACATTAGATTACTCACTCTCCAACCCAAGGCTGAGCAGAGAATCTGGAAGTGGGTAGCAGAGCAAGGCGAGCTCTTCCCTCTTTCCAAGAATTGACTAATTCTCATCAGGAACAGGCAAGATGCTCAAGCGGCCACTCTCTGCTGCAGCCCCCACACTTCTGACTCACAGCAAGCTCCCAGTGCCTCCCTCAGGAGAAAAAAATGTGAAATGTTTTGGCTGGAACTCAATGGCCAAGAATCTCACCACCTGCCATACTTTTTTAGGGAGTGCTATTAATTTGACAATAGTCCTTGTTTTTTTGTTCTCGCACAGACTGTCTGGGTTGCGGAGAAGCTGGCCTGGCAGAAGGAAGTGGGGCTTTTGCAAATAGTTTCCAGCATGGATCCTGTTCTCAGCCTGGCAGCTCCCACACACTGTCTCTCAAAGTAACCCGAAGCAGATATGCTAAGAGACTCCAGCGTTTTCAAATTGTTCTCTTGGCTCACAGGATGAGCTGGAAGCCCTTGAACATATCACCAGGGTTGAGATTGGCAGACATCCCCTCAGAAGATGCTGAGTTCTCTGTTTCACTTGGCCGGGTCACTAGGGGTACTGGCTGAAGTGGAAGCTGCTAGGCAAAAACAGTCCAATGGCCCTGGGTTTTGGCAAAGTCTCTAGAAGGATTTCTTAAATGTTCTGGTTTTAGCAGAGGCCAAATTATCTTTCTGAAGTATG
Organism: Homo sapiens; assembly: GCF_000001405.40. Classification (NCBI taxonomy): domain Eukaryota; kingdom Metazoa; phylum Chordata; class Mammalia; order Primates; family Hominidae; genus Homo; species Homo sapiens. The sequence continues at coordinate 12,320,934 of NC_000002.12, read as the reverse complement.
TGCTCCCTTAATATCAAAACTTTCACATTTCATGGGAAATTCAAACCATATGTTTCCGTGCTATTTACCTTTAATGTACTCAAATGCCATCTTGTAAGAGAAGTTTGATTTCAGGAAAAAAATTGAGTCATCAATAAGCCCCCTTTCCTTGAGTCACGAATCAGTATTTTTCTTTTTTCTTTTTTTTTTTTTTTTTTGCAAATTCCCCCAAATCTCCCATGCAAAGAACTCAGGTTGGATCCTAAGTCCTTGGACCAGACATTTCCAGAAGGAACATTTTAAATTCAATTATGTTCTAAACTCTTCATGCTTTCTTTCATCCATATTTACAACCATAAATTGTAGCCACACAGTTACTAGAAGCAAAGAAGCCAAATAGATGTTGAAATGATGACGCTGGCGCTGGAGCGATGTGATTGTAGTCAATGTTTTGTTTTGTTTATTCTTGACTGATAAAGATCATTTCACAGTTTATTTTTAGTCTTGTTCATAGAAATGGCATTGTTCCTTGAGTACAAACGAATTAAATTTGTATTTAGAATTGTCATTTCATTTAAGTGGTACAGAGACTTATGATTTCATGCATTTGGGTAATAAACCAATTTTACCATGGCCCTGCCAGGTGCCAGTCACAGGGGAAGTCACATACATGAGATGTGACCACTGGTGGGAAAACACAAGGTCAAATGGGGAACTGAGTTTCTAATACACAGTCAGAAATGCGCGACCAGTGATTGGGAAAAAGATCAGATGCAGATCCAGATTGATTTACGGAGAGCATGCATGTTTACTGATTGTATAACAATCCAGTGGCTTCTTAAAAGTAAAAACCAGCAGAGATAAGCAGGCCTATCACAAGCTCAGAAAAGACATGTGCAGTGTAGTCACAGCCTTTTAATCAGATGTATAAAGAAACAGCCAAGGTTATGAGCTCTAGAATCAATGCACCTGCATTTGAATCCTAAGTGCAAAATGACAGAATAAGTCAAGAGAAAGGCAGGCCTAGACCCCGGGTTTCCTGACTCTGAAGCCAGTGTTCTTTGACAGTAATAAGCAACATACACCACAATTCCCTCCACCTACTTCATCTCCAGATCTGGACAGTGACCGTTGTACTACATAGTGCTGACTTACTAAGTAAAGTCACCAGTGAAGTTCCTTAGAAACAACAAAGCTTTGAGACATATATTTTTCTAGACATTACCCATTAAACTACAGCAACTAGGTAATCCATTCCATGGTAACATTACCTACAAAAATTGGTTTTTACTCAGTTATCTAGAAAATAAACAACAATAAATCTCCAAGGAGCCTTGGTAGGGAAGCATCTCTGCCTTCTCTTCAGTCTGACTGTGCTTCTCACATTAGGGTGAGGTCAGTCTTGGAATCTGTGGCAGTGAACCTGGTTTTATGCAAATCCAGGCACAAATATGGTACCTCTCCTGGGAGGGTCAATTCTACTGGAAATTTGGAGGGAAACATTATTTTGTATTAGAGACACAGAGACAGCAAAATGCAACATTGCCTGAATTAAAACAAGGCATAGAGCTTACAGTTTTGTTTTAAAACAATAGCTTACATTTATGGAGCCCTTAAATAGAGGAACTTAACATATATTAAGGATTAACATCTATTAACTTAACCTTCAGAGTAACTCAATAAGGAAGATAAAATCGTTGAAGCCAACAAGAATCCAAACTGAGAGAGGCAACAGAAGTTATCCAAGACACGCAGCTCCCAAACGTATAGGGATTCAAATCCAAGACACTCTACCCCAGAACCCATAAATATAACCACTATGTTACATTGCCTCTCACTCTGGTATTTACTGGAAAGACAGTTTTAGCTATGTCACCATAAAGCAAGGGAGTATTCATTCACTCTCTCCTGTTGGCTTTGAGTACACAGTGGAAAATTTTGAGACGCCTTGGATTCTAGCTTCCCCCATGGCTGGTGGCAGTTATATAACATGCACATCAGTAAAACAGCTGAATTGCAAATAGTCTACTAACCTGGAAGGAATGTCTGAATGCCTCCCACACCACAATGGTGCTAATTCAGTTGGGAGAGTTTTGTGGGTTTGCTCTGATTTTATTGAAATAAAGGGTTTGGCTATCATAGTTGGTAACTTGAGTGTGTCTTTTGATCCATGTAGAAATAGCTCATCTAAATGACATTTACATGTTATTCTTAACTGCCTGCGGAATCAGATAATCCTTTCCCCAGAAGGATGTCGGCAGCCTCCATAATTTGTGAAGGAAAAGCATCCGGGAACGAACATGCTGTCAGGCGTGCCTTGAGGCATGATTTCTGGGTTGATGATTCACATACTTTTATAGCTTTGGTTTTTCACGGTCTTTGTTTTTAAAAAGCAATTTGAATGTACGTGAGCTTTATGACTGTGTGTATTCTTAGGGAGGCATTTGAGAGTATTTTTCCCCACATATTTAGGAACTCAGAATGTAATCTGGGAGACAGTAGAATTTGATTTGAGGTTAGAGAGTGCCCAGGTGAATGAGAAGGCTGGAACCTCCTGTTCCAATAGGCCAGCTCTGAACTGTGCCAGGGATAAATAGACCAGGAAAAAATATTGTGTCATAAACCCAGACCTTGACTTTTCACCAAAGGTCTCACCAAATGGCGTAGGGCTGTCTCAGGGCCCGAGTGTTCTGTGCAGGATGTGAAAGTTCAACATGGAAGAATTCCAAAATGTATGACTAGTCTGAAGTCAGAGGAAAAGTACCATGCAGGCTCTGATTCACTTAGAACTCAGGGATCTGTTTGCAAAGGCAGTGGAAGAGACACAGACATTAATGTAAGTAACTCTGCCTCAGGTGTACAAGGGGAGCAGTAAAGGCCACCGCCAGGAGGCCATCAATCTGGCCAGAGCCTTGGTCAGTAGCTTTAGCAACGCATGTGTGTTGATCTGAGACTTACTTGCCTGGCAGCACTCTTCCCATGCCCAGTGTCTCACGTCCAGGTGGTAACTGTCAGTCCTGCCCTCTTGACATTCCTCAAGGCCAGCCTCATTCTACTCCCACACTCTCCATAGAGCCTCCCCATTTCTCTCCTGGATACCTGGAATAGCCTCCCACCTAAGTCCGTGGCTCCCTGCTGAGCCTCACTCTGCAAACTTTCTTATCCCTAGCTTCCAGGGACATCTTTCTAATACACAGTTCTGATTGTGTCTCTGCCCTGTCAATAAAATCTTGGGAAGCATTGCATGACAATAAGGAGTTGTCCTTATTGTCATGGCATGGATCACCCTTGATCCACGATCCTGGGCTTTGCCTCCCTTTGTGCCCCTCTTTCCACACACCACACTCTGTTCCATTGGCGTGCTGGACTCTCAGATTCTGTGCCTTTGCTGATAGCATGTGTTCTCTCTGCCTGTGACATATCTGACCTCACACCCACACTGCTTCTGGCCTGCTGGGTTAACACATTTGTGTTCTCCAAGCCTCAGATATTGTGGCTGCCCCCAGGCCACCTCTGTTGGTTTCTCCAGGGTCTTTACACACCCTCCCCTGTCAACGCAGGCTATCCTGTTGAAACCACCTTTGCAAAAATTATAGTAGTAACAAAATTATGGTAGTAAAAGATCTGATCAAACCCATCCTTATCTTGCCTTTCCCTTAATTATTCCTGGGCTTTTGGGTTAAGCTAACTTTGAGAGACATTTAGTTTATAGTTTAAATGATAATAGGCCTTCCCCCAAACTCAACTACCTCTGTAAAGTGAATGAAAGGGCATCACCTGGGGGAGAAGGGGAATCTGAATTTTGGTAAGGTGTAGACATAGATGATTGCCAGCCATTCCTGCAAATAACTCCACTATTGTAGAACCTAAGATCGGCCAATTGAGCTATCTTTTCAGGTTTTTTGCGTGTCTGACACACATGGCTCTACTTGGGCCCACTGACCCTTGCTCCTATGACCCCCATCCAGAAGCAACTGAGCTCAAGTGGACACTGTTGACCCCCTGTAATTTCATCTCTGCCCCGATTCGGCAGCAAACACCCATTACCTGGCCACCCCCACCCTCTCCCACAGACTGTCTTTGAAAAACCCCTGACCTACGAGCCTTGGATGAGATTGATTTGAGTAGTAACTCTATGTCCCACGTGGTATGGCCAGACTTCCATCCATTAAACTCTTCCTTTACTGCAACGTCATGCTCTTTATTTGTGCAGTGGGCAAGAAGAACCCACTGGACAGTTATACTGTCACTGCCACAACAGAGTGACTCATCTCTGTACCATGTCATTTTTTACCTGACTGTCTCTCCCTCTGCACTATGAGCTCCTCAAGGGCCAAAACAGTGTCTTATGTGCCACTGTGTCCACAACACCTCACATTGGGCCCAACCCTGAGTACATTTTCAGTAAATCTGTGCAAATTGAATGGAATTGAATTTACTTTATGCAAAATTGAGAGGCAGGGGAGATTTAAATGAATTATTTCTCTTCCAAACCACATGTCTGGATTATGCAAAAGGTAAAAGGATCTATCTTTGTGGCTGGTGACAATTCAGCCCCCAAAGGCAATGTGGGGTCACCACTGCTCAGCATTTCCAGGGCTCCCTTCCAGAGGAAAGCTTTGCAAGCAGGCACTTGGCACAGTCAGCCACCAACTCATTGTAGGGCTAAAAAGGTGTGCACACTATTTTGGAGTAGAACACCACTTGGGACAATTTGTATGGCTACCTAAATCCAGTGCTGCTTTCTTTCAAAAAGATAGATTTTTGTTAGTCTTCCTTGACCTTCTGCTCTTCAAAATTAGTTCCTTTGTACACAAATTATAAGGTTTAGGGATTGGAAAGAGGGAGAAGCAGACTGGTCTCCTCTTATCCCTCTGCTGTGTGGATGAGCAGATATTTGGAGAAGCTAGTGCATCCAAATTCTCTGAGCAACAGACTTCAACCTCAGGGTACTGTCATTGGGCAAGGAAAAGGTCATATCTACAAATCAAATTCACCTCTGTAAATATGGCTTATCCAATATAGGTTGAAATTCTTATTTGCACAAAGACCTGCACAACATCCTTGGAGAAAGCAGGGAAAGAGATTTGAGATGGATGGTTGGGAACAAAGAAACAAAGTATTTCCAGAGTTAATGCCCTAGACAGGCAAGCAGAGAGAACCCAGAAGTCAGTGACAACCTTCAGCTTTGAATCCAACTATCACGATGGGGAACCACACAGGTGAGATACTTGGTGACCCCCAGGAACATCCTTTTCTTAGTCCATTTATGCTGCTATATGAAAACCACCACAGACTGGGTACTTTAGAAATACAAGAAATTTATTTCTCATAGTTTGGGGGCTGGGAAGTCCAAGATCTCGGTGCCAGCAGAATCTGTGCCTGGTGAAGGATCTCTGCTTCCAAGATGGTGCTTTCTTGCTGCATCCTCACAGGGAAACCGTGTCCTCACATAGCAGAAGGGCAAAAAAGAAAAAGGGGAGGACACTGCATGAAGCCCCTTGATAAGAGGACTAATCCCATTGCTCCACCCTCATGACCTAATCATGCCTAAGAGCCCCACCTCTTAAAAATACTGTCACATTGGGGATCAAGTTTCAACATATGAGTTTGAGGGTGACACATTCAGATCATCTAATGCCCGGGAAGAACATGTTACAAGTTCCTTATTTTGTTTCCAGAGGATGGTAAAAATAAAACTGGTTGGTGTTATGGGCTGAATGTGTCCTCCTGAAATTCCTGTGTTGAAATCCTAACCCCTCATGTGCTGGTATTTGAAGGTGGGACCTATGGAAGTTAATTAAATTTAGGTTGGTTATCACAAGGGGGTTCTCCTGATGGAATTAATACCTTTATAAGAAGAAAAGAGAGAAGGAGATCTCTGTGCGAACACACACAGGGGAAATGCCCTGTGAGCCCGTAGTGACGGGGCTGCCTCTACAAGCCAGGAAGAGGGCCCTCATCAGAACCAAATCTGCCAGCACCTTGATCATGGACTTCCCAGCCTCCAGAATGTGAGAAATAAATGTCTGTTGTTTAAGCCACCCAATCTATGGTATTTTGTTACAGCAGCCCAAGCTGACTAAGACAGCTGGGCTAACGTTTGGTACAGAATAAACTGTAAACTTTAAAGCGTATCATGAGTTAGTGGAAGGAGCATGGAGAATATTTGTAAGCCGACCAGAGATGGATCCTTGTTTCACCAGCTTTGCAAGCCTGAGTGATTCACTCATTGTCTCTGCACTTCAGACTCCTCTCTACAAAGCCCACCCCCACTGGGATGTTGTGCTTATTCAATATGGTAGCATATGTGATGTGACGAATGAGCACCTGCTAGGGGCGAAGGCAGAGATGCAGCAGCAGGAGGAGGGAAGGGAAAGCACAGGGAGCTGTTGCTGCATAAGGCTGCAGGGAGAGAGGGGAAGGACCCAGGGGGCAGCAGCCCAAGCAGGGAAAACCCATAAGCTACGTAGGTCAAAAACAAACCACCCGAGACCAAACAGGAAGGTAAGGAGACCTGCAGAGATTAGAATACCTGTTACTGCCCTACCTGGGGGCTTGAGTCCAAAGCGCAAAGACAATTTCACAGGTGACTTCCTCTTTCCCCTCCTCCCCAGGCCGGATGAAATAAGAGTGTGTGGATTTCCTTGCAGGAAGGAAGGTAAGCAGTATCCCCACTGACATCAGGCAGAAGGCGGGGTCAGTCCCACAGCAAGAGCTCAATGGCTGCTTGTTCTGCCTTCTAAAAAGCTGAATGTAAGATTTAGGCTTGGTGTTTTACGTAAGGGAAAAGGACCTTGAAGACTATAGAAAGCAAATGGGTATTCCATACATACCCACTTCCTCTCTCCAGGAAGCTGAAGAAAGCTTAGCTCCTGAAGCACAGAAGAGCTAAACAAAGTACTCCAGCATCCTGTCGTTCTGACTTGTGTGATTCCAATTTGAATCACGCCACAAATGTAAAATGACTTCATTTTCCTGTGCCAGATCCCCTGGGGATCTCAGACTTTTTATGCCTCTCTGAAATGAAGTTCAGCCTAGCCCCAGTGAAGGAAAACGCTTCTATAGGCAGGAGGCTGCTGGAGCCAAAACATGAGCAGAGTCTATTCATCCTCCTTTGACAAAGCTCATCCTCTTGGAACAAGGGAACTTCAGTCCCTAATGTCTCAGGCTTGGCAGCACAGTGAGAGCTGGTTTCATGTGGAGGTTTAGAAACTAGTGCTCAAATATAAAACTTAGTGCCGGGAGCCCAGAAAGATCATCTGACTCTTACCCAGAGCTCTGCTCCTAAGATAACTCTAACCCTAGCCACATCTTTTGACATCCTTTGTAAACAATGAGGTCAGAAGGGTGCTCTCCACACGCAAGTCTGTTAAGTCTCATAAACAGTAAGTGGCCTTGGGTTGGGGTTTACTGGCTACGGATCCCCACCCCACTTGAAGAGCAATAGTAACCTGTGTCTTTTTACCAATACAGATGTTCATTCATTAGTTACAGGTTTACTGACCACCTACCGTAAGATAACAGGCACCCAGGATACAGAGAAGAAAACAACGTGGCTCCTGACCTCCCATTCCAAGTTTGAGAGACCTCATGGTACAGGTTTAGATCCAAATCCTGCCTCTCCTGTATGCCGCTTCTCATCTACAAAATGATGTGCACCATTTATACCTTGCAGCGGCACACTGAAGAATACATAAGCCAGCAGCTGTGGAGGACCCACACAAATGGGTTCTTCCTCCTGGTCCCATCCTTGTTTGCTTAGATTTGTGGTGGGGGCAGGGAGTTCTATATTCCCTGCCTTCCACTTCATCATCTTTAAGGAATTAACTGAAGGCAGTGAGTGTGAGTTGCAGTGTGAGAGAATTAAGTGGTTTGCACCCCTCAATGCTAATTAAGCAAAGTCAGCATGCTAAGCAGGTTGATACAATGACTATTCTAAACCAGAAATGAAGAAGCTGTGCATGAGGAAGGTATATCATACAAAGAAAGAATTGGTCTGATCGGTTAACCAAGCAATTGTAATGCCCCACCCCAAGAATCTTCTGAATGTAAACAGACCCATGTTAATTTTGTACAAAAAAGACTTCCCGGAAAAGCATAGGAAAGAAAACAGTAGGCAAATGTGGAGATATCAGAAAGGCTGTACAGAAGATCATCTCAGAAAAGAAATGATCTTGTGTCCCTAGGCAGAGACAGAATTAGAGGAGGCTTTAGAGGTGGCCAGAGGGATTTATTTAATCACACTCATAATAAAAAGTCAAGGCCCTTCCATCTTCAAATTCTAGCACATCAATTCATACTCATCCTCTGGAGATTTTGGGGTTAGGAAACTGCATTTGCCTCTTATTATGAAGTTAGTTGAATGATATTTCTTTGATTTCCGTGCAAGAAATTAAAGTTAAAAAAAAAAGTGTTTGCAAATGACAGTGCCTCCTCATCTAGGTGTTCCCAGGCCCCATTGACTGCACTTCCCTCCAAGGGAGAGAAAACAGGGAGGATGCCCTGGTGGTTGCTATTCTGGACCAGTGCTGAGCATCTGCAGGCCTGTGTGGGAATGAGGGAAAGGACCACAGGCAGAGGAACAGGAGCAGGCTTGAGAACCAGCGTCCTGGATCACAGCCCCAGCTCCGCCATTTCCTCATTGAGGAACCCGACCCCAGGGCACAGAGTTGTGTTGGTTCCTGCTGTATGCCAGTCTTAGAATATTTATGTGACTAGGAACTTGTAGCTCTATTGTGTAGATTAAAAGAACACAGGATCGGTGAGATTAGGGAGAGTAAGTAACTTTCCCAAGGTTACCTGACACCAGACTTCATCTCCTACTACACACTCCTCCGGAGGGAGCATCTGTCAAGCCCTGGCTTTCCCAAATGAATGGTGAGAGGAGAGGACCAGGCTGTTTCTCCAACTCCTCCAGCTTTAAAAGAAGCTGAATATGAGGATTGTCAATAATTGACATGGATATTTCTCTGGAAAGGTACAAAAGAGGCCAGGTATGGTGGCTCACGCTTATAATCCCAGTACTCTGGGAGGCCGACGGGGGTGGATCACCCAAGCTCAGGAGTTCGAGACCAGCCTGGGCAGCATGGAGAAACTCCATCACTACAAAAATACAAAAATTAGCCAGGTATGGTTGTGCATGCCTGTAGTCTCAGCTACTCAAGAGGCTGAGGTGGGAGGAGGGCTTGAGCCCAGGAGGTGGAGGTTGCAGTGAGTCAAGATTGTGCCACTGCACTCCAGCCTGGGTGACAGAGTGAGACCCTATCTCAAAAAAAAAGAAAAAAAAAGGTACAAAAGAAACATAAAATGCTGATTAAACATTATTAAAGGCAAAGAACTTGAGTGTCAAATACACACAAAGAAAAAATTAGTGATTAAATTAGTGATTAGTTGACTGTTTTCACTTACCACAAACATGAACAACATAGTGCTTATTCTTTATCTGAGTAGACTAAACTGGGGGGTAGAAGGGTAGAGGAAGAAGCAACTAAAGAGAAATGAAGTTATAGAACCTGCTCTCAAGTCTATTTTCTGAGAATATTCCATTGCTCTGAAATAGAGGGAAACATTATACATATATTAGGTTCTAAGCTGCTATTGAATCTAAACAATGCTTATTGAGAGAAGGAAAACATCTAGAAGGATTGTCATTGCCTTTAGTTAATCTGACACTTGCACTTTACCAATAAAGTTCACATCAAAAATCTCCTAGGATATCCATTATAACCTCTTCAGATACAAGAGGCAATTTTATCTTCAAAGATAAAAAAGGGATGCTCACTAAATTCAAGGGACTTTTCCAGGTTCAAATGGCTGCTAAATCCAATCCTGAGATATTTTTTATTCTGCTCTAGTATCTGTCTCCCCATTGCCTAGTCTTGTGTATGACAAATAGTTGGCACTTAGCAAACAGTTTAACAAATGAATAAATTTCAAATTAGAAAATCTACCCTTACAAGGGTGCTAAAATCTTTCTTGTCTTTATACATAGGTGGAATGAACATGTCTTTGCCAGCTGCACTGAAATTGAAGGTTGAAGTTTCCTGGGAAAGATGCCTTTACCTGAAATCATATCATTAGAAATACTTAAGAAATCCTCTATTTTCAATGCCCATAGAAGAGAGAATATAGTTGCCAACAGGTATGTTCAATAATGTTGTGGTAAATAAATTAATAATCCTAATCCACAAAAGCATTTAATGAACAATGACTATGTTTTAAGCCCTTGACAAAACACTTGGAACACTATGGCAAATGAAACACAGTTGCTGCCATCAGGTAATTCACAGTCTAGGGGTACAAAACAGGCAATTAAACAGGAAATTATAAAATGGCATGGGACAGGATGTTGCTAGACTGGTGATATGATCTTACAGAGTTGAATAAGAAATCAGACAAGGGGATCCTAAAACTGCAGAGAAGCAAAGGAGGTGCCAAGAGGTGGTTTTGGGGCCAATATCAGAATGATTTGTAGAGCTTTGCATTTTTTAAAGCTGAAAGTGACTTGGAGATCAATTTTGATTAATCTCACTAAAGGGTCAATCAAACTCAGAGAGGGAAACTGACATGCACAAGATCACATGGGGGTTAATGTCAGTGGTAGAACGAAGGGATCCTAAGGCTAAGATCAATGTTAGTTCTCAGGCCACATGTGTGCATCACTAAGGAAGACTGTGAATAAATGATGTCTTTATTTTGCCTTAGGTGGACAGTCCCCCAGTCCTCACAAAGGCCAAGTGAAGTATGTATTGGCCCTGTTATAAAGGATAAAGGAACCACACTCAACCATCTAGGGATGGACCCAGGATTTGAACCCAGACTTGCCTGTCTCCAAGCTGACTCTCTCAGAGGCATATGAACGAGCCCATTCCTGTATGGAATGAAAGCTGGAGGCCACTGAAGAATCCCAGCTCCTCACTCCTTTTTACACATGGATGTCCCATTGTGGATGCACTAGTGTGCGTTCAGAGCCAGTCTTCTGGAATACTAAGGTCATCCACAACCACTCTCAGAACTGATCAGACACTTGGATGTGATTTGGTCCAGATCATAGGCCACAGGATTTGCAGGAGGTGGCAATTCACAAGTCATTCTATGGAAAATAATGGAAATGATTGCTGTGCTCTGGTCACCCAGAACCATTGACAGCCTTGGTCAACGATGATTTCATTACAGTCCTGTCTAAAGGAAGGGGATGTATGAGCTGACCTCTTCTGGCTTCTTCATTCATGGGCCCTTGGGATTGTCGTTATTGGGTTGAGGTGGTGGGAACTGAAATATACGTCTCATCTGGAGTGATTTGTTTTGTATATCTTTCAAGATTCTTGAAACAGATTGTTAGAACAGATTTTTTTATTTTCCTTTTTGTTATGTTTTAATACTATAGTATATGTAATGGCATAGAAAAAAACTGTTTGAAATCTGCTACATTCTTCCTTATTTTAAACTCCCTCTCATCTACACGTATCTACATATGGTGTTTGAGACATTGGCATAAGTAAGTACATAGCATAAAACCTCAAGAAAGGGGAAGATTTCCCTTTCCAGTGTGGCCAAATATCTTCACCAAGTCTCCCCTAATTCATAGGGAAATGGATGAATATGTTCTGATCCTTGGGCTTGTAATTTACAGCAAATTTCAGGTTCCCTTTCACAGCAGATTGGAAGGTTCAGTAAATCATGTTCTCCTGTGGCAGCCAATGTCTATACGTTGTAGTTTTATGTCATGGAAATCAGCAAGGATGTGGTATGTGGTTATTGAATAATATTTGGGCTTGTGACCTTGAGTCTCTCAGTCAATTAAACTGGAATAGTTTAAAAAAAATTTCTTTTCTGAACACCTATCAGGAAACAACGTGCTATGCAAGAACCATGAGTAAATCTCTGTCCCCTAGCAGATCATTGATTGATAGTAAAGATAAGTTCAGAAAGGTGGAATATTAAACATACATAGATGCCAGAAACCAAAAGCTATGAACCACAAGGTCCTTCTTTACATTACAGTGGCTGGATTAGCCACCCAAAATGGGAGGATAGAGTAAAGGCAGATTATGCCTTAAATTTCCCAGTGGTGATCAGCCCTTATTCTGAAAGGATTTTAGTAAAATTATAAATGAAGGAAAAGGAGCCAAGGCCACCTGCTGATGTCTGATGTCCCAGCTCTCTTACCTCCACAAGGATTGAAGCCATGATGTCTAGCCCTTCAGCTTATGTTCAATTCAACCACACTGTTTTTCACCATTCGCCATCCTAATTGCAACAGCCTCTGTTCAGAAAGTTAAGAAGGAAAGCAATGACCATACGACCATATGAGACCAATGCAAAAATTATGTCAAAAAGATAAAATAAAAACTAGGACAAAACAAGAGACTGTGAGCACTCTTTGAAGAAAGAATGTTTTCTAGGGAAGGTGAGCAAATTTTAGATGACTACTGCTTTTTTATTTTCAAGGCAATTAAATAAAATGTAAATATTAAGAATATAAGATCAGAGAGAAAATGACAAAATGAATGATAAGTGGTGTTAGCAGTGATGATGAAAATAATTAAGAGAATGAATGCATAATACTAGTGTAGATTTTTTTTGAAGGCTGTAGAATCATCAATAAACAGAACTGATATGACACTATGGAAATTTAAGGCGGTGACATAGAGGATGGAATGAGAAAAATTCCAAAGAATGAGGAGAGAAAGGATAAAGAATTTTTAAAAGAGCACATCTGAGTAACAGACAATGCAGCCATCACTTTTGAATAATTAGTAATATAAATTTAGTGAATAGAATATACTAAACAGAAAACATTCAAATATGTAAGTGAAAAAATATCTGGAACTAAAAATCTTGATCTGCAATCCTAAGGGCTCAGTGTGTTCTAGGAGGAAATCACAAAGAATGACTCACATTATGCCATATTTTAACAAAAATTGCTGAACCTTGTGAAGAAGAAAGATACCAACATGTGTCTACAAAAAATAGTTCACCTATAAAACTGAAAAAATAATGAATGGACTCAGAATTTACTATAACAGCATTAGGTAATAGAAAATAATAAAACAGTGGCTGGGGGACTTTGGAATAAAATGATTTGTGACCCTAGAATTCTATATTCAGTCATATTCTCAGGTATATAAGGATAAAAGAAAAATTTTAACACTTCATTCTTTTTGAAAAATCTATTTTAAGTTGTATCTCACCTAATGGTGTAATCTTATTTTTCAAGAAAAGAAACATGGTGATTCACATGTAAATAACACATCCAGTGAAAGAAGTGGCTGTGAACATTGAATCCATTAAGGCTGAATTATGTCTAACATTTCTGAGGCTCTTGATTCATACTTTCTAAAGACAGATTTATTAACTCATTAAAGAAATAATAATAAACCCACTGTGAAATAACATATTTTTATAAAGAATAACTATATTTTTCATTTTTTTTTTATTTTATTTTATTTTAGAGACGGAGTCTCGCTTGTCGCCCAGGCTGGAGTGCAGAGGCGAGATCTCGGCTCACTGCAAGCTCCGCCTCCTGGGTTCCCGCCATTCTCCCGCCTCAGCCTCCCAAGTAGCTGGGACTACAGGCGCCCGCCACCACACCCGGCTAATTTTTTGTATTTTTAGTAGAGACGGGGTTTCACCGTGTTAGCCAGGATGGTCTCCATCTCTTGACCTCGTGATCCACCTGCCTCGGCCTCCCAAAGTGCTGGGATTACAGGTATGAGCCACTGCGCCTGGCAAGAATAGCTATATTTTTCAATACCAAAAACCTCATTGAGGAAAGTAGCATTTTACATTTTTGCGAGTCTCTTAAATTCCTTGTTTAATACGAGACAATTATTTTTGTATCTGCTTCTTCATAAAATAAGATGCATTATTACTTTATTTGGATTACATAAAGAAGAAAAATTAGCCACATACATATGTATTTGGAAAGGGAAGAGTATTTTAGTAGCTTTTTCAAATAATTGGGGTCATTCTTTTTTGATACTGCACCGAAACAAGTGGCAGTTTCTTAAAGGCAAATTGAACTATGGAATCTGAAACTGTACAAACGAATATTTTGTATTCTGTTACATTAACATCCATTGGTCTGTCTTGCCTTTTCCTGATGCATGATTTTCTTTTTTTTAATTAATTTTATGTTAGATACATGGGGTGTATATGCAGGTTTGTTACATGGAACAATTGCATGATATTGAGGTTTGGGGTACAGATCCGGTCACGCAGGTAGTGAGCATAGTACCTAATAGGTAGTTTTTCAAACCATGCCCCACCTCTCCTGTCCCCCTCCAGTAGTCCACAGTGTCTGTGGTTCCCATGTTAATGTCCATGTGTGTTCAATGTTTCGCTCTCACTTAGAAGTGAGAACATGCAGTATTTGGTTTTCTGTTTCTGTGTTAATTTGTTTAGGATTATGACTTCCAGCTACACCAGTGTTGCTGCAAAGGGCATGATTTCATTCTTTTTTATAGCTGTGTCATATTATGTACCACATTTTCTTTATCCAATCTACCATTGATGGGTACCTGGGTGGATTCCATGTCTTTGCTATTGTGAATTGTGCTGCGATGAACATACGTGTGTGTTTCTTTTTGGTAAAATGATTGATTTTCCTTTTGGGTATATACCTAGTAATGGGATTGCTGGGTCAAATGGTAGTTCTGTTTGAAGTACTTGGAGAAATATCCAAACTGCTTTCCACATTGGCTGGACTAAATTATATTCCCACCAACAATGTATTAGTGTTCCCTTTTCTCTGCAGCCTTGCCAGCATCTGTTGTTTTTTGACTTTCTAATATTAACTATTCTGACTGGTGTGAGATGGTATCTCACTGTGGTTTTGAAAACAGACATTTTTCAAAAGAAGACATACAAACAGCCAACAATCATATGAAAAAATTCTCGGCATCATTGACCCATACTTAAACTATTTTTATTTCAGTTCTACCAATGTCTACTCCTAATAGCAATGTACGAACCCTGCTCAGCTTTAAGGATTTAATTTTTTGCTAATATGCCAGAATGATAAAACCTGTTTACTTTTTGTTATGCACGAATATAAAAGGAAAGCTCCCACATGAATTTATTAGACACCTTTCAGCTTTCTAAATGGTCATCTTATTTGTCCCCTGCATCTGTGTAAGACTAGTCCACACCAGCAGGCCTTGATAGGGGAGAATGAAAGAAGAAAGAAATGGCTCACCTATTTTCAGGTTTCTCACTCCAGACATGGGGGGGACATCTTCACTACCTGATACTGGTGGGTATATCCATTTGTTCACTGTAATGCCCCTCTCCCAGCAGGAAAGCTGGGATGGGCCAGCCCACCACTGGCTGTGGTCATATTCCTTACCCCAACTGTATTATGGGTCATGGATGATGATTCCTAAATCAAATACAACATGCAAGTATAGGAGTTTAACCCCTGAACACCCGAGCAGCTTGTCTCCAACCCACATCCAATTTAAAGGGTTCCCAGGAATGCTGGGTAAAGGTGGGAAAGAAACAGCTGCTCTGAGTTGACAATCAAGTGGTCACTTTTAATTGGGGTATTTGTTTGCTCTCAGCAGAGTCTATAACTGTCATTGAGAATACTCTACATAGGACCATGTTTTCAAAGATGTAAAGATAAAGGAAAAATATCAGAAACATACTATATGAACACTGCAGAAATATTTGAAGGGGCAGGTGGGTGGTCACGTCCCCAGATCACTCACTCTAGTATTTGAAATGCCTGTGTATTCCCAGGAGGACTGAATCAGGTAGCTCAGGAGAGGACATCTAGCACATCTGGCATTCTGTGAAAATCAGTTTTAGTTCCAAGCAGCTGTTTTGATTTTGTGACGCAGCCCATGAAGGAGACGTTGCATCTGGCACTGACCACAAATTATTGCCTCAGTGTTAGAGTCAAAGCCATGCCAATACTAAAAGATAAAAAGCATCCTTAAATTGTTTTCATTTCCTTATGTAATGACATAATTACCTGAAGACAGCAGCACAGGCTCCCAGTTCTCTATACCAGCTGAATTCTTTCTATTCAACAATCTCTAGCTTCTTTGAAAGTCTAATTAGCTAAACTGGAAAGATTTCAAGAGTCCAGCTTAAAAGGACTAAGAGGTCCCTTCTTGTAGCTGAGGAAATTGGAGCCCAAAGAGGAAAGAAACTTGGCCATTGCTGTCACCTCTGTAAACAAAAAATTATCTGAGACAGATCTCAATCAATTTAGAAGTTTATTTTCCCAAGCTTATGGATCATAACCTGTGACACAGCCTTGGGAGGTCCTGGACATGTGCCCAAGGCAGTTGAATTATAGGTTGGTTTTATGTTTTAGAGAGACATAGGACATCAATCAATGCATATAAGGCATACATTTGTTTGGTTCAGAAATGCAGGACAACTTGAAGTGTGGGAAGGGGGAGGCCTACAGGTCACAGGTGGATTCAAAGCTTTTCTGATTGGCAATTGGTTGAGTTAGTTATTATCAAAAAACCTGGGATCAATAGAAAGGAGTGTTTGGGTTAAGATAAGGGGTTGTAGAGAACAAGGTTCTTATTATGTAAATGAAGCCTCATAGGTGGCCAGAGGCAAAAGATGGCAAATATTTCCTATTCAGACCTTTAAAAGGTGCTAGACTCTCAGCCCATCTCTTCAGCATCAGAAAAAGACCTGGAAAGGGAAGAGGGCTCTCTACAGAAGGTAAGTATTCCCCACAAGAGACAGTTTTATGGGACCATTTCAAAATACGTCAAACGAGTATATTTTGGGGTAAAATACTTTGGTTTCTTTCAGAGCTCTGCCATCTGGGATGTGATGCTATACTAAGGTCAGGTTGGAATTTGGTATCTTATTGCTACAAAGAGTCTGTCTGTCAGTCTTGGGATCTGTATTTTAATATTAATCCTGGCCAGTTGTGCCTGAATTCCAAAGAGAGGTGAGTATAATGAAGCAGGTCCAATCCTCCCCTTCTCATTATGGTCTGAACTAATTTTTCAGGTTTAGTTGGGTCCCATTGGCCAAGAGGAAGGTTCATTCAGTCAGTTGGAGGGCTTGGAATTTTATTTTTGGTTTACAATTCTAATCCCTGGTAGATCAGGCCTTCTGTTGGTGAGTAATTTTTTGATGTGGCAACAGTGCAATCAGTAAACTTTGTTCTCAATATTTTTAAGACAAGTAACTTCTCAAGGGCAAATGCAAGCACAGTGCCTGTTTGTATTTGTGTCCTCGGTCCCTGGTGCAGGGCTGGGCACAAAGTAGGCACTTTGCTGCACTGATGGAACTGCACATGACTGCGGGAATCCTGGCGTGACCTTGTGGGTGACCGTGGTTGTGGCTGTGGTATCCTCTCCTCTGCGGGGTGCATGCCCCTGCCCTGCATGCTTCTCTCCTCTCCCAACAAACCACAAAGCAAGAAGGCAGTAGGGGGTGACGCTGTGGCAGTACAGACACATGAAAGACCCTGGGATTGTTTGCTTTTGTCTAGTAAAACTTGACAACAGCTTCAATTTATTTATCTTGAAAACCCTCAAAGATAATACCAACAGTTCACAGGAGGGGAATTAGTCATAGGCACACATGGTTTCCCGATATTGCCCCAAGAAAAATACCCCCCTTCAAAGTTCTCTGGTTTCAGCATCACCTAATTTATGGAACATTAGTTCAAGACCTTGAAGTTCTGATTTCATCAGAGATTCTGCCACAAAAAACTGCTGGGCTGGTCATGCCTCACCAGTCCTTGGAGAACCCTTGAAAATTTCTCTGCATTTTCCTCTTATACATATGAGCGTTTCAAATATGCCTGCTGCCCTGTCCCCACTAGGATGGCATCTGCTATTATAAGGAAAGAAATGTTTGAACAAGAGAATTTATATTGGGTTGTTTTTCATAACTCTGGTCAGTATGCAGTAAATGGGAGTTCTTGAATGCATATATATTCAACTCATAATTAGAACCTAAGATACAAAACTTTTCTCTCCTTTGATAAAAGTTGACTGAGCGTCTATTAGGTGCAGTCTCTGGGAATATAAATAAATAAATAAATAAATAAATAAATACAGCCCCTGGCCTCAGGGAGCAGAAATGACAGACAGTAGGAGCTATGACAGAGGTAATCCAGCACGTCTATTAGGTGAGCATCTATTAGGTGCAGGCCTTGGGAATATAAATAAATAAGTACAGCCCCTGGCCTCAGGGAGCAGAAATGACTGAGACAGTAGGAGCTACGGCAGAGGTAACCAGCATGTCTCAGTGCTTTGAGAAGGGATATGTGTCCAAAGGCCTTTCAAAAGACATGGGGTCTTAATTGTGTCTGAATGGGTGAAAGGAGTTGGCTAAGAGGATGGAGAAGGGAGAACACCTTGGTTCTATTATCCATAGGATAATTAACAATCTTATAGTCAAAAAGTTTTAGAACCGGGGTCCCAGCATTTCATCCACTAGGATGCCATGTCTGTGACAGGGCATGAATAAAACACAGGCATGCTGTCCCAAGCCTCACACATATGGAAAAGAGGGCAGCAGCCATGCCACTTGACCTTGGCAGTCCCCCATGAAAAGCTCACAGGTCCAGACACAGCCCACACCCACCGGAACTTAGTGCACTCCTCCAACTCTCAGGCCTGTGATGTGCTGTGTGGGTTGTTTATATGCACAGCTTCCCTTGGAGTTGTGCAGAGAACTTCCTGCCAGACTATATAAGACAGCCCTGCTGTCACTGGTTAATTTAACCATTTTGTTAAACAGATCCATCGCTTTTGGCTTGGTTGTCAGAGTTTGCGTTCTGGTGGCATCATTCATCTCACAAATCTCCATCAGGTATCAATACATGATAGCTACTCATTGGGGCGGTGGTGTCTTGATGACTGTAATCACACCTGTGCCCTTGGAAGCTTACCCTCGAGTATTCAGCCTACTCTAGACCTATGCATCTCCATAGACGTGGAAGCCTGGGAAGCGTGGTCAGTGCAGGCCTTCATGCTCTGCTCACATATAACCATATCCAGTTCCTTAGGCAGAAAGTCTTACCCTCTTCGATACATGACAGGCCCAGGAAGTGTGCATGCACAGGCACATGCTATCCCTTCTTCATTTATCTATTTTGGGTGTTTTTGTTTATTTAACATCTATGTCATAGCTTGGATAAGTCAAAGGTTGGATGATCCGAGTTTTCACTCTTGTGTCCTTCATTCATACCCTGCTGTTAGAATTCCTATTCCACTTGGAATAAAAAACAAAGTCCTTTCTAAGTCCATGGGGACCTCTATGACCTGGTCATACCTCTCTGGCCTGTCTCCTCCCACCCTTTTATTGGGCACTCTGCTCAGCCACTCACACCCCTAGATGTCCATCCACTGTGAGGCCAGGCGTCTTACATCCAGGCACCTAGCACATAGTAGGGATCCAAATATATGCTCTAGGGGAGGAAATGAATTAAGGGATTGTAGCTGTGAAGAGATTGCCTGTGATGTTGGGCGTTACTCAAGCTCTCCCACTCCCCGTGGGAGGCTGGGAGCATCAATTCTGTTAGCGAACTACCTCCTGTATTCTCAGCCATGGCTTCATCTTCTCTCTTTCACCCCAGAACGAATGCCCACTGTTTGGCATTGCTGGCCTACTCTCTCAATCCCCTCTTTTTGGAAAACCTCTACATGTTCTTCCATCCAGATGTGGGTGATAATTCTGCCATTCAACTACGGCAACCTAGCCCTGCCTGACCTCAGCAAGGCCGGCATCTGAGCTGTCTGCCTCCTAATACTGTAAAATAGGCCGAGTCACCCTCATATGACAATTGAGGAGCTAAAGTTCACAGCGAGTCAGGGACTTGCAGAAGTCCTACAGCTGGATTTAAACCCAAGCCTTTGTAACTCCAAAGCCGGCACTTGGCCCATTAAACCACCTTCATTCATGCATAAGTAAAGTTGGAAAGTTTCATTATTTCCCATCCAGAGGAAACTTTAAAACCTTCCTCCACCCCCAGCTCCACAACTCCACTGGCATCTCCACAGTGGCAAAGCTTTTGTGTGTGTGAATATAAACAAGCGGTAATGAATGGGAAACATACTGAACTACTGACCTTTCAAAGTTCTGGAATTCTATGAATTAAATCTTCTTTGTTTAAAAATTTGAACCTATTGTTTCCCCCTTGATCCCTGAGCAATATAGCTTCTCCAGAAGCAAGAGCAGGCCATCTGATTATAACAAATGTTAGAATATCTTTTCTGAGGTATAATTTTATCCAATAGGACATAGGGAGCCATTGAAGGTTTTTCAGTGGGACAGGCACATGACCATCTCTATATTTAGGAAACAGCAATGTAGAAGATGGGTCTGCAAGTTGGCACTGGTGCCAAGGAAACCACTGAGGCAAAACAAGAAACGAAGGAGAATTAAACAAATGCTGAAGAGGTATGGAGAGAGAGGAAGGAACATTGAGGAGGAATATTATTCCTCACCAGAATGCATGCTCCAAGAAAGCAGAAACATATCATACTTACTCACTGCTCTGTTTTTAGCACCCAGAACAATGTTTGGCAAATAGTCAATGCTCAAAGAATGTTTTAAATTTTGTAAACATTGTCATGGAGGACTGAAAGAATGTTGAGTGTTTTAGTAAGAAAGAGACGGCAGTCAGCACACCTAAGAATCATTTCAGGATCATGCCTGGGGACTGAGGGAAAAATTGGGGAGGAAAACCGAAAGGAAGTCATACACATGAAATAAACATCAAGTACTCTTCTGCAACTGCTCAAGGCATCCATTGTGACACCCTGGCAATCAGCGCTCCAGGAAGAGGCAGGCACAAACCTGCCTGGGAATTGTATAAGAACCTTCCAGCCATCCAGGTAGGTAATATCACAGCAGCCTCTGATCATTCCCACTTCTTTACTGTTGATAACCAGTTGCAAACATCTATTGATTAAACATCTGCATTATCTCTTGCATCTCCTTGCCATAGTTTGGATGTTTGACCCCCTACAATTCTCAGGTTGAAACTTGATCCCCAGTGTTAGAGGAGGCCTAATAGGAGGTGTTTGGATCATGGGAGTGGATCCCTCATTAATAGATTAATGCCCTTCCTGGTAAGAGTCATGAGTAAGTGCTTGCTCTATTCATTCCTACAAGAGCTGGTTGGGAAAAAAAAAAAAAAAAACAAAACAAAACGTAGAACCTCCCCTGTCTCTTTCTCTCTTGCTCTCTCTCTCTCTCTGTCTCACCTCTTCTCTTGCTTTGTGATGTCTGTACATACTAGTTCCCCTTCTTCCACCATGAGTGGAAACAGCCTGTGGCCCTCATCAGATGCAGATGCTGGTGCCATGCTTCTTGTAGTCTGCAGAACTGTGAGCCAAATAAACCTCTTTTTGTTATAAACTACCCAGCATCAGATATTCCTTTACAAGAACACAAAACAGACTAAGACATCCCTCCTCCCCATCTCCATTATCACTACCCTAGCTCACTCTTCATCACCCTCAGGGCTTTCAGCTGAACCATGGGCACTGTATCACTGAGCAATATAGCTTCTTCAGGAGCAAGAGCAGAACATCTGATTATAGCAGATGTTAGGATGTTTGCTTCTGAGATATGATTTTATCCAATAGGAAACAGGGAGCCATTGAATGTTTTCGAGTGGGACAGACACAGGATCATGTCTGTGCTTAAAAAATCAGCAATGTGGAAGATGGGTCTGCAAGTTGGCATTGCTGCCATGGGGACCACTGGGGCAAAAAAAAAGGAAATGAGCACTATAGTTCATTTGTCAGGGATGCCATCTCCCCGACACCATGTGCTCTAGACACTGCTCACCCTCAAAGTCACTAACAGATTATTCTTTACTTAAGTATAGTTATGATTACGGTGACCTCCTACTCAAAACTACTCTAGCCTTCCTTTTGCCTAGCAAATCTCCATTTCTTGACTTACCACCAAGACTCTTCCATATGTGTCCTCAATCGTGCCAGTCAGCCTCATTTCCCACCACCGATTTTCATACCCCATTTCCATCAAACCATTCTCACTCTAGTTTCTGTACATTTTCTCCCTGTTTCCTTAACTAGGAATACCATTCATCATATACTGCAGTTGCCATTTTTTTCTGCAAAGCATTCCCTCAGCCTTCTCTTTGACTCTTCAAGGGAACTTATTTGAAACCCTTTTATGATAACAATCACTTTCTGCCTTAGATTATGCTCATCTATGCACATATCTTATTTTTTCTAATAGACCCTGAGTCCTCAAAAACTAGGATTTGTATTATTTTTAACCCTCCAGAGGCCTAGTCCTTTATTTGACCTAATTTGTAATTCAGTAAAAGGAAATGAATAAATTAAGGACAGTCTGGTTTTAATTATTATATAAAAATAGGTCCAACAAAAACATCACTCTAGAGTCCATAGAAGTGGATGATCAGGACTTAAAAGCAGATCGCACACTGTTCTAGCTGGGAAAATATGCTGGAATAGTGAAACTACTATTTAAATGGAAAGTGTCTAATGGTTTTTGCCATGGAAGTTTGCATATTTATGTTAACTGCAAAGATAAAGAGAATACGAGCACATATGTGGTGGTGAATTGCTAGATTAAGAAATACAGAGACCATCCTTCAAGAAAACCATGAGGCTGGTGGGGGCTGATGAGACTCTTGACACTTTGTGAAAAACTTCCAAATAATGCAGTGTAGGCTGCAAGCACTGACATACAACTGATGTCTGATTCAGAAACAACAACTAATAATAAGATCTAAGAGTTAATGATTACTCTCTATGTGCTCAGAAACTTCTATGATTTATGCATGTCTAATTAGTACCTAATTTTCACCTTAAAATAATCCTATGAGTTGGATAAAATCTGAAACATAGAGAATCTCACTAACTTTCCCAAGATTGGTGGTCTTTCTATTTAATGTACCAATACTCTAAGTTGAATCCTTTCTTCATATTAGATTGAGAGAAATTTCCTTTTTCCCTTTGGAACTTAAGAAAGAGAATTATCACTGTCTAGTCCAGTGGTCCTCAAGTTGTAATTAATGGCCCCATAGAAAGGAGAAAAGGATTCTGAAACTCAAAGACACTGTATTATTGGACAGACCTAAGCACTGACGTAAACATCTCTATTTGTATTTTCTTTATTTTCCTTATAATTTGAACTTCTGACTGAGAGTTTATTGAAAGAAAATATCCTCCCACCTTAAAAAACTATTTCATTAGTTTCATCAAAACTATTTCATTATCTATTAGTAGATGCCTTACCTTTGTAAAGCTCCATTTGAAAAGCTATGTGCTGATAAACTGCTTATAATAGAGCCAAGAACACAAAACATGCTCTGTAAAGGTTAACTATAGATACAATTATCATCATCGTCTTCATTATTTCATTTGCTATGTCTCTCAGAATTCTTATTTGCATCCCCTGTGAGCTTAATATGACCATCTTCATGTAACAAATGTGAAAGCATAGCATTAAGGTGTTAATGATTTATTTATAAGGTCACAAAGCCAATAAGTAAAGGGATTAAACTTTCCATTGCTCTTAGGGTCAACATCAAGTTCTCAACAAGATGCACATGACCTCGTGCTGTCTGACTGTTCTCCATACCTTCAGCCTCAACTCACCCCGCTCTCTAGTATTCACTCCCCCACACCATCTGCACTCTGGTAATGGTGGGGAAAGTGCCTGCATGGCCATCTTTGAAGTTCCTCAGGTGTGCTCCTCTCCTCCCACCATAGCACCAACCACACACTTGTCCCTCCTCCTGTAACTGTTCCACAATCCACTCCTTTTCTCCTTGACCCAAGTCAAGTTGAATGACATCATACTTGACTCCAGTCCAAGCCAGGTCCCCTTCTTACACAGTCTCATAAAACTGGATACTTCTCCTTCCTAGTGCTTGTCTCAGTGTGTAATTACATGCTTATTATGTATGACTATTTGACTGATGTCTGAATTTTCCAATAGTTGATTATCTTCATGAAGACAGTGCTCATTATATCTCCAGATTCTTGGTACACATAGGCAGTAGAAATAATTGCTGAGCAAATATGTAAAGCCCATTGTTTTTCTCACATAGTTCTTTCTTCCCCACAACATTCCTACAATCTAAGGAAGGTTTCAGTTTCTACTTAAAGAGAAAAACTGGAGTTGGCCACTTAGCTTATTAGTATTTTCTCGAAGCTACCATTAGAAAAGGGTTCATCTTGTAAAATTCTTTGAGCTAGGAAGAGGGATGATCTAGGATGTTATCAGCAAACACAAGACCTGAGACTAAAACTGAGCTGTAGACACCTGAATAAGCCCTGCCTGACCTCTTCTGTCTGCATGCTAATATTCACAGATCTGCTGAGGCATTTCTGTGCTTCTCTGCCTGCCTTGATGAGGCTTTCGCTGGGAAAAAAGCCAGCCTCTGCAGCCTTCGGAGCTCCATGTGGTGAACACCAGTTGTCACCATGGGTGACACTAGCCTCAGTTTCTTCTAATCTGTCTGGAGCCCACATTGGCCTCATGGGCTTGAAGGCATCGGCCTCAATGATGGTTTCTCACTGTAGGATGATGGTGAGCGGGCACCACAGGAACCTACACCTGCCTCATTTGTCCCTGCTGGAACTTGCTGCCTTTGTCCCACACCCTGCAGGGCAGCTGAAGCTAGGTGGCCTGTTTCCTACAACAGCACGAGAGGACAGTCCCTGTGCTTGTAGCTTCTGGGGACTCCTCACCCTTGATCACTCCCAGCTCACAATCTCTCAGTGGTCCCTCCATTCCTCTGCCTGCTTTTGCTCACATTTAGACACAATTGTTCTAGAGGAGAATGAGCTCCATCAATCCAAACTACAGACTCAGAATTAGGAGCTTTACAGTTCAGCTCCTCCAGGTGCTTTAACATTTTCTTGGTAGAAAACGATGCCTTTGGCTTGTTTTAAAACCACATTTGCTTCCTTTGCTCAGGTCTCCTTAAGCACCAGGAAATGAAGACAGAAGGGCAGATATAGATACTTATTTTTGAGATTTAGTTCCAGGATTATTATTTCATCTGGGGCTTTCAACAAACTTGCAAGGCAGGCATTTTAATCTCCATTTTATAGATGAAGGAGCAGAAGAATTTCAAGCTATTACAAGTGACGTTTACAAAGGATGTCAGAGACGTAAAGGTTGAAAGACAACAACCTGGCCCACAAATTCTCTCAAATCAACAGAAGCAACAACAATAATAATACAAAGACTTTTTAAAGCCTACCTTTGATATTTGGAAAAATAATCCTTTTTCAAGAACAATATTACAGATTTACCTTCTATATGATGGTTGGTAGCACACATACATATTTTCCCATTTTAACCTTACTCCAACTCTCTGAGACAGAGTTAGAATGTGTAATTGTTTACTACATGTATCTAAGGAAACTGAGGCTTAGAGGAGTTATAGGCAAATACAAGGTCACAAATGTGGCAGTAGAGCTTGATCGTAAACCAGTTCTGCATGGCTTTGTCACAGAAGCTCAACAGGGTAGAGGAGGGAGGAGACAGTGCACCATATGCTTGTCTTGGAGAGGTGGAGTGGGCAACGATCCTTCGAACCAGCTTTTTGTGGAGCCACATATAGCCTGGGAGGTAGTTTTGTTCTAGCTTGACCCTAATGTCATGCCAGATTCTGGGGGGGTAATTCTTATAACTACTTACAAGTCAGCCTGCCTTTTGTTTTTGGTCTAGAGAAATTGGTATAGCATGGGGAGGATGGAGAGAGAGAGAAGGCATGGTAGTTTCCACTTTTGTCCTATACTTCTGATGTTAAACATGAACCTGGATGTTGGAATAAAAAGACTGGTGCCCAGCTCTAGCACTCCAACTAATTACCTGTGTCACCTTGGGCATGCAGCCTCCCTACATCTGTAAAAAGTGAATAAAAGTTCTCACTCACAACTCAAAGTCTGCATTGGAAATTTTGGATGAAGTGAGGGCAAGTCAGCTCTCTTCTCTGGGCCTCAATTTCCCTAAATTTCTCCCCAAAATGGTAAGGCAGACTAGATGATCTCACCCAAGTACCATGCCAGGTGTTTCACACATAGTTACTCATGTCGTTTGCTCAACAAATCTGCACATTCTGTATTATTATCCTCAATTTACAAACAAAGCAATTGAATTCCAGAGTAGTTAAGAAATCTGATCAAAATAGCAAGGCTCAGATGGAGAGCAAAGATTAAAACCCAGGACTAGGAACCCGCTATGTTATCAGACCCACACTTTCAGTTGATAGATTCTCTTCTCTTAGTTGTACAAGGGAGTAGCAATGGTGTTAAAACCAGGCATGGGAGGAGAGACTGTATTAGTGACTACTGATTAAGAAAGAAAAAGAAGAGAGGTCCAAGGAAGCATACTTGCTTCCATTGATGGGACAGTCAGGGCAAGCTGGGAGGGATGGTCATGCTCTTTAGGAGCGATGTCAACCCTGGCCACCTCCCCACTCACCTCCGGTCACTCTGCCACATTAGGTCTCACTTAATCAGGGAAAAATTCTTAGTCCTCTCCATCCCCAAGAGTCAGTTATGTACTCTCCTTCTGTGTTCTCATAGCAGCTTATGCTTATACTTATCACACTATTAAGTGCACTCTTTTTTAATGATCCATTTATTTCTCTTGACTTTTCCCCAAGCTTCAAATGCAGCGAGTGGATTTAATTCATAGTTACAAGTCCAGTGCATGAAATAGCATCTACAGCAACCCATTCCTGGAATAAATGAATGAACATGGAAATTGAGCACGTATTTGCTGCACACTATCAAGATCTTACAGCTCATTCTGTACCTAGATTATGTGTGAAGTCAGTGTTCAGCAGATCAAGATATCTCATAATTTCAGGATCCTAAAAGCTGTGGGAACCACATGAGTTCTTTTCACACAATGACTCATGTTAACCCCAAGTTTCATTTTGAATTCAAAGATTCAAAGCAGAAAACATGCTTCTTGGTTAACTCAAATTTCAACTAGGCCTCAACTGCATATATTTGCATCATTTCCCCCAACTCTTTAGCTCTTCCTTGGTTCAAGACCCTCTTTCTCAACCTTTCCATTTACAGTGCATTTCATAAAAGCATGGTGGTTGTGTAGATAATAAATTGACTCCCCGTTACTTCCCAAAAGCTCTGATATGGAAATCATATGGGTGACTAACTTTCTTCTCCTATATTTAAGATTTTTCTGAATCTACTTGTAAATATTATTGGTCTCTGATCCAAACGATCCATTTGGTACTACAGTAGCTTTTAAGGGGTTTACCCTGGAAATAAGACCCATGACATGACAGACAGCCAAAGCAGCCAACAATGTATTCAGTAATAAACAGTAGGAGTTGACTTTCCAATGTTTCTTTCTTTTTTTTTAAGCCATTTGCAGTTAATATATTTTCTGCAAAACAACTGCAATATAATAATGACTGTCCTTTATTCATTCGACAAACATCTACTGAGTGTCAAACATGCATTAGGTATTGTTATAAAAATTAAAGGTAAAAACAAACGTGAGACTCAGGCTCTGGCCTTGGGGCATCCACTAGAGGAAAGAGGCTTAAACAAAAACAAAAACAAAAAACTACATTAAAATGAGATGAGCACAGTTGTCTCAGAAAATCAATATATACATCTATTAATATAATCTAGAAACCTATTTACTTGTATATAATTATTGCATAAACTGATGATCCTGGAACATTCTGACTAAAGGAAAACTTTGCTTATGAGCATTCAAATTAAATTATTTCAATCATTTTGTTTTAACCCATCAGGACTTTATTGTTGTTGCTGTTAGTTTATTATACAAAAGGAAAAATAAGGCAACAAAAAATTGACCTACGATCCCACCTGTGGATTGCATTCTATTTTTTTTAATTCTTTTTTTTCTTTTTTTTATTATTATACTTTAAGTTCTGGGGTACATGTGCAGAACGTGCAGGTTTGTTACATAGGTATACATATGCCATGGTGGTTTGCTGCACCCATCGGCCTGTCATCTACATTAGGTATTTCTCCTAATGCTATTCTTCCCCTAGCTCCCCACCCCCAACAGGCCCCGATGTGTGATATTACCCTCCCTGTGTCCATGTGTTCTCATTGTTCGACTCCCACTTACGAGTGAGAACATGCGGTGTTTGGTTTTCCGTTCTTGTATTAGTTTGCTAAGAATGATGGTTTCCACCTTTATCCATGTCCCTGCAAAGGACATGAACTCATCTTTTTTATGGATGCATAGTATTCCATGGTATATATGTGCCACATTTTCTTTATCCAGTCTATCATTGATAGGCATTTGGGTTGGTTGCAAGTCTTTGCTATTGTAAATAGTGCCACAATAAACATACGTGTGCATGTCTTTATAGTAGAATGATTTGTAATCCTTTGGGTATAACCCAATAACGGGATTTCTGGGTCAAATGGTTATTTCTAGTTCTAGATTCTTGAGGAATCGCCGCACTGTCTTCCACAAAGGTTGAACTAATTTATACTCCCACCAACAGTGTAAAAGAGAACCAGCAAATTAAGAATGCAATCCAACACTGTTGGTGGGATTGCATTCTTTGTTTGCTGGTTCTCATTTAAGATCTAGCGATCTGTGCCAGAGGAGAGTTGCTCTAATGGCTGGGCAGTGCTTATAGCTCTTTTACTTTTAGAAGGAAACAAGAGACAAAGAAAGCTGGGGAATTCTATAGAAAGTTCTACTTCTAGTTTCAATCCTAATTCTCTCTCCAAACCAAATTGAGAATCAGAAAAATTTACAGGAAAATGGTACCTGAGAGATTATTTCTTCCAATCTCTTCTTGTACTGATGAAGGACTCTAATGCTCAGAGAGAGGCAATATTATGGCCCAGATGAGACAGTGATGCTGGTGGGGGAAGCCCCATATGGAGAGGGGCAAACTCACGTCTTTTCTCATGGTTGTTTTTGTTGTTGTTGTTTTGTTTTGTTTTGTTTTGTTTTGTTGAGACAGGGTCTTGTTCTGTCACTCAGGCTGGAGTGCAGTGGCATGATCATAGCTCACTGCAGCTTCAACCTCCCAGGCTCAATTGATCCTCCCACCTCAGGCTTAGAAGTTGGCTGGGATTTCAGGTGCATGCCACCATGCCAGCTAATTTTTGCATTTTTTGGAGAGATGAGGTTTTGCCGTGTTTCCCAGGCTGTTCTCATGTCTTTTGTCCAAAGAAGAAAAACAAAAATGATAGAGACAATTTAGATGTGATGGGTATATACTTCTGATTGGGTCATAGAAAAATATTTTGGGTGTTTTATTTGAAAGCTGAAAAATAATGGATGAAGTTGCCTAGATCATGAAGAAAATGGGTTAAGCAAATTTGAACTTACTCCCTTCTATTTTTAAATCTCTCAAAAAGAGCACACTACGGAGCACTAGATCTAGATACTAAACTGTATACCAGTCATTTCTACCTGCAGATTTCACAGTCATATCCATCATATCCCAATCTTAGTCATTATCTCCATCTCACATTGCCATGAGACCACATCTCTTCTCAGGGAATGGAACCACTACCTGTCCAATGACCAAGCCAGAAATCTTGAATTCATCTTGGTCTCTTTCTCCAGCATCTTTCATATCAATCTAGTTTGAAGGGCAGTCTACTTTCCAAGTGAGAATTATATCATACAGAGAATTGGAATCAGAAGAAGAACGCATAACTATATTGCTCATATCCCAGAACAGAATGCCTTTCTACAATTTTATGTTGCCTTTTTCTTTTGACTTATTCCACTCATAACAACCATTCCCATCAAGCAATGGGATCTAACCCAGGTCCATGGCAGTTTTCAGAGAACACTAAAGCTACAAAAACAAAACACAGACATGCACAAGGAAATGGGCACCATGATGACAGCCAGCCAAAGCGGCAAACGATGTATTAAATACTGTGAAGTATTCAGACACTAAAATGCATAGGAGGAGTATAAGTGTTTACATATATGCTAGAATAAAACAGGGAATCTCTTAGGATTAAGAGATTATAAAAAAAATGACCAGGCATATTTGAAAAACAACTAAATAATTTTTCTAGAAATCAACACTGAAACATTCAAAGTGAGTTGACCACTGGATATAAATAAGCTGAAGGTTGAATATTTATGATGCAGCACAGCAAAACAAACTACTGTAAACTATCAAATAAATACTGAGAGACAGAGAATGAGGGAGATGCAACATAAAGAAAATCAGAGTTTGGGGAGGTTTGCATTGAAAAAGGGGACGAGGCAAAGTTTGAAGTCACAGTGACAAATTTTTCAAGACTGATAAAACATGGAGTCTTCTGAATTCAGGCAGCCCAACTCAACATACCTCAAATAGAATACATTTAAATTATCTAGACATAGTCTCATGAAACCAAAACCCACTGAAGACAAAGAGAATTCAAAAGCATCAGAAAGAAAGAGCAGATTCGCTACTAAGGAAAGGTAATTGTACCGACAGTAACTCACTACATCGGCAATGGAAACGAGAAGACAAGGAAGTAGTGTCTTCAAACCATTAAGAGACAATAACTGTCAGCAAAATATCTTTCAAGAATAAGAGCAAAATTTTAAGACCTAATATAAGCAAGCCTAATAATGTTTACTATCCACATATACACGCTAAACAAATTCAAAAATATGGTCTTCAGAAAGAAAGAAAATAACCCAAGAAGGAAGGTCTTAGAAGGAAGAAGAAATAGTGATCAAAAACAATAATGTAGGAGCCAGGAGCGGTGGCCCATGCCTGTAATCCTAGCACTTTGGGAGGCTGAGGCAGTCAGATCATCTGAGGTCAGGAGTTCGAGACCAGCCTGGCCAACATGTTGAAACCCCGTCTCTACTAAAAATACAAAAATTTTCTAGGAGTGGTGACACACGTCTGTAGTCCCAGACACTCAGGAGGCTGAGGCAGGAGAATTGCTTAAATCCGGGATTGCGCCACTGCACTCCAGCCTGGGTGACAAAGCAAGACTCTGTCTCAAAAAAAAAAAAAAAAACAACAACAACAACAAAAACCAATGACATGGGTAAATCTAAACAGATATTGATGGCAAAAACCATAATCATAATAAAAATATCTGATTCATGGGGTTAAAAAAAGAGGAGAAACTAAAATAATCTTGATAATTATACTCAGAAGGGGAATGATGGGAATAAAAAAAAGAGCCTAATATTGTTTAGGAGGAAGGTAAATTAACTTTTTAATGTGCCAATTTAATTATTATAATTTACAGGCTAATTAGTAAATATAGACTGTTTAATTTGCAAATGTTTTAAGTAGAAATGAAATAAATAATTTATTCAAAAAAGGTAAGAAAAAATTTTATTCAAAAAAAAGACAAATAGAACGTAGAAAAAACACACTCAGCAAAATAACTTGAAGCTTATTATAGTGATAATATGAAATACAAAATTTATTAAGGTCTATTTTTAAAATATATAGATATATTCTCAAGAAGAATCTCTCACACAAAACACAAAGATCTATGAAAAGTTCTATGTATATAATATAGTTTTAACATAAGAAAAAGAGAAAGTTAGACTAAGCCCCAACTAGGGAGGCCCCTGAAGTTGCCAAGACTGAGCCTGAGTTCTGCAATTTTTCTGCCAAGTAAGTTTCACTCAGAGAGAGAAACATTCTCATCACCTAAAGCTCTGTGTTCATGGTGATCTGTTCTTCTTCACTGACATCTTAGTGTGAGGCCTCAGGTTTTACCACTATTACAGTTGACCTCACACTGTCTTGAAATGCATTCGATGGTTCATTTCTTCGCAGCAGAAATGTCATTCTTTGCCTTCCCATGCAGATGTCAGCAGTGATGGTTTCTTTTATTATCCCTTGGGAGGCAAAATGGGGCCGCGCTGATCAACTATTTTACCACAATTCAAAATTTGTCAACTCTGTGCCCAGAGACCTCATTTTAGACTGAGAGTCCCTGGTTGTGCCCAAGTTCCAGCTCTGTCCAAGGGTATGGCTAACGTTTCAGGAACAGGGACCCTGAAGCAGGGCCCTGGAAGACCCTTCAGTCAGAAGACCCCATTCTGTCTTGACTCCATCTTTTAATATGCCTGAACTTTCTGAACTGAAGATTTCTGGGGAAAGACAGGTCATCAATGACTGTTCCATCCAATCTCTTAAAAGCCCTGTGAAGTAGGATGTTTTTAAAAATCCTCTGTTTTCCAGGTTAGGAACTGAGGCTTCATTAGGGAAGCCATTTTCCTGAGCTTGCACAGAGAGGGGCTTAAACAGAGCTGACATATGAACCTGAACTTCTGAAGCCAAATTCTTGGTCCCGCTCCTGCATCAAGATGCCCTAAAACGATGTTGGGAAACAAAATGAAACGTGTTCAGAAAATGATCTGAATTTATCCAGCACTGGACAAATATCCATAACTGTTATTGTCCCCCAGTATCTTGTTTGCTACTGATATGAATTCTGCCTAGCATGGTTAATTTATAAGCAAATACACATGCTCTGATTCAAGGAGGGTATTCAAGTAAGCCCTCCTTCCCTCCAACATTAACCTTGAAAAACCAATGTAAACAGGATGACAAGTTTATTGTCCTGACACTGAGCTTCCATTCAAGGCACGGAACTGGGGAGGGGAGCCACCCTTTAAACTTTCTCAGCAGTTTAAGTTTAGGATCTTTGTCTGTTCATAGTTGATGGGGGAGAGAAAAGAGAATCTATGGTCTCAAGGCGTTTGTGGTGGGGGCTGCCACCAGAGATGAGAAAGGATAAGAATGTGTTCTTGGAAGGCTGAGATGAGGTCACCTTCATCAGATAAGCATACTCCCCCAGTCTATGGCCATGTGAGAAGAGGGTCTTTGTTAAGCTTCTTCCCCAGCAACACTTTCTGGATTTATTGATTATCTCCAGCAACCCATTGTTCAATCTATCTGATCCAGACTTGGTAAGCTTTATCCCAAGGGCTAAAAATAAAGGTATAGTCAATTGACTTGAAAGAGAATAGGAAATTGATTTCTTAGAGAAGCATTTCATAAATAGTAATGGGTAACATTTATCAAATGTGTACTTTACTTAAGCCAGGCATTATCTCATTTAATCATTTCTTCTTTTAATCTTTCCAACAGCCTTTTACTAGGTCAAGACTATTGTTATGTGCATTTTATAGCTAATAAAGCAAAAGCCCACAACTTTCTCAAGGTCAAGACTCAAACTCAGGGTTGCCTAATTCAGGGCTGTCTATGCTGTTTATGTCAAGTGTTAGTTGGTGATTACCCAAAAACAAATTCTCATTTGGGTAGGTTAGTGGCTTCCTGGGTTTCGAAAAGACTCCTCTCCCAGGGGTGTGAGGGTGTGGAGCAGCCGGTGCTTGCCTTGCCAGCCTGGAGCTGTGAGCCAGACACCTTCCCAGTCCTCTACCCCAGCTGAGTGACTCTGAAATTTATGTCCTGGGCTCAGTTTGTTTGTTTTCTATGAGGAATGACATGGAAATTGGCTGTAGAACTGAATCATGTCAAAAGTTAAAGAAAGCCGAATGGCTTCAAGCACAAACTTTTGATGGTTTACAAATGGGGAATAAATAGTGAAAGTGAAGAAAAGGGAATACAGAAAAAAAAACCCTTCTGTAATTGGCAGAGACATATAACAGATGAGTAACAGGAAACGCCGGAAGGTAAGGTTCAATGCTTAAAAAGGGAGTATCTCAGGAAAGATCTTTATCATAGAGAACTTTATCATAGTGCTTCCTTTCATTTTGGGTTATGAAAGCTAAAATAAGTAGCCTTGTTTCAAGAAAACAGTTTTCCTAAAGGGCAAAGAACAAATGTATTAATGTATACTTAGTGGCTTTGGCAAGTGATTTAAAGGGAAAGTCCTACTCCTTCCAGATTGATGGCCTGCACCTACATACCCATTGGTGGCATCAGCATAAACATTTGACTGCGTCGAGGGTCCAATTTTGATTTCTTGGAGCATCAATTTTCTAACTTAAAATTGGGGCAATAGTCTTATATGACTGTTGTGCTATAGGAAATAAAATAATGATATAGGAGTTAAAAAGAAATTATTCAGGCAGATAGTGAGAATAAGGAAGTCCTCAGTAAGGTTTTCCTTTTAATAAAAAGCAGCCCTAAAATCACTTTTTTTCTAACACAAAGCAGCCTGTAAGATCAAGCTAAAGACATAGATAAGCAAGTTGGAAGCCTGCGTGAGTGAATGCCAGCAGCCATGCCAATAGGAAAAGGCTACACAGGGGTTAGGCATGTTCAACAGGGCAGCTTCATTTTCCCTTTTCTTTGTCAACCACATATGCAGTGAGGAGCAGACAACATGGAGCAGGCCAGGTGGAAAATCCATTCGCATAATAAAAGATTAGGGTGGCATAGCCAGCTTCTTTGCAAACTATGTAAACGTCACACTTGGTCCAACCAATCTTTGGGCCCTATGTAAATCAGACATCACCTTCTCAAGCCAGCCTATAAAACCTCCTGCACTTCACCACAGACCGGAAGACCCACTTGGGCTCCCCATTTTCTCTGCAGGAGAGAGAGCTACTCTCTGTTCTCTTTCTTTTATCTATTAAACCTCCAGTCTTAAACTCACTACTTGTGTGTCCACATCCTTGATTTTCTTAGTGTGAGACAACGAACCTCTGGTACTTAACCCAGACAAAGACGGCACTTCAATAATATATGGGAAAAAACAACTGTAACAAATGCTTATAATAAGCTTTATATAATATAAAGAATTGGTTGCAACAAAATCCCTCTCTTTCTCTTTGACCCCTGAATCAGATACAGCTTCAAGTCCAGAGCACAGTTTCACAGTTAGCTATTGATGTGATTTAACTTTTTCAGAGACTATATCTTAAATATTTTAGATTGTCAACCTGCTGTACAGATAGTAGTCCAGGTAATCCTAGGTAAATAGTATTTGCTGAAAGATTTTTGACTGGTCCTATGGAGAACAAAGAGCCTGAGCCAAGGAAGGTGGGCATCCCTCTTAACATTTTTCCTTAGGAAAAAAAAAAAAAAATCTCGAAGCATGGGTCTCCTAATAAAAGCTGCAATTCATACATTATGCTTGAGGCCAAATATGTAACTTGTGATGCCCAGAGTGAAATGTTATCACAGGTTCCTCAGTTTAAAAAGCAAGATAAAAGAAGATCAGGTAAACGCAATAAAATACAAAACTTTTTTCTCTAAGAAATAGTTTGTTAATTATAAAACATGATGGGGTAAAAGAAGTACATGATTAATGCTATAAACTTAAAAATTATAAAAAATAATATTTCAGTGTCACGATTTTATTTAATACAATAAATAATACTGATTAATGTGATGTCTTCCTTGATCATAACATTTTTATGTCTTGCTTTTCTGCAAATTAGGACATCAGAATTTATACTTTTTGTAACTTCATTTTCAATCTGTATAATTAAAAGTGACATCAGTCACTCTTGAAAAATGCAAGATCACAAATAATTTTTGATAGTTTTTAATTTTCAGAATAATCTTTCTGCTGATGGAACTGTTCTTGAAACTATTAAGAGTATGCTTAGGTTATGACAATTCTGATATATTTTTTGAAAATATAAATTGTACATCTGGAGTTGATGATTCTTAGAGAACATTTTTTCTAAAAAGATTTAACTCTTTATACAATTAGTTTCAGGAAAGTCTGAAATTAACTTAAAATATAAGGTTATGCAATGGTACTTCCTACAACTTGTGGTGATCATACAAGAAACTTAAAGTGACTTTATGATTTGTAGGTGATTCAAAATATCTGTTCATCCATTTTATCATTGTAGCTACAATCACAATGAAAATTCATTTTAAAATTGTCTTCCTCATCAATTCCTGGTTCATCGGAAGCTTTATTTGAAAATAGTGTTTTTCTCAAGTAAATATAGTAATCTTTGCATTTAACCTCTATTTCTAGACCAGTAGGTATTTGCTTTGCTATGTTAAGCAATTTTCAAAAGCATAGATTCTAAACTCTCTGAAGAATTTTAATAGCTGTCTTATATGTTTTTATTACAATGTCCATGTGTACTTTTTTTTAACTGAGGTAAAATTCACATCCCCTATAATTAATCATTTGACATTATACAATTCAGTGGTATTTGACACATTCACAATGTTGTAAAACCACTACCTCTCTCTGGTTTCAAAACCTTTGATTACCACAGAAAAACACTCCATAACTATTAAGCAATCATTCTTCATTCCCTGCTGTTCTACCCTGGAAACCATCAATCTACTTTCTTTATCAAGTTTCCTATTCTGGATAACCCATATAAAAGGAGTCATACAATGTGTAACATTTTGTGGTCTGGCCTCTTTCACTTAGCATAATGTTTTTGAGGTTTATCCAAGTTGTAGCATGAATCAGCACTCCATACCTTTTTAGGATCGATTAGTTGTATATAGATACCACAATTTGTTTCTCCTTTTATTCAGTGATGGACATTTGCGTTATTTCTACCTTGTGAATACAACTGTTATAAGCACTTGTGGAAAAGTTTTTTGATATTGTTTAAATACCTGTTATCCAGTCTCTAGGGTACATACTTAGGGGTAGAATGGCTGATCATACAATAATTCTAAGTTTAAATTTCGAAGAACCACCAAATTGTTTTCCACAGTAACTGCACCATTTTACATTCCCACCAGCAAAGAACAAGGATTCCAATTTCTCCACATCCCTGTCAACACTTGTTATTTTCCTTTCTTTCTTTTTTTTAATACTCATGCTAGTGGACGTGAAATGGTTCTCGTGGTTTTGGCTGGTGCTGTTGAATCTCTTTTCATGTACTGGTCGGACGTGTTCATATTTTCTTTGGAGAAATATCTACTCCAGTCTTTGTCCATGTGGGAGATTGTTTTTCTTTTTATTGTTAAATTATAAGAATTCTTTATATAATCTGGATACTAGACCTTTATATCAGATATATGATTTGCAGACATTTTCCACCATTCTGTAGAATGTCTTTTCACTTTCTTGATAATGTATTTGGAGGCACAAATATTTTTAATTTTTATTAATCCAATTTGTCTTTTTCTTTTGTTGCTTAAGCTTTTGATGCCAAATCTAAGAATCCATTGCCAAACAAGAAGCCATGAACATTTATCCCTGTGTTATTTGTACCAGCTTTGTTGTTTTAGCTCTTATACTTAGGTCATTGATTAATTTTGAGTTAATTTTTATATTTGGAGTGAAGAAAGGAGTCCAAATTTCTTCTTTTGCATATGGTTTTTTAGTTATCCTAGCACCAATTATTTAAGAGTCTATTCTTTCCTTGTTGAAGGGTCTTGGCAACGTTGCTGAAAATCAATTGGCCATAGATGTTTGGGTTTGTTTCTGGATTCTCATTCTGTTACATTGGCCTATATGCCTATACTTATGGCTGTGCTATGCTGTGTTGATTACCACAGCTTTGTGGTAAGTTTTGAAACTGAAAATTTGTGAGGCCTCCAATTTTGTTTTTATTTTGTTTTAATATTGTTTTGGCTATTTGGAGCACCTTGAAATTCCATATGAATTTGAGAATTAGCTTTGTCATTTCAGGGGAAAAAAGGCCATTGATGGGGATTATATTGATTCTGTAGATCTTTTTTAGGGAGTAGTTTCTTTACAATATTAAGTGCTCTAATTCATAAATATAGATTATCTTTTTACTTATTTCCTCTTTAATTTATTTCAGAAATGTTTTATAGTTTTCAGTGTACAAGTCTTTCACTTCTCTAAAATTTATTTCTGGGTATTTTATTCTTTCAATATTAGTGTAAATAATTTTTTTCTTAATTTCCTTTTTGAATTGTTCATTGTTGGCAAATAGAAATGCAAATGATTTTGGTGTGTTGACCTTATACCCTGAAACTTTGCTAAACTTAGTTCTAGTAGGTTTGTGTGTGTGTGTGCGTGTGTGTGCATATTCTTTGGGATTTTCTTATAGAGAACGTGTCATCTGCAAATAGAGATCATTTTACTTCCTTTCCAAATTGGATTATTTTTGTTTCTCTTTCCTTTTCTTGCCTAATTTTTCTGGCTAGGACTAGCAGTATAATGCTGAATAGCAGGGCTAGGCAGTACTTCCTAATGAAGAGTTTTAGGGGATTTCAAACTCATTTTTAAAATAGATAAAAAATGTCACATCTTCAGATGAGTTTGCAGTAACAATTGATTGACATCAGGAAAGGCTGACATTTATAAGCCAAATTCAAAAGCAAAAAATGGAAAAAGAAAATTTTACATAATTGGTAATTGGGACTAAAATACGTGCATCAATATTTAAAGAAAAGCCAAGGATGCATTTCTTCCATTTTGATTTATGTGTTCCTATAAAGAAAACTTTTCAGCTACAATATTTTTTTAAAAACTATTAAATAACATGAAATTAAAATCAGATTCTCAATCACTAAGTGCAAATAATTAAAATAATGCTTGAGAAATAAGCATAGTCAATCATATTGTTCTCAATAAAAATGGTATTAATAAAAAAATTTTAATCAAAATATTCTATTGAGTTGAAAAAACAAATCATTTTACTGTTATGTATCTTACTTTTTAAAAGTATATTTACAAAATGCAATAAAATTATTTATAATAAATAGTATATTGGGCTGTATGTTCAAATATTTTTCCTAATAGTGTTGAGTGATCAAAAGGCTTTAGGGACTATTGCCAGAGACATGTATGTGTATGATTTATCTGTAATACTAGGCCATTAACTCAAAGAAATCAGTATTCATTTCTGATTCTTTTCTAACCCCCACAGCACATGGCACAATACCTTGCACATGGCAAATGATCAGTAATTACTTGTTGAACAAATCAAAGAATAAATTCACAAGACTGTGTAGTTACTTATCTGGAAGTAATGGTTGACCACCCATCTGCCAATTCTTAGTGAAGGAATTGTTTTCCTGCTTACTACACTGATTTTATTGTAACTCATTCAAGTCAGTCAAAATACATAACTTCCCTTCCAACTTCTCTACTCCAGGCCATCCTGTCAACATGTCTGCATTATTCTGTCTACCTAGTAGGTATTTACTAAATATATGCTAACTTAATTGCACTTTTATAATGAGACAGATGTAAATATTTCCATAAAAAACAAAGACCGTTAAAAATTAAATGATACAACAAGAAAAAAATAAATGCTTAAAATAATGCAATGAAAGTATTATTTTCTGTCTTTCAGTTTAAAAGCTTTTCAGCGACTCTTTTAACTTTAATCTTTGAGTGTTGGAGAAGAGACATGAGTGTGTGCTGGAAAATAGCTCTTCTAGAGCATTGTTCAGGCAATGGGTTCTTGTTGGAGGGAAGGGAAGATTTTTTTATTTTCAGTGCAAATATGTAAGCAACTCAAGATGACATCTTCCTAGGTCCTGTGCTCATGTCTGGTTCTTAAGGAGAGCAAGATACAACAAAGAATTTTCACAAAAATTACATATTTCTATTGCTGAAGTCCTGGTAAAGGGAATTTCTATTTTCAGCAATGCTGGTATAGGTGATCTGAACTCACTCCTCCACCCAGGACAATGTGCAAATTAGAAACCATCCTTAGGAACATAAAGCCACTCCAAAATGATTAGAGATATAATTGACATAATGAAAAGACCAATATAATAAAGATGGAAAGAATTGCTACTTACCAAAATCAGCTACAAATTTGATTCCATACCAGCAAAAACTCCCATTAGTTCACTTTTTAGTTGAAAAACATCCTCAAATCATTTTTCAGATGATCTGTACTAATACATAAAGCTGAATAGGTCACTGCCTTGTTTAATACCTTTTACTGCCTCCCCATTTCCCTCAAGATAAAATACAAACTCCTTAAAAGAGTTTCCTGGCCTGGCTCCTGCCTCCTTCTTCAGTCTGGGCTCACCTTCCTATCACCAGGAAGTGGCACCTCTAGGTGTTTGAAGAAGTGGTTTCTTCTTTCTGGAGGATTTCTATTTTCCCTAACTTCCTTGGCAGATACCTCCTAACTGATATCTCAGAACTCAGCTTATGTGTCACCTCCACACCAGCCGGCCGGTTTTGGGAGCCTGTCCTCTAGATTCTCATGGTTCCTGGACCTAATTCTACCATGGCATGTACTTCCTCTGTGTGCTGCCAACACTGGTGACTGCCCCATCTCCAACATTTGACAGTGGGCTCTCTGCATTTTCTCAGCTGGCATGGTGCCGTCACATAAGATGCTAAATAATTACTGAAAGGGTCAATGAATGAACAAGTGAATGAATTGAAGCAGCAAAAATACATTGATTTGTTTTTGTCTCCAAAGACAAGAGCCCACTTGCTGCCGATATGAAGAGAGTGATTTTCTGCTGCTGGGTAAATAGTTTCACCTCCCATTTTAAGTTTTAGTTGGCTAAATGCATACCTAGACATCTATATTCCATCTATTCATCCAATCAACAAATATTTATTTGTTACTTGCTATGTTCCACATGTGGTATTAGATCGAACCGTAATTGTTCGATCATTATGTTCGAAATTGTTGACATTAGATGGTTTAAAACATTTTCATATGGTACAACCTCCTGTAACCACTGTAGGGGAAAAGTACCTCTCTGGTCTCATGCTCATGGAAATCAGGGTGTGTGACAGACAATTCTCATACAATGTAGTAAGTACAGGTACTCCTAAAATGATTCTCTTTTGGAAGTTATATCAAATAAAATGCTGATAGCTCTTTGAATCGGGAAAACATTGACCTCATAGACATTTGTAATCAATTAGTTCACAAATGTTGGTTATTGGAGAGTCAACGTTTTCCAAGGCAGAAAATGGAAAATAGCATTATCTGTAGACCAATGGAGAAAATATCTGCCCAGGCTTGCCTGCTGAAAAATAGCATGGTAGTATATTTGAAAACCAAAAGACCCTAAGTACAATATGTTATAGAAGACGTAATGAGCACTGACAATATGACAGAATTTTATGTTGACTTAAAGCAGCCCCAGTCCCTGCCTAACGAATCTGCAGTCCAAGTTCTGTGGACAATCCTGAGAGAAGATAAAAATACACTAGAGGAAAGATGAATGCCTGCAATGAAGCGATCCCAAATGGCTCCTATCACAAATGGGGTTCCAGGAACCTCAGCGCTGCTTTCTGTATAAAGGCAGCACAGATGAACTTTAAAAAGGTGTTTTTCTTGTTAAAATTATACCATAATAGCGCCGTGGATTTCCTTTCAGCCCACTACCTCATGGACACAGCTGGAAGCCTGGGAAGCAGGTCGGTGTGCCCCTTTTCATCCCCTTCATTCCCCATCAGAGTGCCATGAAAACTGAAAACTGAAATACGGGCTTAAAAAGGCTATTTTTCTTCCAGTTCATGTAGGACGTGAGGCAAACCAAATTATTCTATGTGTATAAGGACTCCAGCTTCCTAAGGTATAGACGGGTTGATTGGGCACAGGCCTGGGCACAACCAGACACTCAGTAAACCATGTCATAACCGAAGTATGAGAATTAGAAAGGCATGAGTTTGTATGGTGGTGTTGTCATAAAGGCATACTGTATTAGTCCACTTTCACACTGCTAATAAAGGCATACCCAGATAAATTTTAAAGAAAAAGAGGTTTAATGGACTCACAGTTCCATGTGGCTGGGGAGGCCTCACAATCATGGTGGAAGTCGAAAAGCACATCTTAAATGGCAGCAGGCAAGACAGAATCAGAGCCAAGCGAAAGGGGTTTCCCCCTATAAAACCATCAGCTCTCATGAGACTCATTCACTCCCATGAGAACGATATGGGAGAAACCGCTCCCATGATGCAATTATCTCCCACTGGGTCCCTCCCACAGCACATGGGAATTATGAGATCTACAATTCAAGATGAGATTTGGGCAAGGACACAGCCAAACCATATCACATACGGTGTAGAATCAGAGCCTAGACCGGGTGTGGTGGCTCACACCTGTAATCCCAGCACTTTGGGAGGCTAAGGCAGGCGGATCACCTGAGGTCAGGAGTTCAAGACCAGCCTGGCCAACATGGTGAAACCCTGCCTCTACTAAAAATACAAAAATTAGCTGGGCATGGTGGTGGGAGCCTGAAATCCCAGCTACTTGGGAGGCTGAGGCAGGAGAATTGCTTGAACCCAGGAGGCAGAGGTTGCAGTGAGCTGAGATCACGCCACTGCACTCCAGCCTGGGTGACAGAGTGAGACTCCAGCTCAAAATAAATAAATAAATAAAAGAATCAGAGCCTAAGTTCAAATTCTTCTGCTGCTTGATCTTTTTATGGCCTATACCTCACTGGGATAGGTTTTCTTATCAGAAAAGAGGGGAACAATAATACCTACCATAAATAATTGTGAATACTAAATAATTATTTTTGGAAACATTCAGACACAATGCCTATGGTCCAGTAATTCGGTGATTCACTCTCAATAAATGTGAGCTGAACTCAAACGTACTGAAACTGCATACATGTCCCCTGGAATAATTATTCACCTTCTCAGCAGCTTTCATGCATTCACTCCTTGAAGCTGGGTGAGTGAGGTGTGACAAGAGGGACAATTACAATTAGAAAAATCCGTCTGTCTTGGGTGTGATCCTTTGATAACTGTAAAGTGTCCGTTAGCCCCACACCACAATCTTTTGTTGGCAGAAGGATTGCTGATGATCTGAAAGTGCTTAGAATTGCACCTCAATTGCATCCTAATTATTAGGTTCTTATTATGAAATTCTTCAAGATCAAAGCTAGTAATTGAAGATTGTGCTATTGGAACACCTGTGGCATGGGCAAGAGGAACATTTAGCTCTCATTTGCTTTGCGCTTTTTCTTTATCATATAAAGTCTCATCCCAGATAGACATGAACAAGTAATAAAACCTCACTAAGGATGTTTTTTTTTAACCTTAAAATTGGTATGATGATAGAATTACAAAGAATAATGAGAGAAATAGACATGAAGTCCTTAGAGTATGTGGGACATGTTCGATGCTCAGTAAATGGCCATTAT
Organism: Homo sapiens; assembly: GCF_000001405.40. NCBI lineage: Eukaryota > Metazoa > Chordata > Mammalia > Primates > Hominidae > Homo > Homo sapiens. The sequence continues at coordinate 12,278,009 of NC_000002.12, read as the reverse complement.
TGCCATCATGGTATTGAAGGTAAGTAAATCTAGATACAAATCCTGGACTTTATCATTGCTAAGTCTGTGACACTAGAGCAGTAAAACTTTCTGAACCCACTTTCTCATCTACACAAATGGGATTAATGCTACTCACCCTTTAGGACTGTGTAAAGATTAGAGAATGTGGAGAAAGTTCCTGGGCTTCATGGCCTTAGCAGAGTCCTTTTTTTCCTGTCCTGTAGTCCTGTATCTCACATGCTCTGAGTTTATCACCCTCAGAATGTCCTTGAGAGAGTGACTCAGCAAAGGGAGTTCCTTAAGAAGCCCCCAACCAACACAAACTGAGTTCAGATAAGGACAAACCATTTCCCACAACACCAGCAGAGTCCTGGGTTTCTTTTTCCCCTATCTTAAGAGCCACGTGTGTGTTAAAAGGGGGTCAGTTCATGCTTGTGTGTCTGCCTCTCAGCTATTCTTCAAGCTCCCAAGGTTTGGCTCAGGGTTGTAAAATAATATTAAGTTCTGACAGTGTAAGAAGTGTGCCCGGAAAAAAAATAACCAGAGCAGGAAGGAGAAGAAAAGCATGAGAAGAGTGCAGATGAGTTTTGCAGCTGGTTTTGCATTAGAAGGGGAACATTAGCATTAGACACAGGAAAACGTCGGCTGCGGAGCCCAAGTTTCCTTCACACAAAGGTCACCAGCTCTTCACTGTGAATAAACTCATGTTGCAGGTATGATGTTGCTTATGCAGTTTCTCGTTCCTCCATACTAAAAGGTTTTCAGCTTGGCAGCATTTTCCCCTGCACTAATCCAACTCTCCTTGGAAAATGTCATCCCGCTTGAATTTTCATAGCTCTGTCCTCACTCAGGCACCTGGGATTTCCGGATCAAAGCTGCCAATCCAGTGAAACTAGGCACCAGTATGTGTGGGAGAAGTAGTTCATTACTGTGGTCACCCAAGTGGGTTAATTTCAAACAAACGTCAAGAGGTTTCTTTTCTGCCCATTTTCCTCGGTTTACTTTTTTTCTACATAGGCAAGGAAGTCTATCTCTGGCAGTCTTTATTGGTGAGTAAGTTGGACAGTTCACATCAGTCCCTCATTCAGAAAAGGACTCAAGGTGTAGCTGCCCTTTTGCAAGGAATGGAAGAGATATGGTGGGATACCGATGGGAACTGTCAGGTCACTATGTGCATCATCCCTGTAGAAAGGACTGTCAGATAAACTGTGGAAGGAAATTACCACTTCCCGAGCTTCCATTCTATGCCAAGCTCTTCATAGGCATAAGAAGCTAAACAAATTGCCTAATGATAAAGAGCAAAGAAGTAAAAAACTGCTCAAGACAAGCTGATCTCAAATCTCATTTTTTTGTCCTTGTACCATATAGCCGGGACCGTATGGGACCAATTTTAGAGACAGTGTCTCGGTGGCAAGACCTCAATTTAAAATGCGGTGTAACCAGGCATAGTTTTTCCAACCTTTATGTCTTTTGTGGGCTTAGAGATGATGAGTAGGCTCCACAAAACTTGCCTTAAGCATTAACACACATAATACAGCAAATACTGTGTTTGGAAAACAGTGCTCAATTTTATGAAATTTGTTATTTATTCTGAGGCTCACACACAAGTTCTTTAACTAATGCCCTGTGATCTCATGTAAGTTTGTTATACCTGAAACTGGTTAATTTCTAAAGAACAGAAATTTATTTCTCACAGTTCTGGAGGCTGGAAGTCCAAGATCAAGGTGACAGCAGATTCTGTGTCTGGTGAGGGCTGTTCTCTGCACTGAGGATGACACCTCTTGCTGTGTCTTTACATGGCAGAAGGGATGGAAGGGCAGAAGGGACCTAGATAGTTCCCTGGAGCCCTTTTATAAAGGCATTAATCCCACTCATGAGGGTAGAGCCCACATGACTTGAAATCAACTCTGAAATGCTCCACCTCTTAATACTATTACATCGGGTCTTGATTTCCAACTATAAATTTTGGGAGGACACATACATTCACATCATAGCAAACTCTAAATAATTAATCCACAGAAGAGGGGTCACATGAGGGGTAAAAAAAATAAGGGTCTTGGATATGAGAAAAGAAAGTATCATTATTCACATGCAAGGAAAACAGCCGGAACTCATTCCAAGAAGACAAAATGGCGGAAAAGAAGGGGAGAAGAGAACTCGAAATACTCTGATTCCAGTGGGATCAGCCTTATCTGGTGCTCCAGCTTGATCTCTTTTCCTCCATTCTTGCCCTTGCCTATCCAGCTTTCTCACACTCACCAGAGTTGACTTTCTAATCCACCAACCTGACAGTGTCACTCTTCTTTTGCTGTCAGTGGACTCTCACAAAGTATAGGAGAGGATCCAGGACAAGGAAGAACTTCAAGAAGCTGCTTGCAGCTCCCACCCCAGCCGCCCTCCACTGCTCGCCACACAGAATCAACTCAGATGTTCCCTCTCCTGGAATGTCTTCCACCTGTTAAGCCAACACTGTGTAGACATGTCAAAGTACTTACCACCCTATATTGTAGTTTCATGCTCTACATCTCACCTCAGAATTTTAAATACTTTTACTAATATATTTAAGAAAACATAAAACAAGACATTTTCTTTTTTTTTTTTTTTTTTCCCAGACGGAGTCTCGCTTTGTTGCCCAGGCTGGAGTGCAGTGGTGCGATCTCGGCTCATTGCAAGCTCCGCCTCCCGGGTTCACGCCATTCTCCTGCCTCAGCCTCCCAAGAAGCTGGAACTACAGGCACCCGCCACAACGCCCAGCTAATTTTTTGTATTTTTAGTGGAGACGGGGTTTCACCGTGTTAGCCAGGATGGTCTCGATCTCCTGACCTCGTGATCCTCCTGCCTCGGCCTCCCAAAGTGCTGGGATTACAGGCGTGAGCCACCGTGCCCGGGTGACATTTTCTTTAATGCACAGAAACCATAAAAATAATCACATGCAAATTATAGAACTAAAATAAAACAACTGACATAAACCATCAGTGGGTGTGTTTCAGAGAACTTTGCACATAGCTTTAGAGAATTGGTGAAATTAAAGCTAAATCTATAGCAGATATACAGGCTGAAATCCAGAGAGAAATTGATGGAAAATACAAAAAAGAAAAAAGAATATATGAGCAGAAAAAGAAGAAAAAAAAAAAAACTAACATGCAAGTAATTGAAATTCCAGAAAGAAAAAAAAAGGGCCAAAAATCAATATCTGAAGACACAATGTATGCCAGTTTTCCAAACCAATAAAATATATCCCAAGAAAGAAAAAACACAAATAAAATTCCATGTAAGCCCATCGTAGCCAGACTTCAGAAAAACAAAAAAATTCCTAAAATCTGCCAGAGAGAAAAAAATGCACATTGCCTTTAATACAGCAACAATAAGAGCAGTAGGGAAGACAGAAGACCAGAAGGATGTTATTAAAAAGTAACTGCCAACCTAGAATTCTATAACAATAAAAATGTCTCCAAAAAATGAAAATGAGGATATATACTAGGACAAATGGTCACTGAAATCATTATAGATAAACAAAGCTGAGTTAATTTGTCACCAGCAGAAACCCACTTAAGGAAATACTAGACGGGATTACGTAGGAAGAAGAAAAGTAATCCCCAGTGAAAATTCAGAGATGTAAGGTGGTGTGATGAATACTGGAAAAAGATTAATAAATAGATAAATATAGGTAATTGTGACTGCAGAAAAAGATGACAATTAAAAATACAAAAGATGAGAAGGGACAAAACATATCAAACTATCCTTAGCCCCTTGGATTATGATACACTCAACATGTTTAACTTCAGTGTGTGAAGAAGGGATTATGTAACCATTGGGTAACCATCAAAATAATGATGAAAGCATGTACAACTAACAGGCTTGGGAGTGTGCTTAAGGGGGAATTATTTTAAAATACTTCATTAATCCAACAAATAGAAAGGACACAGAAGAAAATAGAAGAGATGTGAAAAATAGAAAACAAATACCAAGATGGAGGCTATAAGTCTAAATATATCAGTACTCACATTAAATATGCATTTAGCAACTAAAAGACAAATGTCAGGTTATATTAAAATAAACTATACCTTGCTAATAAGAAGCATATCTATAATAAAAGAGTAAAGAAACACTGGCAATAAAAGGATAAGAAGATCAACACCATACAAACTCTAGGTGAGCCCAAGCTGTTGTCAAAGCATAAGGCGAAAAGAATACCAGAGATGTAGTTACAATAGGGTCCCCCAACTAGTAATACATAATTTTAAATTAACCAAAACTATAACCATAAAAAAAGAAGAAACTTAAAAGGAAAAATGGAAAAATCCACAACCATAAAGAAAGATTTTCATATACCTCTCTCAGAAGTAATAAACCAAGCAAAAATAAATCAGACAAAATGGATACAGCAAATTTCAATATATGATTTGAATAATTCACCTAATTGACATATATAGAACAATGCACCCCAAAATTCCAAAAATTGCAAATTATATACATAGGACATTTATAAAATTTTCCATATGCTGGGCCATGAAGCAAGAATAAGCCAGTTCCAAAAGACTAAAAATCATACAGATTTTTCTCTGTTAACAGAAAAATTAAGCTGGATACAACAAAAAAAGATAATGATTAAAAACCTCCAAATATTTGGAAATTAAGCAAGACACTGCTAAATAATACGAGTCAAAATGAAAATCACAACAGAAACTGAGAACTATTTTTAACTGACTGTACAAATATGTTGTACAAATGTACAACATATTATTTACTATGAGAGACTGGTAAAGGCATTATTAGAGGGAAATTTATAGCTAAATTAAGCACAAAATTTTAAAAGAAAGTAGATAAGAACTATAACAGCAGAAATAAACAAAATAGAAAACAAATAAAAGGATCAACTATGTCCCTTTTGAGGACTAAATTATTTTTCCCATGAGAATTTTACATGGAAAAGTTGCCAATCCTAGCTAGATCTTATCTAAGAGAATATGCTGAAGTTTACTACTGTGTTCTTTAATCTCTTAGGGATTACATTTGCCTAGGCCGTTGAGATAAAATAAACCTCTCTGTTCTCAAAGACCTACCTCGCATAAAAACTAGGATAGTCGCTTTTCCAATTTTGGTTTTATTATCTTTGTCTGTAATAAAAGGAGAGTTAGACTTCACTGGATAATATCTAAGGGCTTGGCTGGACCTCAAATAATATGTGTGCCTGATTTCACTGCTATGATCAAGAATTTTCTACCTCTTCATTTAGATTTATAGTTAACTGCTCAGGTTAGTTTGAAAAATGTTTTCTAAACACCTATAATGTGAAAAGCATTATATATATACACACTAACCTTGGGTTAAATGTCAGGTGGAAAGAAAGATAGGTGAACAAATGATTATATTAATAATACAGTATGCAATGTGCCAGAATAAGCCTATAGCATGTCAGCGGGAATGGTGGTCTGTGGACCTCCGTAAAATCAGTGTTCACACTGGCAAAAATCAGTGTTTTTTTTTTTTTTTCATTAAAATTAACATTTTCAGAACTCTGAAGATAACTCAAAGGCTTGCATCAATCCTGCAGAGTGTTTCAGGAAAAAAAAAAAGGCTGGATCTCAGTAAAGAAGACTGAGTTTTGACATTTTAACTATCCCTATTTCCATCCCCTCCTCCAAAGCTTTTCAGTAGTCTTGAAAGCCAATAGCTTCACAACTGGGTTAGCTATGGAAAGCAGCACGCTAGCAGTGACTAGAATGAGCACAACTGGTTTGAAACGCTCCAAAAGCCTCATGTGCCAGAGAATTGTCACTATTTGTCCTATCCACATATGCTTGAAAAGCTCCATTTTCAGGACTTGCCTTCATTTGACCTGACTCAAGGATTGCTCTGAGAAAAAAGACTTACCTCTAAAGTGTCAAAAAAAAACCAGTGGCAATAGTTTAACATAATGACTATAAAAATGTGATACCTCTTAGAGCTAGCAAAAGGCAAACGAACAAAAAATAAATAAAAAACTGGAGATTGAAATATCCGTAAGATGCCTTTAAAAGCTCTAATATATTCTTGTTTTGTCAATTATCACTTTATGTATTTTGATGACATTATTATATGCATACAGATTTATAATAATGATAGCTTCAGGGTAAATTGAAACATTTATTGTTAATAAATGTTATTCTTATTAGTAATAATGCAATAATGCCAATGCACTAGTCTGCTTTGTCTGAGAGTAAAATAGAGGAAATACATTTTGGTTGACTTTTACGTGGTATGTCTTTTTTGTCCTTTCACTTTCAATATTTCTGAATCCTTGCTTTTACAGTGTAATTCATATTTTAAGTGTTTTTTACTTTTCTTATCCAGCTGGAAATTCTTCATTGTTATTTCAAGTTTTAAATTACATGTGATATAATTACTGATATATTTGGGTTGAAACTACCATATTTTCAGGCCACAATGAAGTAGCTGAAACCAGAATAGTCTTCCCATCATAAAAGACTGTAAAGTTTTATACATTAACTCTTTGAGGACAACAGGCAGCTAAAGGCAGCAATCATCTCAGAATCGTGATTCAGATGGTGAGCCCCACAATTACCCACTTCTGTGCATGCTGACAACTTCTTGACTGAAGTTTAGAAAGCTGAGGTGAGAGCAGAGCACAAGCAGTCCTTCCGAGTTGAGTATGCATAGACCACACTTCAGACAGTTGAAGCAGCTGTAATCAGCAGCAAAAAGTATCAGAGAGGAGAAAACGACAGAAAAAAGGCCCTAGAAGCATGTGTAGGGATACCAACACATCTATGGCTAAGGGCTAGCTTCACATGCATGAAGTAAGACCATAGCAGTTTACCAGGTAATGATTGCTACCAGGTTAGAAGTAGAAAAGCAATACTAGAGGTCAAACAGTGCTGACAAAACTTCATGATGGAGTCAGATATTATGAATGGGGAGACACTTTGACACATGCTTTACACCTTGGTGTGCAGCTGAGACACCAGACAGGCTGGGCCTTAGTAGTAATAATTATACCCCAGGGTAGGACATGTTCTACACCCACTTTAGTACAACCGTGACAAGATCCAAAGGAAAAATGTAGTTTGGAACTTGAACCTCATCAAGTATAAGGGCTTGGGAAACAGCTTGGGTGGTTTATTTGACAAATGTACATTAACAAAACACAAAATTTAGCCTAAGTTCCAAGTTATTACTCAGTAGTTGACTTGTCTCCTTAAGAAAAAAATCTTCAGAGGAAATTAAATGAATTCAAAGTATCTGTAAGAAGATAATGGAATACACAGTCAACACTTACTAGCATTTATTTCATCAAAAATAACTAGTCAATCAATGAAACAGGACCTAAATCCCAGATAAGACAGGTTTTAGACTTAATAGAGAAAACTATAAAGCAGTTATTACAAATATATTGAAAGGATTTATGAAAATGTGTTAAAGAATTTAAGGTAAATATGATCTTCATAAGTGATTAGGGGAATCTCAGAAGAGAAAGTGAATAATAAAAAATAACCAAATGGAAATCTTGGAAATTAAAATCATACAAAATAAAACGGGAAAAAAGTCACTGGATGGACTTAATGGCAGATTATATATTGCAGAAAAAATAATCAGTAAATTTGTGTACAGAGAATAGAAAGGATTCAATCTGAAGAACAAAGCAGGGGAAGTTCAAAAAAAAGTAATGAAAACTCAAGAACCTGTGGACAAAATCTATAGTGTCCTATGCTTATAAGAGACCAAGAAGTGAGAGAATGAAATTGTGGTAGAAAAAAAAACCCATCTCTTTCAAAGAAATAAATGGTCAAAAGCTTTTGAAATACGATGAAGTATACTCTCTGCAGGTCCAAGACTCCCAGAGAACAGAAGCATGATACAAGAAAACCATGCACAGGCACATCAAAGTCAAAAAGTTGAACACACAGATAAAGACATAATCTTGGAATCAGCAAAAGATATGCAAAATACAGGGAAACAATAATTTACTTTGCTGAGAAATACTGGATGCCCAGAGACAGTGGAATAGCATCTTTAAAGCACTGATGGGGGAAAAACACACTGTCAACTCAAAATCCTATCACCAATGAAAATATCCTTTTACATACAAGGTGAAATAAATGTATTCTCAGACCAGGGAAAGCTGAGAGAATTTGTCTCCAGAATACTTGCATTTTAAAAAGTATCAAAGTATATATTTCAGGTAAGGGAGAAATGGTACCAGATAGAAACATGGGTCTACAAATGGAATAAAGAATAGCAGATATGAATCACTGGTTGGAGTTTGGAGCCTGGATAACAGGAAGAAAAGATGAGTAGAGTCCAGATAGGAGGCTGTCACATAATTCACTGATTAACTGCCTAACTAAGGATATTTCGAAGCCCAGACCCCAGTGATCACTGTTACCCATTACTGACAATCTCTAATTAGCTTCATAATTAGAGAATAATTCTGTATTCTTAGGAGATGCCAATAGAAAAGGGATTGAGTAATCATATTTGTTTCCTCTGTGTCTGGTAGAATGACCAGATTAAATCAGTGCACTTCTTTAAGCGGTGTCCAGGCCTCAAAGATACAGCGTCATCTTGCAGGCTAGTCAAGGTTTCAGGAGAATCAAGTCCATGGACTTATTCACTTATCTCCAAGCAGAGACAACTAGGTAAGCAGAGACGACTAGGTCTACCCCGATTAATCCACAGAAGTGAGTCTGTGCAGGATTGCCTCAGGCAAACACAATCATGTATAGGGTGATTTGAAAGTAAGTAGGAGGAAGTCCATTACCACAGGCTTATGAAAAACGTCTCCCTTCTCTAGGATAGATTCATAAAGCAAAGTGCAAAACAATGTATCGAGTATGCTGCTCCTGGTAAAATAAAAAGGAGGGTCATAAAACTACCTTTGGTATTTGCTTTTATTTGCATACAGGAACTCTGGGAGGATATATAAGAAATCAATCAAAGTAACTGTTCAAGGCAGTTGGGGAAAAAGGCACTTGGGCATTGAGGTGAGAATATGATTTTTTCACCACGTGCTTACTTACATTGCTTTGCTTTTTGAAGCATGTAAATGTAGTTTAAAATTCTAGGTATAGAATTCCATGTTGGCTTTTTTCCCCAAAAATTCACACAACTCTGTCATCTTGCTTTCTTATTATTTCTATTTAAAAGTCAGCAGAAGCCTTATTGTTGCTCATCTGAGTGTAAGTTCCCCACCTCTGGCTGCCTTTGACATTTTCCCTTCGAATATGTTTGTAGCAGTTTGCTACGATTTGCCTAGGTGTGATTTTTCAGAGGAAGGTTGTTATGCTTCTATTATGTGAGCCTTGATATCTTTTTTAATTTTTGGAAAAATTTCAGCTACTTATTTTTTAAATATTGCCTCTGCCATATTCTCTATCTCCACTGCTACTTAAACTCCACATACATGTATATTAAGACGTCTCACTGTATTCCCTCTTCATCTTAGCCTCTCTTTTGTGTTTTCAATTCTGTCTCCTGGTTTCATTCTAAATATTTCCCTCTGACCTGTCCTTAAGGTCATTGATTTTCTTTTCAACTTTATCAGATATGCCCTTGATTATATTCTTAATATCATTTATTATATTTCCAGTTTTAGTCTTTACGTTTAGTTTTTTATTGTTTCCACTTCTCTGCTGAAATTTTTAACTTTGTCTTTTAGCTCTTTGATCATACTAAACGTTGTTATTTTAAAATTCACCTGTGATGACTTCATTTTTGGGATCCTTGTTTCTATTATCTGCTATGTAGTCTTTAAACCTGCTTTATTTCTCATTAATCACTGGACATTTATATATAAATTATAGAAACAATTTGAGGCCAAAGGTAACATTGCTTTCGTCCAGAGATAATTTACAGACAAGATCTAGAGGCAAATACCAAATCCTAACTGCCAGTACCTCAGAATGTGATTGTGTTTGGAGATAAGGCCTTTAAAGAATAATTAAGGTAACAAGAGGTCATATGGGTGGGCCTAATCCAATATGACTATTGTTCGCTTAATAAGAGGAGATCAAGAGAGACACAGAGGGAAGGCCACATGAACCCACAGGGAGAAGACGGCCATGTACAGGCCAAGGAGATCCATCTCAGAAGAAGTCAACCCCAATACACTCTGATCTCAGACTTCCAGCCTCTGGAATTGGGAGAAATAGACTTCTGTTGCTTAAGCCACACAGTCTGTGATACTTTGTAATGGCAGCACTAACAAACTAAAACAAATATCAATAATTTAGATTATTCAAATATTCCATATCAATTAAATGTCAATGTAATGATGTTCAAATACCAAGAATTGTAATGGTTCAAAACTAAGCTTCAATCCCTTTGATGTCATTCTACGTGTAGTTTATCCTTTTTTCTGTAGGATTGTTTATTGGAGACCCAACTCAAGTTTGGGGATTACTAGAGTTTTCTCTCCTTTGTAGAGGGTATAATTAATATTTTATGGATAAACAGTGTCTCTAAACAGGTAAGTAATGTACTAAGGTCACAGGACTATTAATATTTTTAAAAAAATAAAGATAACAAGAATAGGGAAAAAATTACAGTGAACGAGCCAACTCTTAGACTCGTAGTTTACATTTTGATTCAAGTTTTGAAATTTCAGCCAGATGAATTTGGTTTATCACAAGGATTTTGTACAAGCCCCATCTCCACATGTCACCATTCCCACTAATAGGGATGACAGCTTGTCAGTAGCACATCTCAGCTCTCTTTCATGTTCTGTCTACACAGAGAGGGAAGTCATAGTATTGCCATAACTTTACAGTCACTGAGCAATGAGGACATGTTTATATCAAGGCAATTAAAACTGGGTGGGGGACTAGGGGAGGGATAGCATTACGAGAAATACCTAATGTAGATGACAGGTTGAAGGGTGCAGCAAACCACCATGACATATGTATACCTGTGTAACAAACCTGCACGTTCTACACATGTACCCCAGTACTTAAAGTATTTAAAAAAAAAAAAAAAACTTGCTGTTTTTCAGACTGGGGCTGGGGGCAAATTTTTAACTCAAGTGAATATTTTTCCCTAGAATAAAAAACATTTTCTCTTTATTATAAATTACTTGTAAAATAAATTAGCAGAAAGACTCATTGATGAAGTAAAGCATATCTTTGGTGTACTGGGTGGAGTTGGAAAAGTTACTTACCCTCTATAGACCTTATTGTCCTCTGAAATATGAGGTAGCAAATTACCCTAGCACATCTAAAAATTTTACAACACGTAAGTTTTGTTTTTGAAAAGTGTCCCATGATTAAGTAAGTCTTGAAACTATGTTCTCCTCCTTAAGATTCACCCTGTATGTTTTTTGTGTTAAAGGCTCAGCAAACCTACTGATGTTCAGTGGATTACATTTTTGGGGAGTACATTCTAGATCAGAATATTTCTCAGCCCTCTTGAAACTCTCTCACTTTTCTAGGAATACTGACAGAAAATATGCTTAAGTGGTTTCATTAGTTACCAGCAGAAAGGCCCACAGAACTAAAATCCCTTTCTGGTTTACATGTTCCTTGTATTTAAAATGAAATTCTCAAAAGGGAAAGACAGAAGGAATAAAATCAACTGACAATCTGATGAGGCAGTGTCACTCCGATTGTTTGCAGTTGAGGAAACTGAGGCTTTGAAGTCAAATGACTTGCTCAATGTCATAAACATTTGGTAAAAAAATTGGCCAGGCATGGTGGTTCATGCCTGTAATCCCACCACTTTGGGAGGCCAAGACAGGCAGATCACTTGAAGCCAGGAGTTGGAGACCAGCCATGGCCAACATGGCAAAACTCCATCGCTACTAAAAATACAAAAAATAAGCCAGGTGTGGTGGCATGCGCCTCTAGTCCCAGCTACTCAGGAGGCTGAGGCAGGGGATTCACTTGAACCCAGGAGTCATAGGTTGCAGTGACCTGAGGTGGTACCACTGCACTCCAGTCTGGGCAACAGAGAGAGAGACTCTGTCTCAAAAATTATTAATTAATTAATTTTAAAAATTGGTTAAATTGTGTACCAAGAACTCTAGTTGGTGAGAAGCAATTTTGGGCCCATCTTAGAACTACAGAATCTCAATTTTGATAGCTACAAAAGCCCGATTGTTCCAGAAGCCTTTCTACATTCCCATTCTCTTGAATGAAGATTCCTGAGGGTTATTCAGAGGGACACAGAGGAGGGTATTTCTCAACTGTGACAGTTCATGGCTGACTCAAAAGCAAATATGCTAAAAGGCAAGAGGTCTCAAAACTATATGTACTCTTTTTCAGATTGATCAACAAACCACTAAAAATTATAATAGAAACCACAAGGAAAAAAGAAGCATTAAGCTTTCAAGTTCCTGTTGGTATTAAGCAGCTAATTCCAAAAGCACAAAACTCTGTCTACAGTGGATAAAATCTTATGTTAACGAGTGTCCTAAAAATTTTTGTTAATTAATTTTATGTTTTAACATAGAATGGGAATAACAATGATTTGAGTGTTTTCTGGGTATCATTCACTTTTATACATTATCTGTTATTTTATGTAAATAGTAGGATTATATGAATACAGTTCAAAATTAAAGGGCATTTATTGTGTGACAGGTTTTATGCTACAAACTAGATAAAGAGTTTAAGAATATGGTCCTTGACCTTAAATGCCAAGTGGCACATGGTGGATTGACTGTGTAAATAGAATTTCATAAGAGAGAATGCCAGAAAGAGGGCAAGTACAGGTTCTGTGTTAGCCAGTGGAGAGCGACCTAACAGAGAAACATGACGGTGGGTGATGGCCAAGGAGTTGGGTAGTGTTATTCAATTTTAATGTTGCAGTATGAATAAGTTTAGCCATAAAAAAAAGTGGCAGAAATAATCCCTGGGAAAACAGAAAGCTCTAGGATATGAATTACCATGTTAGATATTGATTGCTCCATGCATCCAAGATTCCAGATATCTGCTCAGGCATCCACTACAACTACTGGTGTTCCTCTGATTCAGCCACAAAGTCTCATGTGGCCTCCACCTTGATGAGGGCCACAGAGGAGACACATGGACTTCTTCTGTCCTCTAATCTAAGGCCAGAAGTAAAGGCTGTCTGATACAGTTTGGATGTGTGTCCCAACCCAAATTTCATCTTGAAATGTAATCCTTAATGTTGGAGGTGGGATCAGGTGGGAGGTGATTGGATCATGGAAGTAGTTTTCTCATGCATGGTTTAGTAACATCCACTTGGTACTTTCCTCATGAGAGTAAGTGAGTTTTTGCAAGATTTAGTTGTATAAAATTGTATAGCACCTCCTTCCTCGCTCTCTTGCTCCTGTTCCCATCATGTGATATGCCTACTTCCCCTTCACCTTCTGCCACGATTACAAGTTTCCTCAGGCATCTTCAGAAGCAGAGCAGATGCCAGCATCTTGCTTCCTGTACAACCTGAAGGACTATGAGCCAATTAAACCTCTTTTGTTTATAAATGATCCGGTCTAGGTATTTCTTTATAGCAATGAGAGAACAGACTGATACAGAAAATTATTACTGTGGAATGGGGCATTGTTATAAAGATATCTGAAAATGTGGCAGTGACTTTGGAGCTGGGTAACAGGCAGAGGTTAGAAGAGTTTGGAGGGCTCAGAAGAAAACAGGAAGATGAAGAAAAGTTCAGAGTGTCTTAGAAACTGGTTAAATGGTTGTGACCAAAATGCTGATAGTGATATGCGATATGAATATTGAAGGCCAAGCTGACAAGATCTCAGATGGAAGTGAGGAACTTATTGGGAACTGGAGCAAAGGTCACTTTTGTCATGCCTTAGCAAAGAACTTGGCTGCATTGTGCCCCTGCCCTAGAGATCTGCAGAACTTTGAATTTTAGAGTGATGATTTAGGGTATCTGGTGGAAGAAATTTCTAAAAAGAAAAACCTTCAAAGTGCAGCATGGCTGCTTCTACCACCCTGTGCTCAGGTGCAAGATCATATAAATGACTTAAAACTAGAACTTATATTTAAAAGGGAAGTGGAGCATGTAAGTATGAAAAATTTGCAGTCTGGCTATGTGGTAGGAAAGAAAAGCCCATTTTCAAGGGAGGAATTCAAGTGGGCTGCAGAAATTTGCATGAGTAAAAAGGAGCCAAGTGCTAATAGGTAAGACAATGGAGAAAAGCCTTCAAAGGCATTTCAGAAAACTGAAGGCTAACAGAACATGTGCTTTTGCATTTTTGTGCTATAAAAAAAGTCTCAGGTATAATTTCTAGTACAGTTAATATCAATAGATATAGCCCACATAAATAAAAGCACTATGGAATCTTCAGTAATTTTTAAGAGTAAAAAGCGTTGTAAAACCAACCCTTTGATAACCACTGTTGTGGCTAATCAGATAAAATCTATGTTAGTATTTTATGTTAATTAAAAAACATCTATAAATCAAGCTTCTATGTGATATCACAGTCCACTCCCAGCTCATTTTAGATCAGTGCATCTCAGCCTTGATTGTACGTTGTAGTCACCTAGGGAGGTTGAAAAACTAGTACTGACCTGATTTTCACAGCCTCCTAGCCCAGATATTCTTATTTAATGGATATAGGGTTTTACTAGGGGATCTGGAGTTTTAACTTCTTTCCAGATGATTTTGTTATGCAGCCAAATTTGAGAACCATTGTCTCCTAGAATAGGAGATCCTAGAAACACACATGTTTGGTGGGCAGGAGAGACAGGGCTGTCACCAACCCCCCTGGATTCCTGGGACTAGAATGAAGTGGAGATGGGCTATTCAGAATGGGCAGTCAGAGCTGTGCCAGGGCAGGCCTCCTTCCCAGGGAATTACTTCATAACTTATGTCCTTGGACTGGGATGTGAGCTCAGAGGACTGAAACCTCAAATCTGGATTCTAGGTTCGAGCACCTCTCAAATGATAGCCTTTATTCACTCTATTCACTCTTTCCCAGCCTTCCTTGCTCGTGCAGTACCATGACAACTTTGCCCATTAGTGATCATAACCCTCCCCACTGTGTCCTCTTCTAAATTGATAAATTAAGAATCCATGTGGAATGGAATTTTTTGCAGTCTGTTAGGTCAGCACCCCTGCCAAAACCAAGTGGGCTGAATCATCCTATGGCAGTTCCTAAGTGCTGCTCCCCAGAATTCACAGCCAGGCCTGCAAACCTGCTGTCTGTGTGTCAGGAGAGAGAAGACACCTGGGCCAAATCTCATGGTTGTCATGACAGCCAAGTCTAAAATAGACTTTCAGACACAAGAGCTGTTTGGCTGACTCTGACCTACATGTAAGCATAAATATTATTCATGTTAGAAAGGAAGTGATCTTCTGTTTTCTTCAGAGAGAGATTTGGAAATTCAGGCTATAGATTTGCTTCATGTGGATATTACAAAGTTTAAAAAGGACTCCTAAGTTGTGAAGATGATAATGGTTTGTACTTTTTATAATAATGTCCTTGTACAAAGTGACACTAACATTCTTTATTACCACCTGGTTGCATGTTATGTATTCAGCCTGTATATACAAAAACACGATGTTGGTAAGCCTTGGGTGCAGAGGTGAGCACTGTTACCAATACTCTTAGTCATAAATCCTTTGTCACCTCCATTCATTCATAAGAAAAAAAGGAAGCAGAGAGACAAGTAAGGGGTGTTGGGGTATTGTATTCGCAGTAAGAAATGGTAGAGCCTAGAAAAAGCCTGGGAATAAGAAATCCACAAATCCTTCATCTCCACTATGGTTTGAATATTTGTTCCCTACAAGCCTCATATTGAAATTTGATCCCCAGTGTTGAAGGTGGGACCTAATGGGAAGTATCTGAAT
Source organism: Homo sapiens (assembly GCF_000001405.40). Classification (NCBI taxonomy): domain Eukaryota; kingdom Metazoa; phylum Chordata; class Mammalia; order Primates; family Hominidae; genus Homo; species Homo sapiens. The sequence goes on along the minus strand of NC_000002.12, from coordinate 12,262,235 downwards.
CATGGAGAGGCAGATGGCTCAGGAATACCTCCCCTGGGGGTGAATGAGTTTTAACTCTATTCATGCCTGCAAGAGAGAGCTGGCTGTTAAAGAGAGCCTGGTACCTCTCCCTCTCCCCCTTGCTTCCTTTCTCACCATGGGATCTGTGCATAGGCCGGCTGCCCTTCTCCTGTCATGAGTAGAAGCAGCCTGAGGCCATCACCAGATGCCAGTCTTGAACCTTCTAGCCAGAAGAATCATAAGCCAAATAATCATTTTTTCTTAATAAATTACACAGCCTCAGATATTCTTTATAGTGACACAAAACAGACTAAGACAATCTTAATTCCTCCTGTCTCAACTCTTGCTAGGTTTGCTCTACCACTGAAGCTCTACAATCTTACATAATATTTTTGAAACAATAATCCTGGCATTTTCCTCTAGAATTTTCTGTACGGGTAGAAATCTAAGCTGTCCGGTATGGCATCAGTGAGCCACTTGTGGCTACTGAGCACTTGAAATGTGGATGGTGTGGATAAGATGTGCAGTAAGTGTGCAATACAAATTAAATGTTGAAGATTTAGTGTGAAAAATAATGTAAAACATTCAATTGATAATTTTTATACTTACATGTTGAAATGAAAATATTTGGATATAGTTGACTAAGGAAAATATGTTATTTAGATTATTTTCACCTGCTTTTTTTTTTAATGTGGTTACTTAAAAATTTGTAAATGATGTATGTGGTTTACATCATAGACAGAGGGATAGATGATTGAGAATGAAGAAAAGAAGAAGACAAAAATGAAGACAAAGAAGGAGAAGGAGGAGAAAGAGGAACGGAGACGGAGAGAAAGAGAGACTGATCTGGACTCATATCGCCTGGATCTTGAACCCTGACTTTTTGCTGTTATTGTTGTTCTATATGACATTGATCATATTAGTAAATTTCCTGTGCTTCCATTTCCTCATCTGTAATGTGAGAATAAAAATAGTAATGCTGCTTTTGGATTCTTGGGAATATTAAATACCCAAGAAAAATATTTTTAATATTTTTATTACAAGATGAAGCCCAAACTCTTTTTCTGGCATCCAATATCCTCATTATTTTTGTGCCCAGTTATTTTCTCACTCCTATATTCTTATTTTTCCCCATTCTTTTATTCCTTCCACATTCCAATCAAATGAATATCATGGGACTGACTACAGGTTGTCACAATGATCTCTTCCTCTGTCTTAAACCAAAACTTATTTCAACCTCACCTTCCCATCGCAGGTGATGCTAAATCACCAGTTGCTGGGACTAAGAACCTGAATCATTCAGGATCCTTCTCTTGTGTTTTCCCTCATATCCCAGGCATGGTCTATAGATTCTAATTCTGAAAAAGAGCTGAATTTTCCTCCTCTCTCCATCCCACCTAGAATAACCTTCCACCATCTCTTATCTGGGTTACTGTAACAGCCTCTTCAGTGGGCTCCCTGCCTCCAGCCTTTTTTTTTTTTTTTTTTTTTGAGACAGAGTCTTGCTCTTGTTGCCCAGGCTGGAGTGCAGTGGCGTGATCTTGGCTCACTGCAACGTGTGCCTCCTGGGTTCAAGCGATTTTCCTGCCTCAGCCTCCTGAGTAGCTGGGATTACACCACCATGCCCAGCTAATTTTTGTATTTTTAGTAGAGATGCGGTTTCCATCATGTTGGCCAGGCTGGTCTCAAACTCCTGACCTTAGGTGATCCACCTGCCTCGGCCTCCCAAAGTTTAGCTGCACATACCTGGCAGAGTTGGTGATCTAAAAGCACAAATCACATCCTGCTTTTTCCCTTCTCAAAGCTTCCAACAGCTTGTCACTGTGCCTAGAACAAAATTCAAACTCTTTATCATGCTTTACATGATCCGGCATTTGCCTACCTTTCCAATGCCATCTGTGATTAATTTTCCTATTGCTCGCTCTCCTGAGGACAAACTTGTTTTCTCTCTGATCCTTGAGCAAAGCAGGCTTGATACAGCCTTTGCCCTTCCTACTTTATTGTCTGGAAACCTCTCCTATTTGCTGTTTTCTTGACAGCCTCTTTCTCATGATTCAAATCTCTGTCCAAATGCCATCTTCTGCAAAAGACCCTACCTGGCTAGTCTATAAAGCACCCCTTTCACCACCTTCATTCATTCATTGTCATATAATGCTTTTTGTTTTCTTCGTAAATCTACATAGCTTTTTCTATTCTGAGATTATCTTATCTGTTTACATCTTCAGCCTGTCTTCCCTCCCCAGGATATGACAATGAAGCTGCGTACCTTCTCTGACTTGGTTATCATTTCATGCCTAGGAGTCAATAGATATTTAATAAATATATTTTGGATGAATTCATTCATTCCCTCATTCATTTATTCATTCATTCTGAGCCTTTGAAGGGTCATGCTGATTCTTTTCTTCGACCTTAGTCTTTTCTTCTCTTTGTGAGATGATAAACTCATAAATCTCCTTCCAAAACTCAACTCAAGCATTAATCTCTACATCCTTTCACAGCACTCCAACTCCCTGGTGATTTCACAGAGCCCTGAGCTTATGACTGCCACTATGCTTCTGTGTAATTGCAGTTATATGTCTCCGCCCCTCCAACTATGAGTTCTTCCAATGTAAGAGCCACATCTCTTGTCTCTGAATTCCCATTGCTCACTGGAGAACCTGGCATCTAGCTAGGCAGAAAAGCAAAACGATTTGTGTCAGGTAACTTAGGTTAAATCTATGACTTTGCTAATTGATTGCCTTTGAAGGCAATTCATAACATTTCTGATTATTTATTTCCTTACCTGTTAAATGGACCTTTTCAGCATAATTTTCTTTTGGAATTGTTTTTGTTTTTATAAGCATGTAGGTACATGTTCTTCCACTTTTGCACAAATGGAAATATATTATGCGTATTAGCTCTCTCCCTGCTACTTTCACTTAACAATTTGTTTTAATTTCATCCTGAGATCTTTCCACATCTGTTGGATCATTCATTTTGATGGTTGCATATTATTATATAATATAGATTATCATAATTATTAACTGGCTCCCTATTGATTGGCATTTATTTTCAATCTTCTATGATTCCAAAACAAAAATGTTGTAATTAATAGCCTTGAATGTGTATGTGATCAATGGCAAATCTACTAGTAAGATAACACTTCAGAAGTGGAATTACTGAATCAAAAGGTATATCCATTTGTGATATAAGTTGCCAAATTATTCTTAATAGAATTATACTATTTAAACTCCTACCAAAAATTAATAAGAGTACAAGTTGTTGTACATACTCACTATCATAATAGGTTATCAAATATTTTGACCTTTGCCGTTCTGACAGGTAGGAAATGTTGAGTTGTAATTTCTATTTTTGTTTCTCTTCCCATGAGTTAAGTTGAATATGTTTCTTGAATATATTTCTATGTGTTTAAGAAACATTCATATATATTTTTCTTTCTTTCTTTTATTTTTGAGACAAAGTCTCTGTCACCCAGGCTGGAGTGCAGTGGGGCAATCTTGGCTCACTGCAACCTCCATTTCCCATGCTCAAGTGCTCCTCCCACCTCAGCCTCCCGAGTAGCTGGGACTACAGATGCATGCCACCACACCCAGCTAATTTTTGTATTTTTTAGTAGAGATGGGGTTTTGCCATGTTGGCCAGGCTGGTCTTGAACTCCTGGCCTCAAGGCATTCTCTCAACTTGACCTCCCAAAATGCTGGGATTACTGGTGTGACCCATTGCACCCGGCCCATTCATATGTATTTTTCTGTGAATTATTCCATAACATTATTTTCTCATTAATCTATTCCATTGTTAGTCTTTTCTATTCAATATGTAGAAGCTCTTTATATATAATATTAACACTTTGTCTATATTGTCTATGCAGATATTTGTCCTAGTTTTTTGTTTGTTCGTATAGTAAAATTTATGACTTGTGAATTTAAACTTGTAAAGGCCTTCTCATTCTAGCATTTATTTTTAATTCTCTAATGTTCTTCAAGTATACAGTTTCACTTTTTATGTCTAAGTCTTGAATTCAGGTTCATCTATAACTTATTTCACTGTAACTTGTGAGAGAGCTATCTGTATTACTGTTTGCACATGGTTAGTCAGTTGTTCCTACACTATTTATGGAATAATTGTGTTCAGTAATCATAATTCTCAAGTTTATTGTAGTCTTAATTCTACAGTTAAATGGGTTCAGCTATCTCTATCATTTGCTATAGTTTCTTCTCCCACTGTTCTCAGAATTGTTTTGAAGGTAAAAGGTAATATGAATTAGCCTAACAGGGGCTAGGCGCTCAACGAATTTTAACTCGATTGCTATTGAGAGTCTTGTTAAATTATTTTGTTTGTTTCAATATACAAGTCACTCTATTTAGTTAATAAATATTATAATAACCCAAAGGAATAACTGTCACAGCATTTATTGGGCAACTATTTAAATATACAAGCTTTGGAAGATTTATCTAAGCAATTATTTATGCTGGCATGTGTAGGATCCTGAAATGAACGGGACAGAAACTCTTTCTGCAAGGAGCTTGCCAGGCAGTTCTACTGGCAGCCATTCAACAGCTAATTTCAACAGCAGGAAAATTGGAATAGAACTACAATGGAAGTGAAAGAAGAATACTGTGTGAGGAAGTAGAGGGAGTATTTATTTTTACCGTAAGAATTGGAGTAGGGCTAATGTAGATGATGTCCTTTAGAATGGACTTAAGGGATAAAGGAAGGTTGTAATTGATGGAGTCGAGAAGGAGGAACAATCCAAACAGCCAACAGCTTAGCCAAGGCATAGATCTGTGAGGCTGCAAAGCACGGACAGAATGGAAAGTAATATCCACCAACTGAATATTGATCCCTGTGCTGATATCGCTTGTGAAGGATTTTGTGCCAACGTGACCTTTTCATAAAAGGCTGTTTGTCCAGGGCTGAGCTGACAGTACCTCTGACCTGTCTTCTTGGGTTCTGCTGCCCATCAAGCCTCAAAGGGCTCTGGACTAACTAAAGCTCTCCAGCTGCCTGAAATGAGATTCTTTAGTAATTTTGTGAGTCCCTTAACCTTCTTTAGCTTTGATTTTCTCATTTGTTTTATAGTGTGGTGATGAGTAGCTTACACAAAGCATCTATCACAGTGCCAGGCTCACATCTATTTAAGAAAATGAGTGAGCACTTAGCCAAATTGTATTAAAAGTACCTTTTGGATGCCTTAATGGAGTTATCCAAGGTCTGGAGCTCAAGAAAAGCTAGGGATTAGAAATAAAGATTTGGGGATCAATATCATGTAGGTGATGTTTGAAGGAATAAATAAGAACACACAAGAAAATAATTTCAAGGAAAGGGAAGTGAAGTCTAACAATACAGCCTCGAAGAACACCAGCACATAAGGCCCACATATTGTATCATACAAGACCTGACATACAGAGATGAAAAGTGCAGTTACCATAAAAGAAAAAAAAACCTAGAAAAACAGGATGAAGAAAATAATATTCCTTAACTTTATATGCAGAGATAGTAACTTATAATAGTTTGATTTAATTCTGATATTTTTCTTATACATATTACTACTTTTTAACAGCTTTATCATGTTTTTCATACTTTTTGTAAAATATAGAATTCTATGTGAAAATTTTCAACATTTACTAAACAAACATTCATTGAGCACTTACCATGTTCTGGATGTTGGCAGAAAATGGCCAATTAGACAAAAATGTCTGTGCTCTCATCAAGTTTACATTCTAGTGGGGAAGAAAGACAATAAACAAACAAATAGGAATAGAGATGGCAGCTCAAGGGACAAGTGCTATGAAATAACAGAAAACAGGGTAAGTGCATATCAACAAATGGAAAAGGGGCTGGTTCCTTCACACGGGGTGGTCAGAGAAAGAGGAAATCGTAGTTGACCACACCTCAAAAGATAAATAAACATAAGTAAAAATACAGTATTATCTTTCTGTATTGTGTGTTTTTGTAGCATATTTCAGCTTTTTAAATGTATAACTTGTGATTTTTTTCATTCTAAATAAGTATTTATTTTTGCATCTAAAAAAAGGACAATTACTTGGTCTCGAAGACAACAAAAGAGAGATGAATGAACAGAAAATTCTATAGATTGTAGGGGAAAAAAAAGTGTCACAGGAGCTGAGCTGAGAGGAGAAATATCTAAGTTAGTGGAATCTGGGACAATAGGTTACACTCAAATCAAGCCATGGTCAATCAAATAAATCAGGTAACAAAAGATATTACATGCAGAGTAAGCATGAGCACAAAAGTGTGCTTATGTGAGTACGTGCTGGTGGTGTTAAGGAAGAGAAATATCTTAGGAGTCCAACATACAGATTGGTGAGAAGAAAGAAAGGCAAACTTGGAAAAGTAGAGAGGTAGGTAGGAGAAAGTGTCTTTCAAAGATTTAGTCCTAATAACCATATGTAACGTTAATGAAAGGAAATGTTGAGGATAGGTGGTGTTCTAGAATCTAGTTACGCTAAAAGAGCACTGATTATTATACTAGTCGATATAGTTTTAGGTGATGTGTTTAGCCTATAACTATCTCAGAGGCAATCACATACTTTTGATTAGAATTCTCTTCCTAGCAAGCAAATCCTTTTCTTACTGGCTTCCCTTTGTCCACATGGCTTGCTTCAGTTTTATGTCGTAGATCACTTGCTTTAACAAATGTTCACTTTCCATCAAGTGCTACAACAGCAGCTCAAATCTGTATTTCTTCAAAGTTTTCTTATCTGTTGAAATAGGTCTTATATCCAGAGAGACAATGAGTTATTAAAGCAAAATACATAGGATTCTTGGAATCAATTCTGAGTTTCATCCACTTACTAGGTAGATAATACTAGACGAGTCATTTCAAACCTGTGAGTCCCAGAAACTTCATGGATAAACAGGGATTAGAATCAATTCCAATTTTATGGAGTTATGGGAGGTCCAGATAAGATTGTGAATGTGAAAAATGCTTTTTGTGAACTCTGAAATATCATATACAGTTCTTTTGATTTTGTAACCTCATCTCTCACACTAGCCTGAAAAGACAATTTGCATTCCATTTGTGTTGATGTCTTTGTTATGTAAATTCTTTTGAGCTTTGCTAACTTAAAATTGTTTTAAGATTAAATTGGGAGGCCTCCCATTTCTAGTTCTTGGCATTTCATAATCACACCACGTTGATAACTTTCCTGTTTTAAAGATATCAGGGATGAATTCTCCTACTTCTATTTTAGGGTACGTACCTTTATCTGTACTTATGGCAAGTTTGTGAGGTTAATCCCTTTGTTGAAATTAAAGTGAAATAGACACAGACTGCCCGTTCATGATAAGAGTACCAAGTTTCTACTATAAACTAAATACGTGAGGTAATTTTCTGAGTCTTTTCTCCATTCTTCCTCAAAGATTAGGTGACATTGAACTAAAAAATTCTTTTTTTCTAAATCCATCTTCATTATTATGACCATAATTATCACTAAGTACTTTCTGCCTAGAACACAACGTGCTCTTGCATTTTGTGTACATTATCACATTTTAATCCCCAGAACAACTGTATGTATTGGCTACTATTATTATGTCCACATAACAGATGAGGTTCATCAGGCTCAGAGACGTTGAACGATTCCTCAAGGCCACACAGCTGGCAGGTGGCTGAGTAGGATTTGAGTGAGATTTTGCTTGGTTGCAAGACCAGACTGACAAAGAAAGGCTAGCAATGTAAATAATAATGTTTGAAACCTCAGATACACAGTATTGTACAGTTAGCGAGCACAGAATCCTTGGAGTATAAGCTGGGTTAAAGTCCAATCTTTGTCACTATTAATAGTTTAAACGTAGGCAAACTTATTTAACCTCTCTGAAGCTACAGTCCTCATCTGTAAAATGAAAATGTCTGCTAACTTGTTGGTCCTTCCTCATCTGAAATTCCAAAATTCTGTGTTTCCTTGGTCTATGCTGAATTTTTAACGCCATGAAAAATAACAGCAGCAGCAACCGGCTATCAGATAGTTGTGTACCACTGTTACTTTTCATTTTTAAGAGTAAATACTCTGCAAAACTAGAAAATTCTGGAACAACAAATCGCAGTCCTGCTATTTTTGTTTTCAGGTGTGTCACAGCCCTGGAAACTCACTGTAGAATCTTAAAATATTAAGTCTCAAAGAGGCCTTAAAATTAGATGGAAGTATTATCTAGGGAAACACTAGCTACTACAACAAATAAACACCCAAATTTTAGCAACTTAGCAAAAGAGAAATGTATTTCTCTTTCAAATTGCAGTCAAATACTCTTACTTTGGTTTGAGGACACTTTTCTTTATATACTAATCAAAGGATCCAGTCTCTTCATTTTAAAGCTTTGTAAGGGTCAAGTCAAGTCATTTTCAGGATATTGCTTGTGGAAGGGAAAATGGGAGCATAAAAGATATCCCCATTTCTTAAAAGCTGTGACCCCAAAATGGTACACATAACTTCCACTTACATTTCATCAGTAAAATTCTCATGTAGTGGTTTAACTTTTGGAAACAGGAGAATGTAAGGGAAAGCACCTAAAATTGTGAACACTGAACAAATTCTGTTTCCATTCATTTTTCTGATAAGCAGATCATCCTTCCTCCTACCCAGAGATACTCTCACCATTGAGTTACTCAGCAGCTTGGAAGTCCATGATCTCTAGGGTATAGAGTAACCTCTCCTTTGAGTCTAGAGGTGACTCAAGGGCTGGGTGTGGTGGCTCATACCTGTAATCCTAGTACTTCGGGAGGCTTAGGTTGGTGGATCACTTGAGCCTAGGAGTTCAATACCAGCCTGGACAACAGAGCAAGACCCTGACTCCCAAAAGTATATATATATAATTATAATTAATTAATATTATTATATTATTAAATAGTATTATAATTAATATATATTTATATTAATATATATTTATATGTACATATATGTATGTGTGTATATATACATACATATATATGTATATATATACACACATAGAGAGAGAGAGAAGTAGCTCACGATCTGGAGATCTATGAACTCCAGATCATGAGTTTGGGCATCTCTTCCCCAAACATACATATAATAGAAAAGAGTGTAGCAGATCCAGTAGAAGAACGATGAAATTCCCACCGAGAACGGGAAGAACAGGAAACACAAGGCATTCACTTGTCCTTCTTCATGATGCACTCCTGCTGGAGAAGTGATTCTTGATCTGGACATGGAGGAAGTTATTTGGGATTAGACCCTGGATATGCCTTCTGGGAGGAACTGCTTTGTCTGTTTCATCCATGACCTGGTTCTGGCTTGTGGGATGTGGATCCTCGTTCATTATCTTCCATGGTCACATGGGTGTTGGAGGCGGAGGAGCTTTTGCAGTACAATTCTGATTTTGTGAACGTTAGGATTTAAGAGTTGTTTTATAATAACTGGCATTTTTTTAAAAATCCAGGAAAATTGTTTCTTTAGCAATATAATTTCCTCAAAAAGTTCTTGTTATGGGTTGAATTGTGTCACTCAAAATTGATTATGTAGAAGTTCTAACCACCGGTACCTTGGAATACGACCTTATTTGGAGACAGGGTCTTTAAAAAGCTAAACTGAGGTCATTAGGGTGAGCTGCAATCCAATATGACTGGTGTCCTTATAAAAACAGGAAATTTGGGAGCTATGCATGGTGGTGCATGCCTGTAGTCCCAGCTACTCTGAAGGCTGAGGTGGGAAAGTCACTTCAGCCCAGAAGTTTGAGGCTGCAGTAAGCCATGATCAGTGGTAGTACAAGTGGTAACTGTACTACTCCAGCCCAGGCAACAGAGAACCTTGACTCTAAAATAAATTAATTAATTAATTAAATTTACAAAGGGGTAAATTGGAGACAAACTTGTATCCAGGGAAAATACCTTGTGAAGATCAAGATGGCCATCTGCAGACAAAGAGGGGAGGCCTGCCTCAGATGCGTCTTCACAGCCCTCAGAAGGAGCCAACTCTGCTGACACCTTGACTTTGCACTATTAGTCTCCAGGAATATGAGACAATAAATTTCTGTTGCTTAAGCATCCCAGTTTGTAGTAGTTTGTTACAGCAGCTCTATCAAATTAATACAGTTCCTTTAAAAGTTTCTGATCTATTTTCTACTGGTCAGTCCTATGTACAAGACTTAAAGTTCATTTCCATACATAATAACAAAGTTTGCTTTATCTCTCTGCTTTCTAAGCCCCATGCCTGTATCTGTTGACATAATGTTTGATATCATGCAGCCATCTGAAACATTAGGCTTGAGTGGAAAGGTTTTACCCTTAATCAGATCTTTGTCATAGGGCTGATTCTCTTTGTTTAGCCAAATAGACATAATAGGTCCTTTTATTGTTGACATCCTTTTCTAGAATTATCTCTTCCCATTTAGGATCTAGATGCCATCTGCTTTCTAACTTGGCAAAATCTCAAATTTCTGAACTCTTCCTATTTTCTTATGCTTTTTCTTTCAAACCAGTCAGTCCTTTCTTGAGCTTATCTCTTTCTTGTAATACTTTACTGCAAAGTAAAGGCCAAAACTCACTAACACAATAGTTCTTACCGTTTTCCCTGGAGATTTGGGCTCAGTAGGAATGTCATCTGTTTCTAGGCAATAGTTTGATCACATCAATAGATTACTGTTCTAGGCTACAATATCTTTTATTATTGGTTCTGCCTAACTGCTAAGTCAATACCACCTATTTTAGGTATTTATTAAGTCAGCATTTTTATTTCTAGTAGCAATTTTTGTATTAGTTATGGTATTAGTAGCAGCTGTGACAAATGAACTCCCAAAGTTAGGTGCCATAATATAACAAAAATTTATTTCTTTTTCACATGAAAGATATTTAAGTGGTTTGTTTTGTTTTGTTTTGTTTTTTTATATGGTGACTCAGAGACCTGGGTTTCTTTCATACTAAGACCCCACTAATCCCTGAGGACTCAGCACTCCCGGCAATCAGCTGGTCAAAAGAAGAACATGGAGTATGGAGAAGAAACAATCTCTTCTTGAAAGCCTTGCCCTGAATGGCGTAAATCACTACTGCTCCCACTCTACTGTAAAAGTCAACCACAAGCCTGCTCCTAATTGCAAAAGGGGCTGGTATATTGAGTCTAGTGGTGTATCAGTTCATTTTCATGCTACTGATAAAGACATAACTGAGTCTGGGCAATTTACAAAAGAAAGAGGTTTAATTGGACTTACAGTTCCACATGGCTGGGGAGGCCTCACAATCATGGCGGAAGGCAAGGAAGAGCAAGTCCCATCTTTTGTGGATGGCAGCAGGCAAAGAGAGAGCATGAGCAGGGCAACTCCTGTTTTTAGAACTGTCAGATCTCGTGAGCCCATTCACTGTCACGAGAACAGCACAGGAAAGACCCACCCCCATAATTCAATCATCTCCCACTGCGTCCTTCTCACAATGTGTGGGAATTATGGGAGTTATGAGATGAGATTAGGGTGGAGACACAGAGCCAAACCGTATCAAGTGGCGTACCCAGGAAGAAGGGTATGCATACACTTTAGTGAGCAGATGATGTCTTTGTCATTAGAGACATTTTGCCAGTCTTATAGATGAGAAAATTAAGGTTCAGAGAAATAATGTAACTTGTCAAAGATCACATAGCTTATAAATAATAAAATTGGACTTGACCATGTATGTCTGAGTTTTATATGAGAAAAAAAACAAACAAGAGACTAGCAGAATGATTAATATTCTAAAAGCTACAAATTTACCAAATTTAGAAAATAAAAATAAAAGCACTAAATTGAATTTGAAGTTTAGATAAACAACAACAGAAATTTTAGTGTAAGTATGTCTCATGCAATACATTATCTTGAAAGCTTGCCTAAAAAGAATGTTTTAAGAATTACAGGGAGGCCAGGTGCAGTGGCTCATGCCTGTAATCCTAGCATTTTGGGAGGCCAAGATGGGTGTATCAAAAGGTCAGGAGATCGAGACCATCCTGGCCAACATGGTGAAACCCCATCTCTACTAAAAAAAAATTTAAAAAAAAATACAAAAATTAGCTGGGCCTGGTGGCACGTGCCTGTAATCCCAGCTACTTGGGAGGCTGAGGCAGGAGAATCTCTTGAACCAGGGAGTAGAAGGTTGCAGTGAGTTGAGATCGTGCCACTGCACTCCAGCCTGGCAACAGAGCTAGACTCCGTCTAAAAAAAAAAAATGTAGGCTGGGTGCAGTGGCTCACACCTGTAATTCCAGCACTTTGGGAGGCTGAAGTGGCAAGATCACTTGAGGTCAGCAGTTTGAGACCAGCCTGGCCAACATGGTGAAACCCCATCTCTACTAAAAATACAAAAATTAGCCAAGCACAGTGGCAGGCACCTGTAATCCCAGCTACTTGGGAGGCTGAGGCAGGAGAATCTCTTGAACTCGGGAGGCAGAGGTTGCAGTGAGCCGAGACCACGGCATTGCACTCCAGCCTGGGCAATAATAGTGAAATTCTGTCTCAAAAAAAAAAAAAAAAAAAAGAACTACAAATAGTTAGTAGGTACAAAGAGGACACAGAGATGGATGTGCAAAGCATGTTTAAATATACTCCATGTCATATTCAGGGAAAGATAGTGCTTGAAAATTACAAGAATGCTATCTTGGCCCAATCCAAGGAGTTGCCAGTGAATTAGAGCTGGTGTTCAAGTGAGCCCCTTGTTATTGAAAGTGCAGGTGAGTCCTCTCTGAGGACCTGGCTGAGCACTCCTATGATGTGTGTTTTGTTTCTAAGAGATGTTTGTACATAATGACCTGCTACGTAAGATGATATTCTGAAAAAATTGCTATGGGTATTGACAGTAGCATTGGTAAAGTGCAAGCAGGTAACTATTCTAAGATACACTAACATTAAAAATAAGCCCTTTGTATTATTTAGAATGGAAATTAAATGTTTACATTCTCTGAAATATAAATTTTATTACAAAATAACTGAGTAGACTTAATCTTTTTGCTTACAGCTTTTCCCTAAATTGTCTCTTAATTGTCTTAGTCTGTGCAGGCTGCTGTAACAAAGTATCACAGACTGGGTAATTTATAATCAATAAAAATTAATTTGCTCACAGTTCTAAAAGGTGAGACATCCAAGATCAAGGAGCTGGCAGATTTGATGTCTGGTGAGGGTTCACTCTCTACTGCAAAGATGGTGCCTTGCTGGTGTATCCTCACATGGTGAAAGACAAAATGGCTATACTCCCTCCAGCCCTTTTATAAGGGCGCTAATTCCATTCATGAGGGAAGAGCCCTCATGACCTAACTGCCTCCAAAAGGCCCCACCTTGTAATACTATTGCACTGGGGATTAAGTTTTTTTTTGTTTTTTTGTTTTTTGTTTTTTGTTTTCTCAGATGGAGTTTCGCTCTTGTTGCCCAGGCTGGAGTGCAATGGTGTGATCTTGGCTCACCACAACCTCTGCCTCCCGGGTTCAAGCGATTCTCCTGCCTCAGCCTCCCAAATAGCTGGGATTACAAGTATGCTCTACCACGTGTAGCTAATTTTGTATTTTTAGTAGAGATGGGGTTTCTCCATGTTGGTCAGGCTGGCCTCGAACTCCCGACCTCAGGTGATCCGCCCTCCTAAGCCTCCCAAAAGTGCTGGGATTACAGGCATGAGCCACTGCACCCGGCCGGGGATTAAGTTTTAACATGAATTTTGTAGGGATGCATTCAACCCATGGCACTTGCCATTTCTGGTCCAACCCCTGAGTATATTATATATATTTTTTTCTAACCCTGGGCATATTATTTAATACTCAGAAAAATCTGACAGGTAATATTGGCCACATGCTATAGGTCAGATCAATGAGGTTCATGTATGTTCCAAGGACACATTTCTCATCAGTTCTTATAAGGCCTTAAATTGAGGTTTCTTGAGCCCTAATCTACCCTTCTCTCCATTAAGATAACCAAAAGACTGTTTTCCCCCCTGCCTGTTGTTTCCATATTTCTCTAACCCAAGACAAATATAAATAAAAGTAACAGCTGGACATTATGTGGTTTGTGATCAAGGCCATTAGATTAGAAAGATGACAGGCCTTCCTACCCTCTGCACATTTGTATCCATGGCCAATGTGCAGCAAACTCTGGGAGAAGACCAAGCCCAGCACTTCCTCCTCCTGATCCTCCACCTGACAGTTATTTGAATGTGATGCTCATCTGTAAGTTAAAGATGGTTGGTAAGCAATCTGTTTGGGCTTTTTGTTATTGTTTTTAAATAAAAGCAAGTTAGAATGGCAAGTAATATACTGTCAAATCCCCAGCAGATGCAATCTTTGACAGTAGCATAAACCAGGCCTTCATCTTTCCATTAGAGCTAATTAAGCAATGATTCCCAGTATTTAAAGAAAAGTATTTCGTTAAGCTCTAAAGTTCTCTAATAATTTACTCAGTATGTTTTCCAATACTTGGAAAATCCATGATTTATCCTTTTATTATAGCAACAATACGAACACAAGAGAGAAGGCATATGTCAAGGGGATATTAGAGGTAGGAGTACGGAAAGGACAAAAAACATGCCAGAATTATCTTTTACTGTGGAACAGTGAACTCTTCATGACAAAACATATATTTTGTATCCTAAATGTTAATCTTGAACAAAAGAGGAAGCTCCATTCTTCCTTTGAAAGCAGTCTATTTCTAGAAGAGCTGTTGCAGTGAAGTTTGAATTAGTTTTGTCAATTTAATCAAACGATTCCAATCAAGTATTTACTGAACCTGATCTTCTTAATCATTATTTTTAAATATATATATATATATACACATATATTTATTCAACTTTATTGAGGTATAATTGAAAAATGAAAATTTTACATATTTATGGTACAATGTGATGTTTTGATACATGTATACATTGTGAAATGATTACCATAATCAAGCTAATTGACATATCAATTTATTCACATAGTTATCTTTATGTGTATGTGTGTGGTGAGAATGTTTAAGATCTACTCTCTTGGTAATTTTCAAGTATATGATACATAATTATTAACTATAGTCACATGCTGTATAATAGATATTCAGAATTTATTCATTCTGATGTTTTTGACAGAGAATGATTTACTTTAGAAACAGTCTAAGAATCACCTCAGACTTCCTGACGCATGACCAGAAGAATCCATTCCTCCGTGGAAAATTTACCACTGGTAACTTCTGGCACCTATATTTTAAACTCTGTCTCCTTTTTCCAATGATTTACTCAAGTGTGGGCTGGATATCTACTATATAAATTAAAACACAGGACTGAAATATCCAAAATGCCCCCTACATATTATGAGCAGGTAGTTAAATAGGTGTGTTAAATGAAATAATTCTGAGCAAATATAGGGAATTATTATCTAATTGTTACTCTCTAGAAAACTGTGTCCACTTTGATTAATTTTTTTTTCTTAGCACTGAGACACAATGCTCTTCAGTGGTCTCAGCATTAGGAAACTGCTTCTGTGTTCATTGAGTATTCTCTTCAAATGTTCCAAAGCACTCTGCAGATCTTTTTGTAGACTCTGAGGTACAGTGGGAACAGGACATATTTTGGAGTCAGGTGAAGTTAAGGTCAAACCCCAGGTCGACCCCCTACATGGTTAAGTGATGTTGGGAAAATTAACCTCTATCTTACTCTCTTGCAGCACTTGGTGATGAATGAATGTTGTATGAAGTGTAAAGTTAATGCATGCAAAGAACCTAGCAAAATATCTGCCACATAGGAAACTCTTGGTAAATGTGATAAAAGTTTTATATAGTATCTCAGCACTTGTAAAGCAGTTTATGCATTATTTCTGCTGCTCATCATTAATTTTGCATAACCATTAGAGGATCTATCACCAAGGCAGACAGCATCAGAAAACTACATTTAATATATTAGAATGAAATAATGAAGAAAGATAAAAGAAATCAAAAAAGAGATTAAAATAATAAAATGCTAATTCAAGACTTTGCTTCTGGCAATATAGAAAAAAAGACTTACCAAAAAACATCCTGTCAGTTCAAACACTAAGAATGAAAGATAAAAGTTTAGAAGAATCTTTTTAATATATACATGAGTTTGTAAGGGAAAAAAATAAGAAAAATTCCAAAATACCAAAATTTTTTTTAAAAGGTAGAAATCAGATTGCTAAGTTTTTTGTTTGTTTGTTTGTTTGTTTGTTTGTTTTGCTGAACTCAATGCTACTGAAGTAGCATCAGCTGACCTGATTAAACTAGACCCAGGAGATGCAACAATCCCAAAGGGAAAATAAGAAAATTTATTGGATTACTCAAGGGGAAAATGAGAAATTTTATTGGGTTAGTAAAATGTGGGGAGCTGGAGCTGAGATCTCCTATCACAAATCAGTACTCTGAATGGCTAAAACCTAACAGAAATGAGGGACTAAAAATATGTACCCACCAGGAAAGATCAACAACTAAGGAACTTTCCAATTTTTGACTCATGTCTTAAAAGAAGAAAAAGTCTCTTCTAAGAATTCATAAGCATAAAAAGTACCATGATGTGTAGAGGAGAGATAGTGACCGAAGATAAAATAGTCTGCTGAAGTCTTTGCAATTTTGGAGGTTGACAGAGAGATTTTATTAACTATATATTTTGTAAGATAGGTATGTGTATTACCATTTCAATAGTAACCACTGGTGGAATAAGCATAGAGGTTATAACTTCAAAACTAGCGGAGAAATACAAATTTTAAAAACCTTCAATCAATTAAGAAAAAAACATCAGGAAGGATGAAAGAAAGGGTGGAATGTATAGAAAATAAAATACAGCATAGAAGATAGAAATTTAATTATATAAGTAACACAAGATAAATATTAACTGAATTTGCACTTGTAAGACACAAAATCAAATTGTTAAAAATAAAATTAAAAAGGAATGGATACCATGATAATAAAAATTTTAGTACAATGCAGAAGATGAAATAAAGGAAGTCTCTCAGAAAGTAGAATAGAGACATAAAAAGCAAAAAAAAAAAAGAAGAAGAAGTCAGACAATTAGAATATCAGTTTAGAAAGCGCAATGTCCAAATAGCAGAATTTTAGAAAAAGAATAAAGAAAACAGGAATGAAAATGTCAAAGTATGGTCTAGAACCGCATCATTAAACTACAAATCAATAACAAAAAAAATCTAGAAAATCCCCAAAATTTGAAAATTAAAAATCAAAATCATCTATATAGGCCAAAGAAGAAATCAAAAGAATTTAAAAATAATTTCAACTGAATGATGAGAGCACAACATATCAAAAATTATGGGATGCAATTAAAGCAATGCTTAGAGGGAAATGTGCAGTGTTAGATGCTTATATTGGGAGAGAAGTAACAGATAAATGGACAAAGTGTCCGCCTTAAATTAAGGAGAGGAAAAAAGGAAGTAAATTAAATTTTAAAAAGTAGGAGAATGTAAATAATAAATTCACCAGTAGAAATAAATAAAATTGAAAACAAAAATCAACATAGAAAACAATATATCAAAGCTTATTCTTTAAAGCAACCAACAAAATTCATGCAATGCTTGCCAAACAAATTAGACAAAAATAGAGAGAAGACAAGCACTACAAGTATTGAGAGACAGAGGACACAGTGTAGGACTTGTTCTGAGATAGAAAACAGATTGATAGAGCAGAGTAGAAAGCTCAGAAACATTCCCTACCTATATAATGGATATTGATCTATGACAGAATTGGTGTAGAAAATCAATGAGAAAGAGAATAAATTGTTCATTGATGGTGTTGGGACAATGGTATGTGAGGGTAAAACACTGGTCATCATGCTGCTTGTGCTTCAAGAGGGCATCACTCTTGGGTAGACAGTGTCAAAGCCTTGTCCATAACTCCTCAGGCAAAACCATTGCGATGCAAGGCACTGTGACTCCCAACTGCATAAGAATATTTGGGGGGAGTGGAATCCACTTTCTCTTGCTAATGGCAATCCAGAAACAGTAGAAATAATACTCCCTCAAAGAATGACTAATATGACTTGGTATGTAAATGCTCTGCCTCCCTCGCCATTCAAGTGGATAAATCTGAGATTTCATTTCTGCACTGCCTCGCATGGCTCCCCCCAGTAGGATTACTCTCTGATTCCTTTCTATGGTAACTAACTTGATAATGTAATTGTTACTGGCTGTGTTCCCTTCCTGGTCTTTACTTTAACACCTTTCCAGAGTGAACTTTCTATATAAACTAGTTGTTCTCTAATCATTTTCCTATAGCCATTCCGGAAAGGGGATAACCAAGATAGTCATCGTATAATTTAAAAATGAAGGAGAGGTGGATGGAGTGAAGGAAGGGACAATGAGATGATATAGTCAAAATGCTAATAGAAAAAGACTGTCAGCTAAGGATTCTGTGGAACATAGCCTGTTGCATGACCAGACTGATGCCATCTTGAAGCAAAAGCACCATGATGACTAGTGTTTGACCCTCACATACCAACATGCTCTGCAGTAAGATCTTGAATAACTACTGTATGATAAATAATCTCCCATAAAGATGCTTCTCTAACCTCCCCAGTGGTCACAAGTCTTGGCAAGAAAGTCTGAAGATGTGACTATCTGCACATGTTTTACCCTAAAAGCTTGCTCTATAAAGACTCCTTCCTGGAAGGCGGGTGCAGGATTCACCATCTTGCAGCCACCCAAGATGTGGCTTTTGTTTGTAAGTCCCTATTAAATGCTTTTTTTCTGGGAAACTGGATTTGTCAGCCTTCAGCCTTTCAGCTCTCTCGGCTTTTGGGGTTAGGTTTGCACAGACCTGCTCACCACAAACAAATTCCATGTATAGCAAAACTATGCTTCAGAAATGAAGAAAAAATTAGAACAATCACAGATAAACAAAACAGAGAACTTGTCACTATGAAAGGGGCCCTTCAAGATGAAATAAAAGGACAATAGATGTGTATGAAATCCACATACTGAAGCAAAGAACACTGATAAAAGTAAACATATAGGTAAATATAAATAACAGTATAAATGTAACTTTGTGTTTGTAACTCATTTTTTTCTACTATCTCATGTAAGAGAAACTTGTGTAAAGCAGGGAGTATAAAATTGATGGGAAGATAATTTATAAAGAAAGATGTAATCTAAATGACAATGATTGCATAAAGAAAGACGTAAGATATGGAGGTGTTTGGAGCACTTTTTGTATACTAGTGAAATTAGGTTGATATTAACCAGACTAAATTGTTTAACATGTCAATTTTATTCACCAGGGCAATCAAAAAGAAAATAACTTTAAAAAAAACAAAAAAATAAGTGACAAGAAAAATCAAATTGTAAGCTAGACAATATCTACGTAACACAAAAGAAGGCAGTAATGGAGAAATAGATAAACAAAAAAAGACAAATGACTTATCAAAAACAAATAACGTGATAGATGTAAATCCTGCCTTAGCAATATTTCCATTAAATTTAAATGGACTAAAAACTCCAATCAAAAGACTGAGATTGGCAAAATAGTTTTTTAAAAAATTCAGCTGTCTGCTCTCTACGAGAGACATATTTTAAACTTAAAGACAAAAACAAATTGAAATTGAAAGGATAGAAAATGATATCCAAACATTAACTACAGGAGAACTGGAGGAGCTATACTTATATCATAAAAAATAGACTTTAAGTAAAAAATTGTTACTAGAGACAAAGAAGGATATTTTATAATAAAAAGGAATCAATCCATCAGGAAGACACAATAATTAGATACACACCTAATAACAGAATCCAAAATGGACAGAATTGAAGTGGAGAAGTAGACAATTCAACAATAACAGTTGGATACTTCAATAGTAAATTTTCAATAATTGATAGAAAAACTAGGCTGCCCATCATCAGTAAGGAAGTAGAAGACATGAACAGCATTCTAAGCCAATGACACTGAAAAGACATCTATACAAATATCCTCCCCAAAACAACATAATACAAATTTTTCTCTAGTGCACATGGAACATTTTCCATGATAGACCATATGTTTGGCCACAAAACCTTTCCCAATAAATTTTAAAAGATTGAAATTTTACAAGTCATATTTTTTAACCACTAAGGGAAATTAGGAAAATCAGTAACAGAAGGAAATTTAGGAAATTCACAGTTGTGTAGAAATTAAACAACACACTCCTAAATAACCAATGAGTCAAGGAAGAAAACACAGGGAAATTAGAAAATACCTTGTTATAAACAAAAATATAAAAACAATACACTAAAATTTATGCAGAGAAAATAATGTATAGAGGAAAATTTATAGTTATAAATGTCATGTTTGGCCACAATATGCAGCAAAGGAAACTGTTTAACTTTGCTGATAAGAGTATAAGTTGAAGAGAAACTGTAATAACTAATACATTCAAATATCTGTTATTCTAAAATCTTGCCCTTTCCTTATAGGCACATATACCCTAGAAAGAGTAGTAAACATATGCACAAAAAGATGTGTACCTGATTGTTTAGGTCAGCATTGATTTTAATAACCCAAAGTCAGAAATTATATATGTTTACATCCAAAGATGAACAAGGAAACAGAACTATTTTCATTTAATGAACTATTACCAGTTAATGAAAATAAAGCAACTATAGCTAATATTATCTACGCTAACTTACATAAACATGTACAGTTCACCCATGAACAACTCAGATGTAAACTTTCAAGTCCATTTATACGCAGATTTTCTTCTGCTCTGCCACCTCTGAGACAGCAAGACCAATCCCTCTTCCTCCTCCTCCTCAGACTACTCAACATGAAGACAATGAGAATGAAGACCTTTATGATGATCCATTTCCACTTAATAAGTAGTAAATATATTTTCTTTTCCTTATGATTGTCTTAATAACATTTTCTTTTCTATCACTTACATTATTGTAAAAATACAGTATATAATACATATAACATACAAAGTATGTGCTAATTGGCCACCTATATTATCAATAAGGCTTCTGATCAACAGTACACTATTAGTAATTAAGTTTTGGGGGAGTTAAATATTATATGCAAATTTTCACCTGCCCAGGGGAGTTGGTACTCCTAATCCTCACATTGTTTAAGGGTTAACTGCATGTTACACAAAGAAATGTGTATACACACACATACAAATACATTGCACAAAGGAAAAGCTGAGCATTAAAAAATCAAGTTACAAAAGAACACATTTAGTATGCAGCCATTTATATCAACTGTCCAAAATAATACCAGATATTTTATTAGCGATACAGACATACATTCATAAAAGTTAATGGAAATTAATCTGAATAATAAATGCCTAATCCAGGTTATTGATTACATTTGGTGTGGGATTCGAGAGCAGGGAATGCAATGAAGGGAGAAACCATGCGGCACTTCAGTTAAACTATGTCTTAAGCTGGTACATGGCCATATTCTTTATATATTTTTACATGATAGAAATAATTATTTCAATTGTTATTAAAAATATGAATACTTTAATAGTTGAATTATGCAGATCCTTACTTTTAAAATGAGTCATTCAAAATTGCAGATAATTATTATAACTGGGGCCTAACGAAACTTGGGAAAATATTGCCCATGATTTTCTAATACGACACAGAGGAAAGAGAAGGAACATGGAGAAGGAATTCCAGAATTAATCTTTGAATTGGGGTAAAAAGGAGAAAGAATAGACTGTGGGGAAAAGTGATCATTTCAGACCAGTTCATGTTGAGCTGGTGAAGTCTGTGGAACAAATAAGCTATTTGAGTTGTGGTCCAGGGTTCAGAAAAAATGGGAAGTACTTATTTGGTTGTCATCTGCAAAAACATGGTAGTTTCAGCAATGGGAGTAGATGAGTTTCTTTAAGAAGAGCACATGTAGAGAGAAAACTACTGTAGTTTGCAAAGGGGCTTGCCAAGAAAAGGAAGTTTCTCAAGAAGGGGATGGTCAACTCTGCCAAATGCTGCTGAAAGATCACATAAGAAAAATACTGCAACAGCACTCAGCAATATGAATATGTCAGCCTATTTTAGAACATAAAGATACAAGAACCCTAAGTTACCTTCCATGATAACTTAATTATCAGAATAAAGGAAAATGAGAAGCTGTATTGGAAGCAGTCACCTCAACAGCCACGCGGTTGCCCCAAACTCAGAGACCTCATAGAAAAATGTAATTCAGCTGTACTCAGACTGTTAACTGACTCATGAAACCCACCTTCTCTTTTTTCCCAACATCTTTGCCTCCAAGAAGACAGGATTTATCATTGACATGGGTTTGGTTGCTACTATCCGACATGGATGGTTACTGCCACATCATTTTTGATGTTTTGACTTCCCTCATGCTTTTTCTGGTAGCTCTTCACTAACTTCTAGGCCAGTTAACCAACACCAGGAAAGCACGGTAGGTTTCATTTGATTCAAGGGTCATAAACTACAGAAATATATGCAGCAGAGAAGTATTGCTTGAATTGCCAAAGGTAGTAAGAGGTATGTGACAACAGCCTGTACTGTTTCCTTACTTTGTCATCACTACACTTTTTGGAACGACAGTTCTTCCAGTCTTGAACTTATGCCCCACTCTTCTAGTAGATAAAACAATCTTTTCTAAATATACTTCCTTAAAAAATTTCCCTTTAACCATCCATGTATAGAAAAACGCTAATTTTAACACTTTATAATTATTGCTAATTTGAACCTATTTTAAAAGATGAAGTGATGTGTATCTATTTCATAACATGAAGCAACTTTATTTTCTTACACGTTTCTGAGCATAAAAGCAATATTAATATTACTTTTTGAGTTGGTAACCTTGAACTACAAGTGAAGAGTTTTGAATTAATTTCTGTGATTGCCTGAAATTGATGAAGGAAGACAAGGGAGACACTCCAAAATTTGACTTGAAAATTATTTTGGCTTACAAATGCAAATGTGTGCACTATAATTTTTAAAAATAATTAGAAAATATTTTAAAATCCATTCAGAACAATAATTAGTATCTATTGCACCTTAAACCAATAATTAATTTGTTTTTCCAATTTGGCCATGCTGAATGAGACCCATTGCTATTCAATTTATTTTAATATAACTTAAAATAACCGTCTTGGTTAATGTTTTATTGATTTAAAGTATTCATTGTAATGTTTTCTTTGTTCAGTAGTTGTTTAGTCATGTGAAGACATTATAAAATGTTTTTGAGCCCCTTCATCACTTCCTTGCAATCAAGTTTCTTGTGTTCATCTTTGTGCATGTGGCATAGAAGAGCAAAGCGTTTTTCTTTCAGATTTCCCTCGAAAATCATTCTTCCTATCTTTGAACAGAATATAGATCTACATTGATAAGCCTATATAGAACATTATAGATCTAGTTCAAGTGTGAGCTGAGACCCAGAGAACGTAGTCACTGTTTTAATTATATGTTTGGGGAGATGATTCTTCCCCAGTCTAGATGTTTCCTTCCATGTGGAGGAAGTTCATTACCTTTGCCAAAGGAAAGAAATATTAATGACAGTTGTTAAAGACATTAAGGAAGACTTTAATCAAGTAGTAACTATTGTGATAGGTATAGGAACCCCTGTAAGCGTGCCTTGCAGTCGGGGAGAGAGACTGGGCTCAATTCCCAGTACCAAAAGGACAGTTGAAGACTTACAGCCAAGGAGCTGGATGGGCTATAGTGAATGGAAATCTAAGAGAAAATATCAGCGGTCAGGGGAATTTGGCCAAAACAGGCTTGACAGGATTATTGTTGAAGGCAGGCCTGGATGATAGCATGCCCAGAAAGGAAAATAAAAAATCTGATCAGCTATCAAAGGTAGTTAGACAACAAGGATGGAAGATTTTCACTAGACAGACACAGCATGATTCCTGCTAAAACTGGATTCTGCAAGGAAGGCTCAGAGGAGCCAGCTTAAGGTTAGGCCAAGGAGTTGATGGTCTTTGTCACCTTATCACTCCTGGCATCTCCATTCTTCTGCTCACTCTGTCCCAGGAAAAGGCAGTTGAGCTATCAGATTGGTGTTTGAAAACTGAAAAGAGACATTAATGTTTTTCCATTTTCCTCTTTATCTTGGGAACAAGGAAACTCAAAGGCACATATTTCTTTGTTACTGGAATCGAGACCTTGATAAACTCACTGGTCTATTGTGGCTTGTCTAAAGATAGATGAGACCCACTAATTTTGATATTTACTTTCAGAAAGTACATTTGCGATCTTAGGCTATAGTGATCAACATAGTGACGTTTTGGTCTCTGTCTGACAACACCTTGCCTTATTTGCCATTAAATTTAGAACGAGAGAGTAAGAGAAGACTGCTTTTTATTGGAACCCTCCAAAAACACCAACAATAATAATACTATTTATTGAGACTTTTCTACATTCCAGACACGATTCTAGATCTTTGTAGATATCATCTCATATATCTTTGCAACAGTCCTAAATGGCAGGTATATTATTTAGCACTCTTTAAAGATGTGAAGACTGAGCCACTGAGATGTTAGATGTAAGGAACTAGCCTTAGATCACAAAGCTAGTAAGACATAAAACGGGCATTCAGTTTAACAGTTTTATTCCAAAAATCCACATTTGTAACACTATTCTGCATTGATATTTTTCTACAAAAGTAAAAAATTTATAAAATGGGACTTCCCCTACCTTAGCCAATTTTCTTGGTATCAGAACACCCATGAGTTTTTACAAAATGCAATAGTTCTTGCTATATGTGTTTTCAAGCTAAACACAATTCAAATGTATAGATACATATTAGATTAGATTCTATGATTGTTAGGCAAAGATAAAAGAGTAGCGCAATATCTAGTGGAAGTGCTTATTAGAAATTGAATGTCAATCAGAAAAATGGAGATGTTATCTAGGCCCAGTATGTTATTCAACCTCTTAAAATTTTTGACTCTAAATAAGGTTTCATAGGTGGTATAAGATCACAGTACACATAAAGCCAATGAGCTAAGACTAAAGATAATACACTATACAGTATGCATTGGAGGCCTTGGAGTTGCAAGAAATGATATGCTTCCCACAAACTAAGAGTTTTACTTCTTAAATCAATGAATATTTGATTATGTTAGATATATGCTGGTACATCCAAATAAACCAAATGATTTCTGGGTTTCAAATAGGTCTTTGAAGGCATATAGAAATCTGAAAGGTTGTTAATAAATGGGTGTGATCAACTTGGGATGTAGAAAACCTGGGGGCCTGTGGTGGGCAGAGAAATTGAATTGGGCAGGACTTATCCCATGTGGCTCAGGGACTGGGGATCACCAAAAAGAGAACATAAAGGTCTAATTTTCCCAGCCATTCTTTCTGCAAAGAGGAAATGACCTTTAAAGTTCTAGCAGACAATCATTTCCATGGTCACAATCTAAAGCCAACTATACTAACAGCAAATTATAATGACAAAGTATGGTTATTTTCAGACATTTTAGATCAGGACTGTTTATTCTTTAGTTGCCTTTTCTGAGTGAATTACTTGAGTTCATATACCATCCAAATGAAGGTGAAAAATAAAGCAAAGAAAACATATGATGGAAAAAATGATGAGATAACTCAGGAGTTCAGCAAACTAAATCCCAGGAAGTTAATTGCGCTGTAAGCTTGGAAGGCAACCAAAGTTAGAACAGAAAATGAATGGGCTCCAAGAAGAATGTCTTCAAGATGAAGATGAAATAGAATCCAAAGAATAAATAGAATGACTAAGAAGCTAGATAAGATAGTGATTTAGTGGCACAGTGAAGAAAGCACATATCTCTTCTCCCATCAAGAAATAAAAAAGAATCAATTAAATAGTCTAGGAAAAACAAAGCATTAACAGCAACAAAAATATAGAAAGCCATGACCCAAATATGAAGCAAACTAAAATGTAGCATGATTTTAAGACATTTATTAACCATAAGTAAAAGGAATCCCTTTACCCTGAACAGTAGAAACACTTGCTTTAAAGTCACACAAATCTTAACATCAGATCCATAGAAAAAGAAATGAAGTCAGCACAGTTCGTGGCTTTGCAGTGAATCCTATTTCACAGTCATAATGACGTAAATGCTGCTTATTCATTTTTAGTTTTTAGAAAAAAGTGAACAAAACCTGGACGACTAATTGTTACAAATCAGAGTATAAGTGTCATCTAAAGTTGATAGAGCCTGGGAAGTGCAAGAGAATAAGGAGAGAGAGAGAGGGAGGGAGATACAGAGACACTTTTGTGGCCTTTTGTGGAAATTCAGTGGTAAGCCAAGAGATACCTGTCTCTTTTTTGCTTTTTAATTTTGTGTTGTAAATACTGGTCAATTATATTTTGGTTTTTTACATTTTCTCAAAGAATGTATCGATAAAGTTTTCTGCTTATTTTTAAATCAAAGTATATACTTTGACAAGCATTTGAGTGAATAAAAACTTGGGTGCTTTCACAAGCATTCAAAAGCTTTATCTTCAGAGGTACTCAAATCTGCAAGATCATAAAATAGAAATTTAAGTGGATGATTTAAAGTTATAAAGGCAACCAAATGTACTAGTTAAAATTAAACTTATCTGCAAGCAGCAAAGACCCCAGATAGCAGTGGCTTATGCAAAATAAAAACTTATTTCTCTTTCATGTAAAAACCTGGCAGAAAGAAGTCCAGAACAGGCCTGGCAAGTCTAATTTACAAAGTCCTCAGGGACTTAGATTTATCTCGTTTTGTTTCTTTGCTGCGGGAGTCATCTCTCACAAGTTTACTTTATTGTCCAAAATAGCCACTTGAACTTCAGCAATCATGTCTGCATTCCAACCAGCAGAAAGAAGGAAAGGATACAACAAGAACCCACACTCCACATAAAGTGATTTTTTAAAGTCCCTAGAAGCTGACACACAGCTTTGATTCTTAATGTTATTGGCCAAATCTTGGTCACGTGGCCACATCTAGTTACAAGGAAAGCTGGGGAATGTACTTATTCTATAAATCTAAATTGTGTTTTATTTTATTTATTTATTTTTGAGAAAGGGTCTCACTCTGTCACACAGGCTGGAGTGCAGTGGTGCAATTATGGCTCATTGCAGCCTTGATCTCCCAGACTCAAGCAATCCTCCTGCCTCAACCTTTCAAGTAGCTGGTACTACAGGCATGTGCCACTGTTCCCAGCTAATGATTTTTTATTTTATGTAAAGACTAAATCTCCCTATGTTTCCCAATCTGGTCTTGAGCTCTGTCAAGCAATCCCTCCCTCCTTGTCCTCCCAAGGTACTAGTATTTATAGGCATGAGCCACTGTGCCCAGCCCAAATCTAAAATCTAAAAAAAAAAAAAAAATAGATCTAGATTCTGCTGTGATGATGTTTGGGAACAATTAGCAGTATTTGTTTCACAAAAAAAAACACACTAGAAAAAAATTTGGAAAAGAACTGAACACAGCATAGTATAAGTGATATTTTCAGCTTTCCTAGGACCAAGTCATTGAAGTATGCAAAAAGCTGCTAACTCAAGAATAAGAAATATGGAGGTGAACATCAGAAAAACTGAAATCGGAAATCGCTTTTAAAAATTATCTCTGGTACAGTAGAATTTAGGGTTAGTAAAGAAAGGGACTAATGCTTTTCATTATAAGCACATTAGCACGTAATATTTAAAAAGTAAAGTTTATAAATGAAAAAAGAAGGAAGTCTTTATTAATATTATCAAATGCTATAAACAACCCAGATAAGAAAAATCGCCCATGGATTTGATGAATAAGACATGGGATCACAAGGCCTGATGCCTACCTCCCTGCAGAGGGGTGAGGAGTAAAGGAAAGGAAACTATTGATTTAGATCACTGGGTAATCAATCACACCTTTGCATAGGAGATATGATTTCCAGTCCTTCTTCATCTTGTTTTCCCCTTTCTGGAATTTCTTTAGTTTGTGAATATCTACGTCATCCTCCAACATTTAGAACTGAGCTGACACAATATATGATCTGTCCACCAGATAATGGGAAAAACTATAACTTACCTTATTCTGAACTCCTACTGAATAAATACCTATGAAGCAAACTAGGTTTGCCCTAACGTTTTGAGGACGTACACATTGTGGCATACTTGTTCTGATCATAAACACACACACACACACACACACACACACACACACACAGACACACATACACATACCTCTCTTCCACACACACATATACATATGGATTTAAATCACATGGGTATTACTTGTTTATTCTATCAAGCAACAGAATGCAAAAATGTTCCAAGATAATAATCCACTCTCCATTCATTTTCATTCTCACTCCCCTTTTTAGCTGCTATTAAACTCCCAAAATGGAGATTTCTGTGTCAAAGTATTTTTGTATTTTTAATTTTAGTACATAGTCTTTTTTTAAAGGAGATACGGCAATTTCCATTCTCACCAGTATAAAAGTGCCCAGCCCTATTCATCCTTTTTATATTTTTGTCAGTCTGAGGGTTAAAAATAGCACATTTTTTCTTTAATTTATATTTATCTGACTAGTAGGGAGAATGAATGAAATGTTATATGTATGCTGGTCATTCTCATTTTCTCTCCTATAAATTGTGAAGTACTTTGTCCATCTTCCTATTTGTCTCTTTTTCATCAATCTCCAGGAGCTCTGTGTAACAGAAAAACAACATTTTTTTCCGTCATCTGTGTGGCAGATATTGTCCCTACCCTTTGTTGTTTGATGTTTTGTAGTTTTTCATAAAACTTATACATATTCTTGTTCCTTTTTAAAATATAGAATTTTTCCTCTAATTTTAAAAAGCATCTGAATGAATATAAACTTGGGGATGCTCCACAAGAATTCAAAGGCATCATCTCCAAAGATACCCAAGATATCAATGGATCTCACTCACAGGAACAATAAGGAGTTTATATCATCATCTTGTGCGACAGTGGAATCAGCCAAGTCTTCTGGGCCACTGACTTCTGTAATGTGGAGAGGACTGAGGAGTCAGGCTGGCCTGCAGAGCACTCATTTAAAAGTTGAATAACTCACATCTGAAGTTATAATCACCCAATCTGGTCGTTCCACTAATGGTATCCTCTTGTGTACCAAAGGCAAAGGTGACAAACGGAATGAACGTGCCCTTGTCTTTAAATCTCACCTTACAAACAACAATAGTGAATTATTTTATGGTATGCTATAGGAAAACAATCTCTGAAAAATGGCATACATTTGTATTGCATTTTTAAATTGCTTTCACAAAAGATTCATTAATCAGTCTTCCAGAAATAACAGTGTATTTCATCATCTGCAATCCTCAGATTTAGAAACAGATTCACAGATGTGAGAAGTGACATACTACAAATAAAACAAATAAGTGCTTAAGTTGGACTAGGACCCGGCCACAGGCTGCCTTCCAGACACTAAAATTTCTACCTCGAAATTCTATGGATTAAAAGAAAAGGAATAATTAAATATCTACACTAAACTCTAAATATTTTGAAAATGCACAATTCTAAAAGCAGTACCTAGTGGGGGCTTAGAGTTGGAATACTTCTTCCCGTTGTTTCTTCTTTCTATGTAGATTCCCCTTCTGAACTTAAAACTCACGTCACCACAGTTCTTCTCGGTGTTTGATTGCAGATGCCAAAGGTGTCATCAGATCTGGTTAACAGATGCTTTGACTTTAACTTTCAGTGGGATTGGCATCAAAATAAATGTGGTAACCTTTCTCCTAAGGTTTTGTGTTTCACCTAGTGTTCTTCTTCCCCTTGTCTGAAAAATATTTATTGACGACAGAGCCCTAGTCTCTGAAGATAATAAAAAGTTATCTAGGGAAAGAAGAAAACAAAGTAAAATACTCTGGTTTATTGTTGAACTGTTGGTTCAAGTTTTGTTTCAACAAAGACCATGGAGGATGAAGCAGGAAGTCGAGGAAAGTTCGCTCTTGGGTATGAGCAGATGCGGGACATGTGGAGCCCTGTCTTGGCCACTGACTGATGGGGCACACACCTTGATTGCTGATGAATGTGGCAGAGGTGACGACACCATTGCTACTCTTTATTGATTTGTTGCTATGTTCTAAGATTTATGCATTATGTGGATTATCTCAATTAAATATTTACATAACCTGGGCCTGGCATGGTGGCTCACACCTGTAATCCCAGCATTTTGGGAGGCTGAGGTGGGCAGATCAGGAGTTTGAGGTCAGGAGTTTGAGACCAGCCTGGACAACCTGGTGAAATCCCATCTCTACTAACAATACAAAAATTAGCCGGTCATGGTGGCTCCTGCCTGTAGTCCCAGCTACTTGGGAGGCTGAGACAGGAGAATTGTTTGAACCCAGGACACAGAAGTTGCAGTGAGCCGAGATCGTACCATTGCACTCCACCCTGGGCAACAGAGTGAGACTCCATCTTAAAAAAAAAAAAAAAAAAAAAAATTACATAACCCTAAGAGGCTTCATGGGCCCATTTACAGAGTCACTGTGAGGATAAAGAACAGCAAAGCACAAAGTGACCTCATCGGGCCATCTGTGCTAGGTTAGGCCTTTGCACATAATTAAACTTCGATAAATATTGTAGTGGTATGAATGCTGGGGCAGAATAAAAAGGGTACTAATTGAAGAGTCCATTAGAGCAAAATGCAAAGTAATTTGGAATCTACAATGGAAATGTGATCTTTGCCTAACCACAGTTAAAACTTGGTAGTGGTAGCTGAAGATGATTTTTTAAACAACAACAAAAAAATGAATTTGAGGTAAGAAACTCATTATACAAGATACAATCATTTTGGAAAGAAAAGTATTATTTAACACATCTCCCCACGTGATATGGTTCCAGATTGTAAGATGACTTTTCTGTGTTGGAGTTCACTCAAAACCCATCTTGGGTACAATGTGTGTACAGATCTAATTCTAAAAATATCTCTTTGTATTTTGAAACTTATAACTAGTCTACTAAGTGGGGTAAGCAGGAGTGGGGAGAGTTTCAAGTTTCTCATTCTCTTGTTGCTTCTAGGAGAATTGCTACAATGCCCATCATTTTTATCTCTATTATGCCAAACAGATAATATTTTTGAAAGGCTCCAGGAAATTACTTGAGCGTAGGATTATTCAGGGATCACAATCAATGAACTTTTTTTTTCCACATTTGTTACAAGACTAGACAGTTTCATTTCTGAACAAATATTCTGACACCCTTGAAGATGCTTTCTGACTGATGTGCCCCACATAAGATCCTGAATCTACTGCCAGATGAAGGAAAGCTCCATTGGAACAAAAGGGCTGTCATTACACAGCCAAATGGCTTTTTATGAAGCCAACCTATATGCAGGTTTCAGGGGGAGTCTGTGAGTTTCTTTTTCTTGCAGGATTGTCTTTGTATATTTCACAGTGATTTCAGTAGAAATGCAAATCTAGGATGTGGCATGGAGGTACCACTCAATTAAGACAAAGTTCTCCTGTCTCTCAGATGGCTTTATTTTGAAGAAAGTATAGAACAAGCTGTCCAACCCATGGCCTGTGGGCCACATGCGTCCGGGACAGCTTTGAACGTGGCCCAACACAAACCCGTTAACTTTCTTAAAACATTATGAGATTTTTTTTGCGATTCTTTTTTTTTTTTTTATTTTTTGGCTCATCAGCTATCATTAGTGTCAGTGTATTTTATGTGTGGCCCAAGACACTTCTCAATTCTTCTTCTTCCAGTGTGGCCCAGGGAAGCCAAAAGATTGGACACCCCTGGTGTAGAACAGATCAAATCCAACACACTCGGACAAATATGTACCAACTTACACAGTCAGAGAAAGGGTTTGCATTTGATTGGTTAGCTTTACTGAACCTATTGTGTATGGGAAGTATACTGTCAGATGAGAGCAATTTTTTTCCATAGCTAATATTGACAGCAGGGAAGAGGCAGCCCTGTTCACTTACCCACAACCTCTTTTCTATTAAAAAATTTCAAGAAAAGTTCTAAGAAAAAACAGGACTCTGCCCCCTGGCCTCTGAAAATTTTGGACTGATATTCTGTGCTCTCTAACACATGTGACCACTTAAATTTAAATTAATTAAAAAAATAAAATTTAAAATTCAATTCCTTAGACTAGGCACATTTCAAGTGCTTATTAATTACATATGGCTAGCAGCTACCATATTTCACAATACAGATCTAGAAAATTCCCACCATTGTGGAAAGTTCTATTGGCAATGTTGGTTACAGATTAAGCATTTTGTGAGCACCAACTAGGTCTGCTGGCCTGCCAAATTTTGGGCTCTCTTAACTCCCTGCTGTTACCACACTGAGACAAAAATGAGAAGATCCAAATGCTTAAAATCAATTTAAGATTTTATTCTTCAACTATTCCCTACTAATCAAAATTTCTATTAATTAAATAATCACTTAAAGTAGTCTATCAACTAGAATAACCATATTGGACTATGGCACAAGAAAAGACATAAACTTTTCTTGTGTAAAGCCATAGATATTGGACTTCTTTGTTACAAAAGTGAGCCTGTACTAAGTAATAGAGAAATCGGTCTTGCAACAAAAACTAAAGTATGTGGCATTGACTTAGCAATTAAGTAGTAGGCAGCAAGAAAACCAATATCAGAAAATAGAAGGCTAAAGAAGCCCTTTGATTTGGGGAAAAAAATTTAAAACTCTTTCACTGATAACTGGGAAGGAAGAACAAATGCCTCCCAGACTAGATTGGAAAACAGGTCAATGTTGTCTATTGCATTTTATTGGCTGCACTTAGCAAGGTATTAGAAGAAAATCTTAAGTTTGGATCAAAATTGCTTGGTATGAAAGAATGGAATGAGATAAAGTTTTTGAATTTGAAGTTTGGTACAAATTTTAGCTTCTAGACCTAAAACAGTAACAAAAGGTAGGAAAAGTGTTTTCAGTAACAAATGTCCATTAAAGCACAGCCCTATGTTAAAAATCAAATTAAGAGTGTGATTTCCACTAAAGCTCATTCTCACAGATAGACTCAGGGTAGTTCCATTAGGTTTAAAGAGAAAGGTTAGTGGACCAGAAAGCCAAGGTATACATAAAGTTAAAAAATTATTCTAGGAATGATGTATAGCTATTGTCATAAAGAGGCAACCGTAAGGAAAAAGATGAGTTGCCTACCAAGCATCTGGGGAAATTGGATTGCCAAAGAAATCATAAGCCTAAACAATGAATCAACTAGTCCATCAATCAACAATAAATAAATGCCTTTGACCATTTGAGAGTTAAACAACTTAGGGCCCCCATATTCCACTATCAGGAGGAGAGCTAGGAAGCTTAAGCTGCCTTCAAGGAAGGCATATTCTAAAACACCTCACATGAGGCAATGGAGAAGAAACAAACAATCAACAAAGAAACTCCCACAAGCAGATTAAAATGCCATGATTATAAAAGGACAAGGGATTTCTCCCAGAGAGCAGAATCAAGGTTCACGAAAGAAACTTCCTCTGCTTCCATAGTAGAACACCTTCATGGTGCTTGTTTTAGTGGGATTTTACAAATGCTATGCATCAGTGTTAGATGTGTTTCTCCCATTTTTAAGTAACAATCATTATATCCTAACCTTGATCTATTATTAAACTTTGGGTGTGGGTTGGGCAGATGTCTTTCCCCTGGTTTTTAGGTTGCCAAGCCACAAGACGTGCGAGTAAGATCTGAAGGAGGAAACTGCATACACCCCAGAGATCCTGGACTTTGAGCTGGATATCGTTGAATTAGTTTGATAGAATTTATATTGTCTCACCTTGAGAGGGGTGAGTGTGAAGAAAAATGCAATGGATATAGTATTTGGTGATTAAATTGGTGAACTGTGGCAGAGATTTTAAGTGCCCATCAATCTCCATGTGCTCCTTTTTCTGGCCATATATCAAAGCTGCATATCCCAGCTTCCTTTGCACTTACATGTGGCAATATGGATAAGTGCTGGCAGTGGAATATGAGTAGAAATGATGTTCATTCCTTTGCAGGAAGGGCCCATGAAATATCATCCCGTCACCCATCTCTCTCTCTCTCTCTCTCTCTCTCTCTCTCTCTTTCTCTCTCTGTCTCTCTGCCTCTGTCTCTCTCTCTCTCCTCATCAGCCAACCGAATGAAGAAGACTCTCAATCTCAGCATCTAGAAAAGGGTAAAATCAAAATGCCCTGGGTTCCAGAGACTTCTGCCCTTCATCAATATGATGAAAGAGAGATAGAAACTTGCCTTGTGTTAAGCTGTTGAGACTTGGAGGTTGTTTTTACAGCAGTTAGTCTACTGTGAGTAATATGCCAAGAATTGTTACTTCTAGTCCACTGAAAATAGGATTCTTGTACTACGCAAAATACTGACATGAATCATTTAGGGATATGGGTAGAAAATAGAGGGTGTTTCCCCCTACAGTTCCTAATATTAAGTTGCAGGAAAAAGAGAAGGGGATGGAGGCGTTCTTGCCCCTTTTATTAATTCACTCAAAGTAGAAATTGTGGACCCACAACCAACATATCTTTCTAAAAATTTTTTTTGAAACAAAGAAAAATAATTTTTTTTCTAATTTTATAAGAGCCTTAAAATCAAGCTAGCATGGTTTCTAGATAGCATTAAGTAGTAAGTTATAATCATATTCCGTGTTCACCAGCCCATCTCAAAATGCAACCTTTCAATAAAGTACACATAGACCTTGAGGTCCTTTTACTGAGAATAACCACCATGGTCCATTAATCTCTACTCTTCTTAAAAGAAAGAGAGTATTACATGATGGTGTCATGGGTCTCAGACCCTACCTACCAAGGGGATTTCCCTAAGGGATTTTCAGATGTAATCACTTGTGAATGTCCCATGGAAACGCAGTTCAAGTAGTCTGTAAGAACCTAGAGAAATTGTTAATGTAATTAGAATACCTCCCTATCTGACTAGACATGGTGGTTCACACCTGTACTTCAAGCTCTTTGGGAGGCCAAGGTGGGTGGATTGCTTGAGGCCAGGAGTTCGAGACCAGCCTGGCCAACATGGCAAAACTCCATCTCCACTAAAAATACAAAAATTAGCTGAGTGTGGTGGCATGCACCTGTAATCCCAGCTTCTTGGGAGGCTGAGGCACAAGAATTGCTTGAACCCAGGAGGCGGAGGTTGCAGTGAGCCAAGATTGCACCACTGCACTCCAGCCTAGATGACACAGCAAGACACTGTCTCAAGAAACAAAAAAGAATACCTCCCTATCTGTCCCTCTTTATTTTCTTTCCACCATCAATATGACTACATACATAATGGTGCAGCTGAACTCCTGGTTGGATGGAATGTTCTTGAAAAGTATGTGATTTGGAATGCACCAGTTGTTTTCCTGAAAAGAAACAGCTTTTCACCTTGGAAAAAAATTTCTTTTGTCATGATTCTTAAAAATCAGGTAAGGAAAGGCAAAAGGATGTGACAGTAGGTCCTGACAGGGTGTGTTGCTGCCAATGCTGCAGCCATGTGGCTTAGGTTGTTTGCAGAAACTATTAATCTCAGATACCAAGCACAAGTACAGTTGGCTGAGGCTGATGTTATGAAAGTGTTTTTGTCCTCTCTCAAAGACCAGCAGTGGATACAGCAGGGATCTGGACATTCCAATAACAGGGAAAGCTGCACTGGACAATACAGAGGCAGTTTTATACAGTGACACTAGGACAAAACAGAAGCCATGGCAGCTGAAAACTTGAGACCTGCTCTATTTCATCAGTTGTCTCACTACATGGCAGTTAGAGGGAAGAGTAACATCTTTGGACTAAGCCCATACGTTTCATGGAAAATTTAGGGAAGAAAGAATTCACAAGAGACAAGTATTTTACTCTCTACTAATTTGGCACATGAGATCATGAACAGGTTTTAATTCAAAAAAATTTAAAAGATCTCATTTAAATCCCATGTGAATGACATTGGTCACACCTGGTATACAAAAATAACTGATATTACATGAATTATAAGGTATTATGCCAGTGAGTTTTCATGTATATGATTCTTTACTTCTTTGTTAATGAGATAATTGAGATTCAGAAATGCTAATCATCTGGGGCAAAATGTCATGCACAGTAGGTGGCTGTATTAGTCTATTTTCATAGTGCTATAAAGAACTGCCTGAGACTCGGTAATTTATAACAAAAAGAGGTTTAATTGACCCACAGTTCAGCACGGCTGGAGAAGACTCAGGAGACTTACAATCACAGTGGAAGGTAAAGGGGAAGCAAGGTATCCTCTTCACAAGGTGGCAGAAAGGAGAAGGGCCAAGCAAAGAAGGAAGACCCCCTTATAAAAGCATCAGATCTCATGAGAACTCACTCACTGTCACAAGAGCAACATAGGGGAAACCATCCCCATGATTCAGTTATCTCCACCTGGTCTCTCCCTTGACACATGGGGATTGTGGGGATTATGAGGATTATAATTCAACATAAAATTCTGGGTGGGGACACAAAGCCTAACCATATCAGTGGCCAAGTGTAAACCTAGTCTTCTGACACTAGAGGCCTGTCATAGTGCTCTGCCCATGAATATGCTGCCTCTCTGTGCTCCTCTGCCCTGTGTATTGGCTCAGAATGTCATAGTCTCTTATCACCAAGTTAGTAAAACCATCATTTTTTCTTGGGATAATTCTATGTTGTGTTCACATGCCTGAAATCAGCTGCTTTGTGGTACAGAAGTTAAATACACCTTTGTTCCTGGACATCCGAAGGACCCAGTGCAGTGGAGTGACCACAGCTTACGTTAGACAAAGGAAAATAATGTAACACTACAATGTAGAGATTAAATGTTTCACATGGTGGAATGACAATGTAGTAGGTGCTCTTTGAAAAAACTATCATAGTTTTTATATTTCTGACAGTATGATCAATTAGATACTGATATGGTTTGGCTGTGTCCCCACCCAAATCTCATCTTGAGTTGTAGCTTCCATAATCCCCATGTGTCTGTCATAGGAGGGACCCAGTGGGAGATAATTGAATCATGGGGGTGGTTTCCCCCAAACTGTTCTTATGGTAGTGAATAAGTCTCATGAGATGTGATGGTTTTATAATGGGAAAGCCCTTTCACTTGGTTCTCATTTTCTCTCTTCCCTGCCTCCATGTAAGATGTGACTTGCCCCTCCTTGCCTTCCACCATGATTGTGAGGCTTCCCCAGCCAGGTGGAACTGTAAGTCAATTAAATCTCTTTTCTTTATGAATTACCCAGTCTTGGGTATGTCTTTATCAGCAATGTTAAAATAGACTAATACAGACACCGTGAGTGTTTATCATGCAAAAATAACTCAAACTGATGAAAACAATGTTTAAGACAAGGTTTTCAAAGGAATCACGAACCTGGCAAGAAAGTAAAGAATGCACACATGCTAAAAATATTGTGAAAAAATAAACTTTGGGAGGTAAGCAAGCATTAAAATTTGCTTTTGCATAAAAGCATAGAAGTCACACCATGGTAATTTGAGCCTTTGTTTTGAGGCATAAGGTGGCAACAGCAGGCAATAAAGTTGAGAACTCCCCCAAGGCACAGAAACAAATAGAACATCTCAATGTAAATATAGAATACTAGATAAGTATGCTTTCTCTTAGGATAATATATTAGTCCATTTTCACACCACTCTAAAGAAATATCTGAGATTGGGTAACTTATAAAGAAAAGAGGTTTGATTGACTCACAGTTCTGCATGTCTGGGAAGGCCTTAGGAAACTTACAACCATGGTGGAAGGGGAAGCAAACATGTCCTTCTTCACAAAGCAGCATGAGAGAAAAGTTCAGAGCAAAGAGGGAAGAGCCCCTTATAAAACCATCAGAACTCATGAGAACTCACTCACTATTATGAGAACAGCATGGGGGAAACGGCCCATGATGCAATCACCTCCAATGAGGTCCCTCCCTCAACATGTAGGGATTACAATTTAGATTATAATTCAAGATAAGGTCTGGGTGGGGACACAGATCCAGACCATATCAGTCCTACCATGGCCCCTCCTAGGTCTCATCTTTCTCACATTTCAAAACAAAATCATGCTTCCCCAATAGTTCTTCAGTCTTAACTCATTCTAGCATTAACTCAAAAGTCCATGTCCGAAGTCTCATCTGAGACAAGGTAAGTCCCTTCTGACTAGGGGCCTTTAAAATCAAAAGCAAGTTAGTTACTTCCTAGATACACTGGGGGTGCCAGTATTGGATAAATGTTCCCATTCCAAATGGAAGAAATTGGACAAAACAAAGGAGCTACAGGCCCCATGCAAACCCTAAATCCAGGAGGGCACTCATTAAATCTTAAAGCTCCAACATAATCTCCTTTGATTCCATGTCTCACATCCGGGAGCAAGCTGTCAGTGGATCTACCATTCTGGAGTCTGGAAGGAGGTAGCCCTCTTCTCACAGCTCTACTAGGCAGTGGCCCAGTGGGGACTCTGTGTGGGGGCTTCGACCCCACATTTTCCTTCCACACTGCCCTAGCCGAGGTTCTCGATGAGGGCTCCACCCCTGTGGCAAACTTCTGCCTGGACATCCAGGCATTTCCATATATCCTCTGAAATGTAGGTGAAAGTTCCCAAACCTCAATTCTTGACTTATGTGCACCTGCAGGCCCAACACCACGTGGATGCTGCCAAGGCGTGGGGGTTGCATTCTCTGAGGCAATGGCCTGAGCTGTACCCTGGTCTTTTTTAGCCATGGCTGGAGTGGCCAGGAAGCAAGGCACCAACTCCTGCAGCTGCACAGAGCAGGAACAGGGCCCTGGGCATGACCCATGAAACCATTATTTCCCCCTAAGCCTCCAGGCCTATAATGGGAGGGCCTGCCCTAAAGGTCTCTGACATGCCCTGGAGACATTATCCCCATCATATTGGCTATTAACATTCAGCTCCTCATGCAAATTTCTGCAGCTGGCTTGAATTCCTCCCCAGAGAACAGGTATTTCTTTCCTACTACGTGATCAGACTGCAAATTTTCCAAACTTTTACACTCTGCTTATCCTTTAAATATAAGTTCTAACTTCGAACCATCTCTTTGTGAGTGTATATAACTAAAAGCTCTCAGAATCAACCAGGTGAGCTCTCGAATGCTTTGCTGCATAGAAATTTCTTCTGCCAGATACCCTAAAACATCTTTCTCAAGTTCAAAGTTCCATAGATCTCTAGGGCAGGGACAAAATGCCACTAGTCTCTTTGCTAAAGAGTGACCTTTGTTCCAGCTCCCAACAAGTTCCTTATCTCCATCAGAGCCCCTATCTGGCTGGACTTCATTGTCCGTATCACTATCAGCATTGTGGTCAAAACCATTCAACAAGTCTCTAGGAAGTCCCAAAGTTTCCCATATCTTCCTATCTTCTTCTGAGACCTCCAAACTGTTCCAACCTCTGCCTATTACCCAGTTCCAAAGTCATTTCCACATTTTCAAGTATCTTTATAGCAGTGCCCCACTACTTCAGTGCCAATTTACTGTATTAGTCTGTTTTAACACAGCTATAAAGAAATACCTGAGACTAGGTAATTTAAAAGAAAAGAGGTTTAATTTACTCACAGATCCAGGTGGCTGGGGAGGCCTCAGGAAACTTCTAATCATGGCAGAAGGGGAAGCAAACATGTCCTTCTTCACAAGGTAGCAGGAGAGAAAAGTGCAGAGTGAAGAGGGGAGACTCCCTTATAAAACCATCAGATCTCATGATTACTCACTCAATATCATGAGAACAGCATGGGAGAACCACACCCATGATTCAATCACCTCCCACGAGGTCCCTCCCACAACACATAGGGATTACAATTCAGATTACAATTCAAGATGAGATTTGAGTAGGAACAAAAAGTCAGACCATATCAGATGAATTAAAAATGCATACCTTACAGAAGGGGAAAACAAGGAAACTTGCCCATCTCAATATTGGGGTAGGGCAGAGAGAAATCCTGAGAATCTCTAACCACAAAACACCCTTTCTTCAAAAGTGTCTGATCTGCTAATCTCGTACAATATAATTATTTCATTGTATTTTTCATTTTTACAAGTTTTATATTTTCTGTTTTTCATTTCTCTCTTTGTACTGTTTATGTTTTCTATCACATTCTTAAGCATATTTAAAACAACATTTTAAAATTCCTGTGTGTTAATCCTATCAACTCTGTTATTCCTGGGTTGTTTCTATGTTAAAATTTCCTCCTATGTGTTACATTTTCCGCTCTTTGCATATTTAGTACTTTTTTATTGCATGCTGTTCAGTGTGTTACATTATTGAGAGCTAAATTTTGTTGTTTTATCTTAAATAGTCTTAGACACAGACATACCACTAAGCTGTGGCCCTTCTGGAGCTCTACTGAATGCCCCAGGTGTTCGGTGATATCTTTCTACTCTGTCTGGTCAGAGTTCTGTCCCTAGTCCTGTGGGGCTCTTGGAATTGCTTAGCTTACATGTTTGGTTTGATATTTGGTGACAAACTCATGAAGAGCTTTACACAGTTTTCTGGAGCTTTCTCTATGTAGCTCCCTCCTCTTCAGTACTCTGTCCTAAAAATTACAGCTGCCTCCACATTCTTGAATCCCGGTCTCTGTTTTCTTAATTCAGCAAGATTGTTGTAATCTGCTTGGGTTCTCCATACGTACACCACATTCCCATGTTCCTGAAAGTGCCTCTAGGCAGAAAGCCAGAGCAGTCATTAACACTTCTCTGGTGTGATCTCTTCTCTTGAGGGCATAGTCCTGGGATGCTTGTTGTCCAAGTCTAAAAACAGTGGTTTCATAAATATTATGATGGTTGTTACACAGGTATCTGCAGAGTCAGAAGTTACTGAATTATGTACCTTAAATTAGTGTATTTTACTATATGTAAATTACACCTCAGTAAAGCTGATTTTTAAATGATCTGTAAAGATGAAAGGATAATGCTCTGATACCTGTCAATCTGGGTGTTTATAATTACTATGAAGGTATAGCTATTAAGACATTAAAGTATATAAACCACTGGAGGAGAGAAAAGGAACCCAGAAAAAATACTTACTGAAATTTCAGTTTTGACAGATGTGGCAACTAAGACCAGTAAGACAAGAAAGTAAAAATGAATAATGCTGGAACAATTATCTATCTGTATTGGAAAAAATAAGATAACATTGCATTCCTACCTCACATCATATTAAAAATATATAGGTTGCTTAAAGATCTAAGTGGGAAAAGTAAAAATAGAAAACTCTTAGAAGGTAACACAAAAAAAAGTTTGTATATTTTAAAGTCAGGGAAGAACATCATATACACACTCAACAAATTTTTAAAAGGGAAACATCAATAACTTTGACCATATTAAAATTAAAAACCTTCTGTTCCTCAAAGGATACCATAAAGAAAGGGAAATGACAAATTGAAAACCTTGAGCTAATGACTGTAACACGTAACAGAAAAAATTTGTATCAAGAACATATCAAGAAATCCTGCAAATTGATAACAAAAAGAACAAAAATACTCTAGTAAAATGAGCAAAACACTTGAATATGAACTTCAAAGAAGAGAATGCATGGATGAGAAATAAACATGTAAAAATATTTGATCTCACCAGTAATCAGGGAAATGCTTAAAATCCAATAAGATATCATTTCCACCTACCAATTTGGCCCACATTTAAAAGCCTGGTAATATAAAGTGTTGGTAGTGATGTGGGTAATAGGAAGTATTTGGTGATACTGATGAGAGTGTAAATTGTTACAACCATTTTGAAAAATAACAACATTTTCAAGCCAATATGAAGACCCACAAACCCACTAACCTATCGATCTCCCAGACTCACTTACCTAGAAAGACCTTTACACAGGTGCACCAGGAAACATATAAAAATATTCATAGAAGTTGTCATATTATCAAATAATTATAAACAACACAAATATTTACTACAGTAAGTAGATTTTGAAATAGTCATACAATGGAATAGTAGACACAAATGACAATTAACTACAGCCATTTAAAAACAACCAAACAATTTCAAAAGCCACAAAAATCTAAACAATACATTATTTGAGAATATTTTGAAGGGGGATCCTCAAAATATTTAATGAATGGTACCATGTGGGCATTGACCAGACAGAATAGATGCCGGCCATAGTGCTGGAGAAGGTTCCTGGAGGTGCTTGATTGTGCCAGGAAGAAACCTTTTACCTTCTGGATCATGGGAAGGTCCAGAAGGGCCCAAACAATAGGTTTGAACAGCCAGGGCGGGTGGGTCCTCCAGGGTTTGGGATGTGACTGTTTACTAACTGGTCAGGAAGTATTTTAATATTTTACAAACAGGCATACTGGCACTTAAACATTGAATATTAGCCATAGATATATTCATCAGCAAATAAACTACAGAGAAAAGTTAGGACATGATGATAGACAGAAACTTCAGGGTGGCGGTCATGTGGGGTGCGGAATGGATAGAGACGGAACTGGGTCAGAGAGGAGCGCACAGTGAGCAGTAAAGGCTTGACGGCATTCTCACTGGTAAGACAGGATGTGGAAAACACCTACCTTTGTATTGCTGCTGATCAGTATACCCTTCCCATAACACAGATTCAAGGAGGCGTGATATTCACTGTCTCCGTTTGTTTGGGCTGTTCTAACAAACTACCAAAGACTGGGTAGCTGTCCTGAATTTGTTTAATACAGTTGCTGCCTCCGCATGCATCTTTAGGCCTGACATAAATTTTTTGACACCCACTTGTATCCCAACACCTTTGGCCTAATTAAAACATCCCCTCCCTGTGTGATTGTCTGCCATAGGGTCCACTTGTTCCTCATCTGAATCAAGTTCCAAACACTCCATAGCTTCTGACCAAGAGAAAACCTAATGGTCAATGCCACAGTTATGTTAATAAGCTCCCTGCTTTGCGGCCATTTTCTTTAAACTGCTCAATCCACAACCATCAAGGGAAAGCCTCAGAATAATGCCCATGGAACACTAATACAGGCATGTCCCAGCTCATTCTCTCTCTCTCTCTGTCTCTCTCTCTCTCTGTCTCTCTGTCTCTCTCTGTCTCTCTCTCTCTCTCTCAGTATTTCTCTCCCTCACCCACTGGTTGAGCTCCCCACAACCTACAGACTTCGCATCAGTCTCCCATCAGCACGCCTGTCCTCTCCAGGACCTGTAAGCAATGAATTTCTCCTGTTTCATGCATTTTTATTTCACCACACCTCCTCGAATCTCACCTGACCGGCACACCCAAATCCTAACCATCCCCTGGTCAGGGCTCTCCCAGAAAGTGGCTATCTGGGCTTATGGCCACTCTCAAGAGAGACCTCAAGACAACATTAGAAAGAAAACATAACAATAAAAGTCACAACAGTGGCTTATAAGCAATAGAGATTTATTTCCCACCAGTCAAGAGGCTGGGAATTCCTAGAAAATTCAAAATTCGAAGTGCCAGAATATTTAGTACCAGTCTCCTTGTTCACAGATGACTGTCTTCTTGTTATAACCTCAGATGACACAAGGGGCAGAAAAGCTCTCTGGAGTCTCTTTTATAAGGACACAAATCCCATTCATAAGGATTCCACCTTCATGCCTGATCACCTCCCAAAGTCCCCACCTCCTAACACCATCACATTTTGGAGACTAGGATTTAACATATGAATTTGGGGGACACAAACATTCAGTGTATAGCATTCATTATTTAAAATAAGCAATGAAAATTCGTGAAAAATGCCAGGTGCGGTGGCTCCCCATCATAATCCCAGCACTTTGGGAGGCTGAGGCAGGCAGATCATTTGAAGTCAAGAGTTCAAGACCAGCCTGGCCAACATGGTGAAACCTCGTCTCTACTAAAAAAAAAAAATAATAATAATACAAAAATCAGCCAAGCATGGTGGCGGGCACCTGTAATCCCAGCTACTCAGGAGGCTGAGGTAGGAGAATTAGAGAATCCTTTGAACCTGGGAGGCGGAGGTTATAGTGAGCCAAAATTGTGCCACTGCATGATTGCCTGGTTGACAAAGTGAGACTCTGTCTCAAAAAATAAAAATAAAAATAAAATAAAATAAATTGTAAAAAAAAAATCTGTTAAAAAAATTGCTGAAAAAAATTGGAAATTATAATAATTTTAGATGAAGAGATAGAGATTGCAAGCCAGATGGAACAGTACAGTTGTTAAAAGAATGGCTGAGAAAATCTGGTCCTCGTTGTGCTTAACCACTTCTTCATCCTAAGCAGGAATCCTAATAGCTAACAAAGAGCTCTTGTAGAAGGGGTTAAAGGAAGTGATGACTTTGACAATGAGGCTTGAACTATAAGATTCCCTATGTATGTATACAGAGTAGTAGTAGCATTGTGTGTTCTGAGTTTTCCTGTTACAAATATTCTGGTTAAAAAATTAAAAGGCAGAAACATAATGACACTTCCTAGACCTGCACAGCTAGCAGTGCACTTAGATTT
Organism: Homo sapiens; assembly: GCF_000001405.40. Classification (NCBI taxonomy): domain Eukaryota; kingdom Metazoa; phylum Chordata; class Mammalia; order Primates; family Hominidae; genus Homo; species Homo sapiens. The sequence continues at coordinate 12,218,038 of NC_000002.12, read as the reverse complement.
AGTTTTGGAAATATAAAACATATTTCAGAAATGCAGGCTGCGTTCCTGTTATCGAGCCACCTGGCTCCCACTGCACTCAACCCTTTGCATCAATAGGGGCAAAACCCTGGATCACACAGGCAGCAATATTTTCTTCAGACACTGTTTTCTCTCTTTCTTTTTGATTTCTATACCACATTGAAGAAGTTGGATGATTTTGGAAACACACCATATCAAGAAATACACTACACAGTTAAAAAGATAACCCTGTTTCAGGAAAATCTTTGTTTTCATAAGACTGAGACTTAAAATGATGCCTCAGCCATTGTTGAAAGTAAATTCTCAGAAAATGTGACGCATTTAAGAAAGTTGATGGTGGGGAAAGCTGCAAAGCTATATCCAAGAGTTTGGCTGCTATTTGCATTTTTAATTGACCAATTTTCAGGGAAAAATGCATTTGTGGCCATAAAGTTTGCCTTTTCAGGATGCCCATTCTAGAACATTATATTATCTTTATAACTCTAGAGGTGAGAAATTAGTTTTTCTTAATTTCTTGGAATCTAGAAATAGTTTCTGAGTGAAGCAAAATGTTTTAACCCTGCCAATTTCAAATCTGGGTTCATTTTGACCTGTTGTGCTTTCAACAGTCAGCAGTCAACATGCCAGATGGCTTCAGTTAATCTTATGTTGTTCCAAATATACTCATTTATGACTTCCATGGTATCTTGGGACTTAGCAATTTGTTTGTTTTCTTCTCCAGGTCTAGTCAGTATATGAAAGATCAACCAAGACGAAGTGACTTTAAAAATTTTCCCAGTTGCATTTTATCTGTGCAAGCAAATTCCAAAGCAGGTGTCCTGCAATCTGAAGCTAATTGGTGAAATTGAGAAACTCTAGCCCCGAAGAGGATAAAATTATATGCAGCCCTACTTAAGGGAGAACAAGGCCAGGATAACTGAAATACCTAAAAGTTGAAAAAGTAATTTTGATTCAGGCAAAGAGTTTAAATAATACAGTGATGCTGCAATTATTTTCCATTTTTTCATGGATTAGCTATGACATGAATATAAATTATTAGTCTTTTATCCAGTACATAATAACATTAGTAGCAAAATATTAAACCAACGTAAAGATGACAGGAAAAAAATCCTCTAACTGATAAAATTAAATAGTCATTTCAACTGAGAGAAGAAACAATATTGACAGAATGTAGACTTGTAAAATGTTACCTAGAAGAATTGAACTTATGAGAAATAATAACCCCACATTAAAATGCACATAGCAAAATTTATAACTCATCATATTTTCTAGAAACCAAAACCATCAATAAAAAAGATCCTTATTGTAAAAATTTACAGGGAAAATAATGGATCCCAGTGAAAATGAAAGTGGAAAATATTTAAAACAGCTTGAGTGACCTGTATAGAACACTGATTCAGAATTTAAATGACTTAATGGAATTTGTTCTGCAGATTTCTAAGTGGAAATTTAATGATTTTGTTGCAATGTTGGATAATTTTAGTCAAAATGTTTGCTTGTGAAACATCTCAGACACTCAACAGCATGTAGTATAATCATCTCCCTAAGCCAAAGTGACAAGATCAGAAAAGGTGGTAGAAAGGAAATTTGTATCCATTTTTGAGATTTTTCCAATCACAGTCATCTCCTCTACCAAATGAAACTTGCTCTTATTTTGGGATTTTCCGCTTTGTATACAAAATTTTCTGCTAAAATTCTCATTGTCATTCTGAATTCCTCCAATTCCCTCACCCTCAATTAAATCGATAATTCTATCCACTAAACATCATCCCAATAAGCATTATCCTCTCCCTTTCTCTTTGGTATAATTGCTACTTTTTTAAAATAGAAATTTCATCATGTCATCATTTTACTCAAAAACGTTTGGCTTCAGCTTCTTATTTTAAGAAATTAACTGGTACCAGACTAGCCTTCTCACTATAAATATATATATATATATATATATATATATATATATATATAAACATAAAACAGTTTTGGCCAGGTGCAGTGGCTCATGCCTGTAATCCCAGCACTTTGGGAGGCTGACGCAGGTGGATCACCTGAGGTGGGGAGCTCGAGACCAGCCTGGCCAACATGGTGAAACTCTGTCTCTACTAAAAATACAGAATCAGCTGGGCATGGTGGCATGCGCCTGTAATCCCAGCTAATCTACTCAGGAGGCTGAGGCAGAAGAATTGCTTGAACCCGGGAGGCAGAGGTTGCAGTAAGCTGGGATAGCACCACTGCACTCCAGCCTGGGCGACAGAATGAGACACCATCTGGAATGAATGAATAAATAAATAAATAAATAAATAAATAAACAAACAGTTTTGAGGTGACTGTTTTTAGGCATTGGTTAATAGGGAGTGCAAGAGCATCATCGTTTAGAGTGGCACTCCCAGCCTTTTTGGCACCAGGGACTCATTTTGTCGAAGACAATCCTTCACAGATGGGGTGGGTGAGGGGATGATTTCAGGATGATTCAAGCACATTATATTTATTGTGCACTTTATTTGTATTATTATTACATTGTAACACATAATGAAACAATTATTCAACTCATCATAATGTAGAATCAGTTGGAGCCCTGAGCTTGTTTTCCTGCAGCTAGACAGTCCCATCTGAGGGCAATGGGAGACAGTGACAGATCATCATGCATTAGATTCTCACAAGGAGCAGGCAACCTAGATCCCTCGCATGTGCAGTTCACAAGAAGGTTTGCATTCCTATGAGAATCTAATGCCACCGTTGATCTGAAAGGAGGCAGAGCCAGCAATCAGGAGCAGCTGTAAATACAGATAAAGCTTCACTTGTTCACCTGCCACTCACTTCCTACTGTGTGTCCCAGTTCATAACAGGCCATGGACTGGTGCTGGTCCATGGTCTGGGCATTAGGGATGCCTGATTTAGAGAATAAAATACATGTGGGGCTGAGCCAGTGGCTCACACCTATAATTCTAGTACTTTGGGAGGCCGAGGCAGGCAGATCATTTGAGTCCAGGAGCTGGCGATCAGACTGGGCCACATAGCACAACCCTATCTCTACAAAAAACACAAAAATTATCCAGGCATGGTGGTGTGCACCTGTAGTCCCAGCTACTTGGGAGGCTGAGGTGGGAGGATCACCTGAGCCTGAGGAGGTCGAGGCTGCAGTGAGCTGTGATTGCATCTCTGCACTCCAGCTGGGGTGACAGAGTGAGACCCTGTCTCAAAATAAAATAAAAATAAATAAATAAACGTATGGTGGGCCTCACCTTCATCCAGCAATCTGCTCAGGGACAGTCTCCTAACTGTAGCCCAGGGAGGTATAGAGGAAGTAGAGAACATCATAGGCCTAATGAGCTTAGGAATCAGATCAGAGTTCAAAGCTGCTGAAATAGCTAGAATGAAATTGCTGGGCAGGGTACCAGAGAGGGAGCAGCCTCTTACAGGGGAGACCCCAGAAGAAAGTTCACAGTGTTTCCGTATCACCTCAACAAGCCATCCTCATATGTACCTCTATGACTTTACAGATGTTACTCCCTAGAATTCTGTGGCCCCAGCCTTTACAAAGTACACTCCCCACCCTCTACCTTCAGGATTATCTCACGTTCAAAGCACAGATTAAACAGTATTTCATCGAGGAATGAAAATACTCGATGGTTTTGGTGGCTTCAAGCAGCTTTGCTGTATACCCTGGTACCATTTGCTCACACCATTTAGACATCCCACTCTACACTCACACACATAAATACATGCACATATGCATTCAAGAAATGTTTGCTAAATCTTGAAATGTTGATTACATAAAGTTCAGAACATTGTCACTTTGATTGTTGCAAAAATTAAACCATTTTAAAAATGAATTCAACTTATAAATGTGTAATTAGTTTACTTAAATTAAATTGCACATTCAAATACATGCTTATTATAAAGACTTATTTAAAAATGTGACTTTACCTTTAGAAAAGGTATTCAAAACCAGAAATTGTTATTTCAAATATTCTATGTTTTAATTCCAGTTTTGAAGCCTTTCTTTACACACACACACACACATTCACACTCACCACCAGCAACAAGCTTCATATTTTCCAAAAGTATTTCCAAAACTGCTGGACCATTTTTGTGTCTCTGGTGTCTTCTTCATAAGTTATTCAGATCCCTCTAAAGGAGTGTCCACTTCTTTGTTTTTTTGTTTTGTGTTGTTTTTTTGAGACAGAGTCTTGCTCTGTCACCAGGCTGGAGGGCAGTGGCGCGATCTCGGCTCACTGCAACCTCCACCTCCCAGGTTCAAGCGATTCCCCTACTTCAGCCTCCTGAGGAGTGTCCACTTCTGCTGCTAATAGGATCCCACTCTCCAAGCCTAGTTTTCCAGGATTCTGTATTGTATTTTCACTCTTTTTCTATTGTAGTTCTCTATTGTTGCTGTAACAAATTAGCATATTCCTAGAGGCTTATAACAGCATAAATGTATTATCCTCCTGTTCTGTGGGTCAGAAGCGCAGATAGTGTTGGCCGGGTCTTTTGTTCATGTCTCAAAAGGCTGAACTCAAGGTGTTATCTGGCAGGGCTTTTATGTGGAGGCTCTGGGAGATGATTCACTTCCAGGTTTATTCAGATTGTTGGCAGAAATCAATCTTTCTGGTTATAGGGTTGAGGCCTCTTTTTATTTTTTTTTGTGGGCTGTCAGCTGGGAGCTGTTCTCAGCTCCTGCAGGCCTTCCTTATCTAGTTGCCCCCTCCATCTTCAAACCAACAGCAGCAGATGGAGTCCTTCTCATGTTTGGAATCTCTCTGATTTCTCCTTCTGCCTTAACTCTTCTGCTGAGAAATTTTCTGCTTTTAAGGGTTATATGATGAGATTGAGCCCATCCCAATAAGCCAGGGAAATCTCCCTATCTTAAAGTCTGTGAATATTTTCTCATCTATCAACTTCCTCCTTCCGTGCAATGTAATATATTCTGTTCCACGGAATAGGGCATGGGCATTTCTTTGGGGAGTCATTCTGCCTGCCACAGATAATACTCACAACGTGTAGCCTTTATTATATTGTTGGAACAAAGCTTCCTGAGAATATTACCCTTCCCTCTGCAAAATAACAATGGCAGGCTGGCCCTGCTAGATCCGGTGGTTTCTAACTGTACATTTTGCTTGTGGCATTGGAACATAACAAGGCTTGAGGGTTTCTGTTTGAGGAAAGCATGAAAGAAAAATAAACCTTCTATTTGAAAGGAAATGGGTATTTCAAGAAATATTTGTGTATTATTGCTCTCCTGCCAATCACATCATATTTTGGCATGGTTAGTACATTTAGCCTTATGCCTGCATGTATTTTCAGCAGTTGATATTAACCTCTGCTTCTCAGAAAAGATATACTTAAGGATGTGTTCTCAAGATTTGGATCCCTGGAATGTAATAGAAGAGGAATGGAGTTCATCAACTGATGATACAAATAACTGCACAAATAATTTTATTTTTCTTTTAACCAAGGCACTTAGGCATTACTGAGCATCCATCCGTCTTGCAGGCACTGACCCTGGCATAGAGTCCAAGGATGTATGTTCTCACATGAAACCTACATATCGATATTCCTCATGTTTCAAAAGCAAACCACCTTGACCTCTGGAGTTTTAAAAAATTATTTCATGATTTGGAACATTAAAGTAGGGGCCTGTTAGGCACTCATAGTACCTGCAAGGTGGATAATATCTTCCTATTATACAATCAGAAACCACAGGCTTCAAGTAATTTACCTCTGCTCATCTAGCTTGAAATTCAATCTAACCTCACTGACTCCAAAGTCAAATTTTTTTAACTAAATAATATTTGAAAATACAGACTGGCCCATTTTGAAGGCATGATACAACATTAGGGAAAGCTTTTAGGGTATAATCCTGGACACATTTATTTCTACTCCTTGTAAGTAATCAGGGGGTAACATGAATGGGAATATATGTCTCCATCTTAATTTCTCTGGTTCTTTAAAAGCCAGGCTTTTTCAAAGTCAGTGCAAACATGTGGCTTACTGTCCATTTTCCCTGCTGTGTCTATGGATTTTTTTCCTTAGAACTGAAATGGTGTGGAAAAATGCCTGCTGTGCTCTAGTTGAAAGCAGCAAAACACAGCTGTTGTTCAGCCAGCACGTGTACATATAATATTTAATTTTGTGTTGTTGATAAGTAACATCTATTTATTTTTAAGCAAGTACAATTTTGGTACTATGTGCACATAACAGGTGTATGAGGTTTGAATGAATTATTATATTCATTTCTATGAGGATATTGTTGGTTTTCTCTTTGCCTGCATTTGAGCACATAGCCGCTAGTTCTTATCTTCCCTCTGAGGAGGTCAAATGTAATTGAGATTACATGAACAAGGATCCTTTCCACTCTCTTCTCCTCTCCTTTGTCCTGTAAATCTAATGAACCACAAAGCCTGTAGATAAGCCCTCAGCATGTTCTCCCAGATGTTGTGGAGCAGAACTGAGGTCCTTTTGGCCAGCACAGTGAGACCAGATATCCACACCGAGGTTTGCAGTGGGAAACAGCCAGGTGTTTATTTGCAGGGCACCAAGCAAGGAAGACCAGGTGGCTCATGCTTAAGTCCTGACCTCCTTGATGGCTTGTAGGTGAGGGTGTTTAAGAGCAGAGGTAAATTTCAGGAAAGCAGAAATTACTGGCAAAATTATGAATCAATATATGATGTTTACACATTGGTTTTGGCCTAAAAAGATGGGGCATCTTAAAGTGCGGGCCCACAGATAATAGGAAAATTCAAATATTTTCTGACTTGCAGTTGGCTAAGGAGGTAAAATTTTGTCCAAAGATTTGAAATCGGCTGGACGCAGTGGCTCACACCTGTAATCCCAGCACTTTGGGAGGCTGAGGAGGGCGGATCACCTGAGATCAGGAGTTCAAGACCAGCCTGGCCAACATGGTGAAACCCTGTCTCTACTAAAATACAAAAATTAGCCAGGCATGTTGGCGGGTGCCTGTAATCCCAGCTACTCAGGAGGCTGAGATGAGAGAATCTCTTGAACCCGGGAGATGGTGGTTGCGGTGAGCCGAGATCGTGCTACTGCACTCCAGCCTCAGCAGCTGAGTGAGACTCTATCTCAAAAAAAAAAAAAAAAAATTTGGAATCGGTAGAAAAGAATGCTAGCTGGGCTTGTGGGCCTGACCTCCTCCAGGTTCCTAAGGATGTTAATTTAGAACAAAGAATGTTAGAGTTCAGTCTCCAGTTCCCCCTTATCTGAGGTCTATGAGGCAGCAGATTTGTTTGCCGGGGGGCGGGGTGGGTCCCAGTTTCTGAAAAAAAACTCAGGGACATTCGCTAATGTTAGCAGTGGAGCGTATCCCAGTCACGTGGCACCAAAGAATGTTAGTGGCGGCGAATCCTACGGGTCTGCAGCAACCTCAGTTCTTGCCTCCTAAGAAGAAAGCATTTAACCGAGGAACATAAGGCAGAGGGAGACTAAGGCAAGATTTAGAGCAGGAGTGAAAGTTTATTAAAAAGCCTTAGAGCTGGAACAGAAAGAAGGAAAGTGTACTTGGAAGAGGCCCAGGCGGGTGACTTGAGAGATCAAGTGCAGGGTTTGACCTTTGACTTGCATAGGGTTTTATATGTTGGCTTGCTGGGGACTTGCGTCCCTTCTCCCCTGATTCTTCCCTTGAAGCGGGCTGCCCGCATGTACAGTGGCCTGCCAGCACTTGGGAGGGGCCGCATGTGCAGTGTTTACTGGAGCTGTACACATGCTCATTTGAGGCATTCTCCCCTTACCAATGTCCCTAGAAGGCGGTCTTCCCTTACAATGTCCCTAGAAGGTCATATATCAGTTAAATGCTGCCATTTTGCCTCTTAGTGCTCATGCTCAAGCCCACTTACCCACCTCCTGAGATCTTATCAGAAAGCTGATCACCAGCTTCAGGTTTTTCTGTCTGTTGAGAGACTGCCTTTCCTTGGTGCTGGCTGCAACCAATTATTATTTTAGAGGGAGAGCTTAACAACTTCCTGACCATCACCTAATGTTTGCTGGACGTTCCTGGTGGGAGTCGGGGGAGCTCTCTCCCAACCTCTCATGTCCGACCAGCTACTTACTGTGACATTTAGAGGTTATCTTTAGTTTCCACAGGGGAATCAAATATCTCTGACTATAACTTCCTTGCTTATTGTTTTAAGCTTCTATTACCTTCTTGCTTATCAAGATATTTGTAGGGAAAACTCTAACTTTTTCCTCCATCTCATACCACCAGAACAACCATCATCAACACAGAAGACTTCTGTGACCAAATGTGTGGGAGTTTTCCCCACTCACCAAGCTGCAGACACCAACTGGGTGTCCTCCAATTCAGTTCCCATACTCTACCTGGAGATAGTGTCAGATCCCACAGGTTGGGCTCTCAGTCCCCAAGACTAACCCCTGACACACAAACCAGTTGCAAGTGCCGGCCTCCAGAACTTGCTTCTGATCAACTGGCTTCAAGTTAAGGTTCCCAGGACCCCCTCTTTGGATTCAATTGATTTGCTAGAGTGCCTCACAGAACTCAGGGCAACACACTATAAAGCATATTACAAAGGAGACAGATGAAGAAATGCGTAGGGCGAGGTATAGGAAACAGGGTATGGAGCTTCCATGCCCTCCCCGGGTGCTGCCCTCCAGGGACTTCCAGGTGTTCAGCTGTCCTGAAGCTCTCTGAACCCAATGCTCTTGGGTTTTTATGGAAGCTTTGTCACATCGGCATTCCTTCCTCCAGAATATAGGGCAGGACCTTCTCTGCAGAGGGTCTTAATACCCACAATTAGAAAGGTAGAGGATGATTAGAGTCCTGCCTTGGTACAGGTGAAAGGAATGCAGGAGAAAGCCAGAGAGATTCTGTTTCCTAAGGCCTAACACCCACCATTATAATAAAAGACTGTAACAACAGCAATGGGAGTTATGAGCCAGGAACCGTGGACGAAAACCAACATATATCATAACACCACAAGTTACTTATTTGCTTCTCAAGACTAGCTAGGTTTCTGAAATTACCCTTGAAGGAACTTAAGAATTTCCTTAATTTTTATGCTTGGGGCAGGGGGAGAGGGGTGCACAGGCTCCTAAGAGGGGGTTCTTGCTCCGTCTCCTAGGTTCTTCCTTTCCACATTCACAGCTACTTCTGGAATCAGAGGTCAATGGGACTTGGATCTGAAGAACTATAAAGCCTGAGGCAGATTCCCCAGCTGATGTCTGGTCTGCATATTAGATCATCTTCCTATGGCAACATTTTCACTGTCTCCTTTCCTCTCTAGAAATGTGCTGGCTCTACTTTGCCTCAGGTACTCAACTAGGTTTTCTAGGCTAGGTTCAGTACATTCTCTTCCTACTCAACTCCAGACCTCAACTCATGGTCACAAACCTGGGAGACTAACCAACATAACCTTGAACAAATACTTAACGTCTCTGAGCTCAAGTTCTTACCCCCATAAAGTAAGGATGCTAAATATGATGACCTCATATTCTTGCTGAATCATTAGGATTCATAATAGAAATCAGCAGCTAAGCTAAGACATAGATCCAATTGACAATCTGATCACTAGTGGTGCATCTGAATATATTGTTCTGGATGTTTTTACTTTTTTGAAAGTGGAAAAATTTAAATACATATGCAAGTAGAGAGAATGGATTAATTAATGGACTAACTCCACCACTTCCATTTTTTCTTCGATTATTTGAAAGTAAATACCAAGCCATATCACCAGTGTCATATCACCTATAATAATTAAATATGTATAATTAAGAGACAAGATATTTTAAAAACATAACTACAATACTGTCATCACACCTAAAAATATTTACTTAATATTATCAATTATCCAATCTTGCTTAACTCTCAGGGTATTTTTATTGTTACATTGAATGGAAATCTGCTTTGACAATAATGTGCCACCCACACTGAAACTAAATCTATGCCACACCAGAAAACTCAGTTAATTCATCCACTTAATAGTGTAAATATCAATGTTTTAGAGTCTGTAGTCTTTCAACGTCCCACTGCTAAAAAAGCAAAGGCCCCAGAGTTTCAAAGAAGCTCTATGACTCCCGGAATAACCCATTAAAAGGGTTCCATGGCTACTTTTTGTTTGGTTTGTTGGTTTCTTTTTAAGAAACAAATATTATCAGAAGTTATAGAGCCAAGCCAAGACCAACAGAAACAAGTGATACTAATTGAAATAATTTCAGAGGCCTACTTGGTGCTAAAATTCTGTGATTTTAATGGAGATAGAGATTGAAGAAGAATAAAGCCAGTCCAAATTAGGGAAAAGGATGAATTAGAGGATGCTTTCTAAAACAAGTCATACATTGGCTTTCCCAGGGGCTGAATCAAGCCACAGACACGTCTTATTTGACTCAGTCACTTGATTCTTTCAATCATTCATACAGGAAATACTTCTTATAAGTTCTAATGATACAGCAGTGAATAAAATAAACCAAATGACTGCCTCATGGAGCTTGCATTCTTATATAATTTGAATGCACAAGGTGGCTCATGGATGCCTTAATGCTTTGCTTTCATTCTTCCTTTGTCTTTTAATTAAGAAGGTCTTTAGGGAAGGTATGCCTTCCTCGGCTGGACCATGGGCCACATGGCCACATAAACCTTTCTTGTTTTTCACCCTGGCCACCATATATGTGTGAGTGTGTGTATATATATAATATATGTGTGTGTATATATATACACACACACACACACATATACATATATATGCATTATATATACACACAGCATTTCAGTTTGTAGTACTCTGCTGTAGAGTTATTTTGCCTTCAGTTAGATAGAAGAATAATACTACAATTCATCATTAACAATTTTTTAGAACGACTTTTCTATCCAACATGTAATGACTGAACTTCTAATTTATGTAAGATACTAGGCCTGAAGCCAGTAATAGAGAGAGTACTAAGTCCTGCCCCATGATATCCTGGAGCTCTGGATCTAATGGGGAGACAGGCCCATAAACACAGCTTACTAATTGTGTTAGGCCGTTCTTGCATTGCTGTAAAGAAATACCTGAGGCTGGGTAATTGATAAAGTAAAGGTGTTTAATTGGCTCACAGTTCTGCAGGCTGTAGAGGAGGCATGAAGCCAGCATCTGCCCAGCTTCTAGGGAGGCCTCAGGGAGCTTCCAATCATGGCAGAAGATGAAGCAGGAGCAGGCATGTCACATGGTGAAAGCAGCAGCAAGAGAGAAAGAGTGCTGGGGAGTAGGTGCCACACACTTTTAAATGACCAGATCTCATGAGAACTCACTGTCGTAAAGACAGCACCAAGCCATGAGGAATCCACCCCCATGATCCAAAAAAACACCTCCCACCAGGTTCCACCTCCAGCAATGAGGATTACAATTCACATGAGATTTGGGTGGCAACAAATCATAGACAAACTATGTCACTAACGTCATGTGACAACCTCTGCATTAGAAGTGCAGAAAGTAATGGGAGAAGGTGGAGGTTAATGTTTCCCAATACATGGAGGAAAAGGGTCAAGGCAGCTTACAGAAAGTACACATGTATCCCAGGGCAGCGCAAGAGATGGATATTATATTTATAGGTTTATTATGAATAATTTAAAAGTGCACTTGATAAAAGTGAACTACCTTTCAGCAGACCTGTTTCCACAACTACATCAAGTCCTTGCTTTTTCCATAAGATGGTGCAAATGTAATTTCTAGATCTACTTTACTTCAGATAATTACAAATTATAAATTAACAAGACCTAAACTTAAGATGTTTTTTCTTCAGGTCATTAATGTTCACTGGTGTCAAATGACTATTTCTTCAAAAGGATAAGGAGCATTGCAAATACTATAGTATTATATATATGCTGATAACTTTTAATTGGAGCCAAGATACAATTTCTCCTCCTAAAGATGCTTTGGCTTTACTTTTTAGCAAATATAAAAGGATCCTTGGCTGGGCACTGTGGCTCACACCTGTAATCCCAACACTTTGGGAGGCTGAGGCAGTCAGATCACGAGGTCAGGAGACGGAGACCATCCTGGCCAACATGGTGAAACCCAGTCTCTACTAAAAATACAAAATTTAGCTGGGCATGGTGGTGCGTGCCTGTAGTCCCAGCTACTCAGGAGGCTGAGGCAGGAGAATCACTTGAACCTGGGAAGCGGAGGTTGCAGTGAGCCGAGATCGCACCACTGCACTCCAGCCTGGCAACAGAGCAAGACTCTGTCTCAAAAAAAAAAAAAAAAAAAAAAAGAAAAAGAAAAAGGGGGATCCTCATAGTAGAATGAATATCACAAAATATTAGAGCTGAATAGATTCCTGAAGGGGTAAGTTCAGTCTCCTGCTTCCAGATGAGACAATTCTTAAAGCATCCAGGAGAGCTGTAGATATTTGAGGACATTCCAGGACATCAGTCTCAACATCATCCTCCCCTATGGCCTCTGCAGGATTTAATCAGAGCTGATGATGAGATTCATCCTCCCCTTACTGACCACACACACTGGCTCCAATGCAACAGCATTCATTCCTCTTCCACCCTCTCTAGAGAAAAAAAAAATTGGACAGTATCTGTATTAGTCCATTCTCAATTGTTATAAAGAACTACTTGAGATTGGGTAATTTATAAAGAAAAGAGGTTTAATTGGCTCACAGTTCTGTAGGTTGTACAGGAAACATGACTGGAGAGGCCTCAGGAAACTTACAATCATGGCAAAAGGGGAAGGGGAAGCAGGCACGTCCTACATGGCTGGAGGAGGAGGAAGAGAGCAAAGGGGAAGATGCTACACACTTTTACACAACCAGATCTTATGAGAACTCACTCACTATCGTGAGAACAGCAAGGGGGAAGTTCACCCCCATGATCGAATCACCTCCCACCAGACCCATCCTCCAACACTGGGAATTACAATTCAACATGAGATTTGGATGGGGACATGGAGCCAAACCATATCAATATCCTCCCCAAGGAACACCTTACATGTTTGAAACCAGTTGCTTCCTATGGCTTTATGATGGAAAACATCTAAATGTAACTATGAACTTGAGTCTTAAACATTCCAATTAGCTGGCTTTCAGTCCTTTTGCCTCTTGGACCATTATTCACTATGTGATCCCTACTCCCTAAGGCTTAGCAGAAACCCTCCCTTCTTCACCTAATGTAGCTCTCTTGTCACATCTCCATGGATCTGCTGCAATGCCTACGCATTCTCTTTTGAAACAGGAAAGGGAATTTGGTCCTTTTATTCTAATAATTGCTAGATGAATATTTGAACAACCTAGATATAAACTCACACTAACTAGGAAGTTAGACAATTTGACTGGGAGAAACATTTGTTCATCCTTTTGAGATAGATAATGCTGGTTGCTCAGAATGGCTGCAAAGAAGTACGTCCATTAACTGGGAAACTCAAACCTCTATCCATCGACCCAACGCATCTCCAGTTTCTATGGTTCCACTCCTGCCATATCAGATATCCAACTCTTCCTCCCTAGTTTTACTCTCACTCACCTAGGCTGCACTTTCCTCGCCTTGCACCTGCACAGTTGCCACCAAAGATCCCGCCTCTGCTTCATTCTCTCCACTGAAACTGGAGCAATCTGTTGGAAATCCAAATCTGACTATGCCATTCCCCTGTTTAAAATTAGTCCATTGTTCCATATGCAAACTTCTCAGCACCGCACGTGGGATTCTTCAAGATGCGGCCTATTTCCATTTCGGGCTCACCTCCCAACACCTCTGTGATTTAAACCCCAGGGAAGCCAACCTACTTAGGTTCTCCAAACCCACGCTGGGATTTACACATCCTCCCTTTCCACACCCTCCACAGAACCCCTCCATGCCTTTCTTCTCTCCACTTTCCTTGGGGTTTGGCCGGTCCCCTCCAACCTAGGAAAACAGTAGAAGGTCACGTTCTTCTTACATTCTCACATTACAAAGCAAGATCCCCATCCTTCAGCCCCTCCCACACCCAGGTTCCCATTAACTCCCCTACTTCATGTGAGATGAGAAACAAGTGCTCCAAGGTTTTCTGCTCAGCTGCATTTCCAGCCCCCACGCTTTTCCCTTATGCAGGCAATACACTACCCAGAAAACAGAATAAAAGAACAACACAGAGGATAAGTTGCAACGGTTAAAATATCTCATAACGTTCAGTGTCCACAAACTCAGATCCACCATCTCTCCATCCCATGCAGTGTGGCCTCTCTGCGATCCTGGCATCCTCATTGTACTTCTGGCCAGCCTCTCCCTCTGCAATTCTGGCCTGATCCTCTGTGGTTCTGATGGGACTTTTGCTCTGAGATCCTGGCCTCTCTCTCTCTGTGATCCTGGCCTGACTCTCTGTGATCCTTATCAGCCTTCATATAACAGGGAGCAAGCTGCTTTGTCTCTCATGAGAGTTCTCATGCCTAACTCTCATGTGACCTCAAAGAGAAAAGAGCTTTGTCTTCTCTGTCCAACATTGCCCCCCACCATCCTATTCCAGCAGGATTGATAATGGAAATATCTACTTCCTCTTTGGGGGAACCCCATTATCACCCACAAGAATGTGGTCCTGAATTATAGTCCAAAAAGGAAAATAAAATTTCATCGGAGCAAAATGTTTGAACTCCAGTACATTTGAGGTTACTTAGTCTTGAATACTGTGAGCAGGACATCAACCGTGCAGCAGGAAAAACTCTGATTCTGTCCTTTTACATGGTCTCCAGCTAGAAGTAAATGGAAAGCAGCCATGCATGCTTCGCCTTTAGCCATGTGGCTCCTGGTACTCAGGCTCCGATAAGCAAATGCATGAACAAAAACATGCAGAGGCTTACTCTCTCCAAGAGCAAATCAAAATTGACCTGAATTCTGATGCATACATTGAGGAGCTAGGTTTACAGTTTGCAAATTCTGTGTGTTTTTAGGGAACTTTATTCTCTGCAAACTTCATTGCAACTTTTGGAATATTTCTTTTTCCTGTGTTAGGGTTCAAGATGATTTTAGTTTTCCTGAGAATAGGCGGCATTTGCTTTGCATTTGTAGAACAGATAGATTCATGGTGCTCAGGGGAAAATCTTCTCTCCTCCCAGTAAAGCTGTGAGCACTCTGGCCTTTGGACATTCTCCAGCCTCTCCTCCTGCTGCTGTCTGCTTTGCTATCCTCACACTTCAGCACCAGGGGCCTCCTTTCCATTGTTGAAGAAGGCCAAGAACCTAAAGTGATTCTCGGCACTAGCGCCTTCACACATGCTATTCCATCTGTCTGGACAACGATCTCTCTCCGTCCTACCATTCATTTTTGAGTCTCCCAAACTCCTCCTATCCTTCAAGCACCTCCAGGTGACCTTCTGAGGACTCCCCTCCAGCATCCCCAAGCAATGTCAGGACCACCTCTGGCCTTTGCAATGTTTACATCTGAGTTGATAAACAGGATCGGGCTTCCTACTTACTAACTATACACACTGGCTCCGATGTAAAACCATTCGCTCCTCTTCTATCCTCCCAAGAGAGAGAAAATTGAACAGCATCCTCCCCCAGAAATTCTTTACATATTTGAAACCAGTTGTTTTCCTTGCACCATTCTTACGTAAGTCTGTGTTTCTTTACAGCACAGGCAACGCTTGTCTTTCCAAACAGATTCCTGAGCTCCAGGGCTGCAGGAGCCACATTCTTCTCCTTTGCCTACCTTCAGTGCCCGGCCAAGTTCGCTTAATTAATATCTTTGAATGAAACAAAGACTTAATCTGGCCCAGATTTAAATTCTGAATTATTTGGTAGATTAAACACACACACACACACACACACACACACACACAAACACAGATATAGAGAGAGATTTGTAAGCTATGAAATGGCAGGTTTTACCTTCTTCTAAGTGAACATATATTAAGTACACGTGAGGATTCTTTTCAGCCACAGAGCATTCTGTTACACTTAATTCACAGATGTAGTCTCCCTCTCAGTCTCCAGCCGAAAGGGACACAGATATTTCAGTAAGTATTTCTGTCATTTCGGCTGCCTGCCTCTCTCCCCAGCAACCCACACACTCCCTCTACTCTACAGTCGAATCTCACCTGCGTTTGACCTGCTCCATGAAGCCCCCTGTTCCATTCAACCACATGTGCCCCCATCCTGGCTTGGACTTAAATTCCATAAACATTTTCTTTAAGGATATCGTCACACTCCACCATGCATTATCATCATCTACATAATTGTCTTATTTTTTTCTTACTCATCAGCTTGTGAAGTTGTACTGTGACACTTGAGACCGTGGGCAATGGATAGCTTAAGAGAGGCATGATCTCTTAGAAGACAACAAACAGATCTGGAGTAGGACCAACTTCACTTCGTCTGAAACAGACTCACGGTATAACCTTAAAAAATGCTGTGAGCCTGCGCAGAGCTCGACTTCTTTACCCATAAATTCAGACTTTTCTGATCTACCTCATGGGACTGTGAAGGTTAAATGCAACGTTGGTTGTCATGTGCAGGGTCACCATGAGCTCAAACACGGCTCTCCTGCTATTCTTGTTAACATTGGCAGGCAGAAGGGGAAGTTCAGGAAGATTGCTTCCTTTTTCTTGTTACTGGATGATAGTCATCTATGACTTGACTTTTGCAAAGATTTCTCTCCTTTGAAGATAAAGAAACTCTGTCCCCACACCACAATTTCCATTTTCAAAAACTGAAATTGTGGCTCAATTAGAATGTGATCATCACTACTTATACTCAAAAACTTATCGCTGCTACTAGTATAAAATAATAATTCCTCAAATGTGAACACCAGGCCATATCACTGTTTGCTGTTTATGGGGAACTTGACTCTACCCATTTAAGTAAGTGGTGCTTGAGACAATCTGCTAAGGACAAGGGGTCCTGTGATTTTTGCCTGGGACTCTCTTGCCATAATTCAGTCGGTAGATCTAGGCCATTGGAAAAGCCACCAATGTTTGTTTGGGGGATGACAAAAGATTGATGAACAACTTGTGATTACAACTTCTGTATCCTAATCAGAAATTCTCTTGTGTTTTTTTTTTTTTTTTTCTTACAATAAATTTTCTAATCTGAACATGCTGAAAATTTGCCTTTATATTTCCTGGATGGAAATAGTGCACAATCCTTATGCCTCTTTGTGTAACCTCTAGACCCTTCTTGTCTTATCCACTATGAACCAAAGAGCTATTTCTGGGACCCTTTACTCATCCTTCTCTGTTCTCTCTGCTTGGAATTCCATTCCAGGTTCAACACAAATATATCTTTGACATGAAGAGATACCTAATCTTTGCCTTGCCCATTTTAAACCAATAGAATTAAAAATAAATTAATAAAATAAGTTATTCTATCATCAGATATATGTATATCTAGTCTCATAAAATTGTATGTGTGTTTTACAATATTTAGTCCCTGTTTTACTAAAAATATTTGTGGACCCAGCTTGCCTTCCTCATGTCACTAAAAATATATATATTGAGTACCCACTATTCCCCTAAAATATTTACCAAGCACCTTCTAAGAGGCCTTTTAGTAGATATCCAGTAAATATTTTTAAATGAATGAATGTTTAGCTACACCATCCAATACGGTAGCCACTAGCCACATTTAACTACTCAAATTTAAATTAACTGAAATCATATACAATAAAAAATTCATCTTGTACCCCCATTTCAAGTGCTCAGTAGTCACAAATGGCTAGCGACTACAGTATCAGAAAGTGCTGTTATGGGACCCTTCATCACAGCAGAAAGCTCTACTGGGCAGTTCTGAATTCAATACATGAATGAATAAATGCCTGAAAGAATGAATGAACAATCCATCAGGAGGCTCCCAAGCCACCCCCTCTGCAAACTCTCTGACTTCAAGGATGGATTAAACTACATAATATTAACATTTCACCTAATTTAGAGATCAGCTTCCACTTAGGGAAGTGTCACAGCTTGGATTATTTAAAAGGAGCTCAGGAAAGCAGTGAGCACATCCTGCAGGCATGGCTGCTGCTGTTCCACAGACCCATCAGCCACATTATGACAGGAGCGCTTTCCAGCTCCAATTTGTCTAATTCTCATCTGTTATATTAACAAAGAATGCCTGGCCAGAACATGTCACTCAGCTCCACAAAGAGCTATTTCCGTCTTCTGTCTTCTTCCAGAACTGCAAAGATTGATTTTAGGAAGATAATCATTTTTGTGTATTTCTGCACACAGGCTGGCTGCAGCTGTTCCCAAATGCAACATCAATACATGTTTTATGAGTCAGTTTTTTGTGGGGTTTTTTTGGTTTTTGTTTTTTTTTTTTTTTTTTTTTTTTTTGGTAACGTGTGAAGCTAATCATGTTGAGTACGACATAAAAAGCATTTGCCTTGAAATCTCAAGCGCTGTGTCCCATCACTCAATCTTGCTGTGAGCACAGATTTCCTTGAAATGTTTCTGGTCGGGACTGAATGTGTTGAATCTCAATTTTGTATTTCAGCTCCATTCTACGATACAGCAGGGTGAGAACGTGAGTAGCCTTCACAGTTGGGCTTCTGTCTTAGCCTGAGCCATTGAGACAAAAAAACCTAAGACTTTATTTGGGATGTGCAAACCCAGGAAAGAGAGGAAGAAGTGAAGTAAAGGCAAAGAAATCTGGGATGCCAGGTGAAGTGATGCATCACCTTGCTGCTCCTTCCCCACAAGCCTTGAAGTTACAACTGGCAGCCCTAGGCTTGTCCAGGAAAATTACAACGAATATCTCTGTCTTGGGGTAGCACATGGGAGAAACACAGGAGGGGGAATAACCCAGCTAGCTCCTTCCTATTTCCTGTTTCCATTGATCCATTTGCCACTTGGACAGTTAACACCCTCAGAATTCCAGGTTGCACTGGACTCCTGAACAGTAGCTCATGACACTTCCAGTAGTGGATGAAGCACTGTGTGCACAGTTGGCCCTGCACAGAGTGCATCATCCACTACTGGAAGTAGACAAGTGTCTCCTTGAAGATGGGCTTGGTGTGCAGGGCTTGTGAGCCAGGCAGGCTGGGGACTTCCAGCCATCTCGTGGACGTCCCATCAGAGGTTGTTGGTAAGCAGGTCTGGGAGGCAGGCTGTGCTTTAGAGGGAAGGAGACAGTCAGATAGTGAAGGGAACCCAAAGGGGCACAGGATTTCTTCATCCAGTACAGCTTCTCTGCTCGCATGCTTACAGGATTCATCTTCCGTGGCAGGAATTGTTATTTTTAAAAGGAAAATTATGTTCCTCTCCAGGCTCTTTAAAGTATGCTATCCTGATAGAAAAGGCCTTACAGGTAAGCAAATCCTAGTCCTCCAATGTTGCATGTATAAAAATTAATATTAAATAATTGGTGTATGATAGACTAGAGATGTTAAATACCTCGCTTACTAGAAGTAAGTGCCCCCTCCAGCCAACCAGGAAAAGGAGCTCAAATGTTCTAATGCTTCTGTTGCCTCTCTGTACAACAGATAAATCATGTTTATGCAGTGATTGGCGAAGGAAATGAGCATGCAGCAGTGACGCCTGATGCTGAAAGGTGTCACTGGGGTTGCTCCTAAGGAGTCTGAGAGCCTCCCAGGAGCTGGGGTCCACTCAAACCTGGAGGCTCTTCATGCAGCATGCTGAGAGCTCTAGATAATCTCCAGGTAGGTGAGGCCCAGGGAATGTGGGGAGAAGAAATAATGGAGAATCTCACTTTCTAGAACCTGGAGTCAGGTGCCTCAGATAACTCCGAGGGTCAGGAAGATGAAGCTCAGTGTGTGCAGGGAAAAGAGGCCTGCATTCAGATGGGGGAAGTGTAGGAGCATTGTGCATTGTGGGGACGGCACCAGGGGACCCCAAAAACTATAAGCTTCAGTAGTTTGAGGACAATTTAATGAAGGGCCAATGGTATCCATCATGTTAAAGAGGTAAGAGGAGCACTAAGGTTGTTTAACAGAACATGGATGTGATCACATTTGTTTTGTCATTCTAGTTGCTGTGTAGAAAATGGAACTGGAGAGGATTTTCTAGAAGGAAAGAAACAAGTTTACAGGGAGTTGCTATGGACCAAGTGCGGAGTAATAAGGGTCTTCATATTTGAGAAGCTCGTCTTACTCATCTGTAAAATCATATTAATATGTGCCTCAGAGTGAAATTAAAAAATTAATTATTCAATGTCTTTATAGTTCTCCATCCACAGTAGTTTTGTTGACCAGACTTAAGTTGGCGCCCATGATGTGCTCCTCCTGGAGTCATGCTGCTGTAGAACTCACACACTTGACTGTGGGTGGGACGTTCGACTTGCTTCTAACCAATGGAATACAGCGAAAGGAACAGATTTCACTTCCTTC
Organism: Homo sapiens; assembly: GCF_000001405.40. NCBI lineage: Eukaryota > Metazoa > Chordata > Mammalia > Primates > Hominidae > Homo > Homo sapiens. The sequence goes on along the minus strand of NC_000002.12, from coordinate 12,197,766 downwards.
ACAATGTTGTATAAGATTGTAATGACTATCACACCGAAAAACTCTCTTTCCTCTTGGTTTTGAGAAAACAAGCTGTCATGTTGTGCACTGCCCTATGGACAGTTATGTGGCAAAAAATTGAGGACAACTGGCAAGAAACTGAGGCCCTCAGTTCAGCAGCCTGTAAGGATTTCAATGCTACTAGTAACCATCTAAGCCTATAAGTGTATCCTTCCCCAGTTGAGCCTCAGATGAGTACTCAGTTCTTACTGACACCTAGTTTGCAACCTTAAAAAGGGCCCAACTAACGCATGCCCAGACTCCTAATCCACAGAAACTCTGAGATAATAAATGTGTGTGGCTTCCAGCTTCCAGGTTTGTGGTAATACTGTCATGTAGCAGTAGATAGCAGTTTCCCCACAAACTTAGTTCCCTCACTTTGCACTACCTACCCTGTCACAGCACTGAAATGCTAAGTGTGAGCAATACTACTAAAACCATTCATTTCCTGCCTCTCTCTTTAAGTATACTGATATGGTTTGGCTGTATCCCCACCCAAATCTCATCTTGAATTGTAGCTCCCAAAATTCCCATGTGTCCTGGGAAGAACCCAGTGGGAGGTAATCAAATCCTGGGGGCAGGTCTTTTCTGTGCTGTTCTCAGGATAATGAATAAGCCTTATGAGATCTGATGTTCTTATAAAGCAAAGTTCCCCCCGTACAAGTTCTCTCTTTCCTGCCACCATGTAAGATGTGACTTGCTCCTCCTTCCCTCCACCATGATTGTGATGATTCCCTCCAGCCGTGCGGAACTGTGAATCCATTAAACCTCTTTTCTTTATAATTCACCCAGTCTTGGGTATGTCTTTATCAGCAGCATAAAAATGGACTAACACACCTACCTATAAAAGATGTTTAAGCTTCCAAAGAATTTTAAAAGGTCGGGGAATTTTAGGGGAAGGGGGTAAAAAACACTAAACTTCATTTATAAACAGCACAGTAGGCACTGGTCTACCCCTTAGTTATACCCAGTGACAAGCATCAGTATCCACTGCCTAGGCTGTGAGTAATTACTGAAGTACATCTGCTCTCTGTGTCTAAGTTTCACCTCATTTTTACTAGTGACCTTTGCCTCTAGCATTTTTGCTTTGGCAAGTTCTCAGCCTCACTAATGTCCCAGTTCTTTTCTCAGGGCTCACACACAAACCACTTCCATTGCTCAGTTATATTTTTACTGCTATCTTGCAAGCACACAAAAATTGTTCAAGGAAGCTGGACTTCCTTGTGTATTCTCATCCAAACGCCTTCTGCTTGACTACTGTGTGTGTGTGGTGGGGGTAGGAGGGACATTACTGTCCTTCTTTTACCCAGAAGATAGGGTCCTGTCTGAATGACTTGCTTCCAGCACTGGATTTAATTTTTTTCCCTTATATCTCACTTTCAAATATCTCCTGAACTATAAAGGCTGGAAATAAATGTTGTCTTTTTCTGGCAACATCGCCCACCTGGGAATAAGAAACCATTTCATGCTCACTAGACAAAGTTTGTGCCTATGTTTTGTATATTCAAGATGGGGTGATATTTTCTGGGTTGCTGATTGTTTTCATTTTATACAACACAACCATTTAATTAGCTATAGTTTATCATGTCTACTTGGGAACGGAATAAAAATCAAAATTTCAAGTGAAGACTACAGCTGCCACCCTAGGAAAGATAAAGTAAATCATAGTTACAATTAATCAAGGGTCTCAGAAAGTGCTGGGTATTTAGCAGGTCATATTGTATTTGACTCTTACTGAACTCTACAAGATGGGTTCTGCAATAATCCCATTTTACAAATAAAGAGGATATTTAGGCTTTTGTGAACCTCCACTGGTCAAGGCAGAGCTGCTTCAAGTTGGCTTCAAATATCAAGCTCTTGCTCTGCAGAAAGAGGTGACTTGGACTCTCAAAGAGACACTGAGCCCCATACAAACTGCATTCTCAATACATTCTAGAGTTGTTTCTGTTCTTTCTTCCAATCCAAATGTAGCACTTTTTCCTCATGTAGTTTAACTATCTAATCACACAAAAATGTTATCAAAATTGAAGGCTGTGTTTTTGCTTCAAGATATTTTAAAATCGTAGTGAAAATTGGTTTTTTGTAAATCTTTCTACGTTTATATGCAGGACTACACAAATGAAGATGATAACCCATTTTCAGAATTAGTATGAGCAACTCCTCCCACATGCCTCTACTGCCTGCTCTTTTCTTTATTCTTAGCCTTTCTTTGAGAAATTTAGATCAATTTGAGCTCATAAAACATAAAAATCAGTAATAAAAATGTTTACTATCTATAAATGTCTATATTGGAATTAGTTCACTAAATTTTAATGAAACGGTACAACATTCGATTTTACAGAATATTTCAAATTTTTCATTAATGTCTTGTCTGACAAGATCCCTCCTGCCATTTTCAATTTGTATTTTAAAGCAAAAACTGTGCATGTCCTCAACTCACTGACTCATTTGATGAGAGCAACAGGGTGTAATTTGCAAGCAAGTGGAGACCTTGATGAATGGGCTAGCTGAATGTCATGAGACCTCTCAACGACTGTAATTTCTGTCCCATGGTTCCTAGGAGTCATATAGATTGCAGAGGGTAGGTCAATCCATGTCACTGTGACAGACAGGAGTGCCAATTGCAAATGCTTTTGAGTGCAAAAGAACAATGATGCATTCCTATTTTCTTGTGAAGGAGATCATGGGTGAGTGTATGTTGTGGCATGGAAACTGGGTCCACCAAACAATTCAACCCTGCTCCATCTGGGAAATCCCCTTTGTTAAAGTCAGTGGAATCAAAACATGTTCTGTATAAAAGTTGCTTCAACCCCACTTAGGAACACCACAAAGCAGTAAGTGGCAATGGAACTAGCTACCTTGCTCTGGAATAGAAGATTGCACACATCCTTGAATACCTGTCCCTAGCCAAGGTAGCAGCACGGTTCTCAGGTACCTGTGATGACTCCAGCCTGCATGATGTTGGAGAAGATATATTTATGGGTCAAGATGCCAATGATCACCTAGCTATGACTATACTTATTTCCTCACTGAAGAAATTGCAGCATAGAAAGGACGATTTCCAAGGTTGTACAGCCAGTTAAAGGCACAGTCAGATACAGGAAAAGCAGATCCCTGTTCTTGAGACTTGAATTGAAATACCCCAGATCTGGAAGAAAAGATTAAAGTGAGCTTTCAGCACTAATTCAAAGGTGGCCATATTTTGCCTATTATACATAATGTTGCAGTGAACGTAAGAGTGCAGATATCAAACAAATATTTCTTTAAGATCCTGATTTTATGTCTATTAGCTATATACCCAGAAGTGGGATTTCTGGAATATATGATAATTCTATTTTTATTTTTAAAGAACCTCTATACTGCTTTCCATAATGGCTCAACCATTTTACATTTCCACCAACAGTGAACAAGTTTTCCAATTTCTCCATATCCTTGCCAACTGTCCTAGTCTGTTTTGTGCTCCTATAACAGAATATCTCAGGCTGAGTAATTTATAAAGAACAGAAATTTGTGTCTCACAGTTCTGGAGGCTGGAAAGTCCAAGATCAGGTGCCAGCCTCTTGTGAGGGCCTTCTTTCTGCATCATCTTATGGTGGAAGGGCAAAGAAGTGGTGATAGCAAGAGAAAGAGGGGCCTGAGCTCATCCTTTTATAAGGAACCCACTCTCTGATAATGGCATTCAACATCTCTTAAAGGCCCCATCTCCCAACACCTTCACAATAGGTATCACGTTTTCAACACATGACCTTTGAGGGACACATTTAAACCATAGCACCATCTTTTGTTTTTTTTAGAATAGTCACCCTAACAGGTGTGAGATGATATCTCATGATTTTGATTTGCATTTCTCTGATGATTAGTGATGTCCAACATTGGATAATGAATAATGAAAATGTAATCTATACATACAATGGGATATTATTCAGCTTTGAAAAAGAAGGGAATCTTGTCATATGCAACAACATGGATGAACCTGGAAGACATTATGCCAAGTAAAATAAACCAGTCACAGAAAGGCAAATACCATATAAATTCGACAGATATGAGGCATCCAAAACAGTCAAACTCATAGAAGCCGAGAGTAGCATGGTGGTTGGTAGGGATTTGGGAGGAAATGGGGAGGTGCTGTTCAATGGATGTAAAGTTTCATTTATACGACATGACTAAGTTCTAGAGATCCGCTATTAATATTGCGCCTATAGTTAACAGTACTATATTGTACACTTAAAAATGTGTTAAGAGAGTAAATCTCATGTTAAGTGTTCTCACAAAAACAAAAAGACTCTGGTTATCAAGATAGACATTAGTTTGTGCCAGAACCTTGTAATCCCTCTTCTGGTTGAACAAAAATGGAGACATATATTAATGATTTACTCAGGAGGAGGGCAGGGGGCAGTTGGTAACATAAATGTGATTACTGTCCCTTTAAGCTGGGTCAGAATTCCTGCAGAGCCCAAAGGGCCTACTTGCCGTGGGTTGCTCTTTGCATTCTTGCTGGCAGAACTGTCACTGTGCTCTGAGAGGCTGGAGCGTTGAGTGGAGGTGATGCCTAACTGCAGAAACCTGCTCTAAGGAAACACAGTAACATCTCCCATGCCCTCTTCAACTTCAAGGATAATAACCACGAACCTCAGGGCAAATCCCCTGTATGGGGACTAATGAGTCCTTGCAGTGCCTCAGAGGAACCACTGCTGAGCACTAAGTGGAGTTAAGCGGGGACGGGAAGGAAATGGAAGCTTTCCTGCGGTTTGCCAGTCACTCGGTTATATATATTCTCTTATGGGAAATGGCTCTAAACATGGAAAGGAAGCCAAGGTTTGATGCCTGACATCATTTCCTGTTTTCTACCAGTTTTTGTTTTGCCTTGCTTTAAATCAGTCTGGATTTTGTTTTTCACTGTGCTTTGTCTCTCTTACCCAACCAAGCAAGCTCAGTAATTAAAAGGCAGTAACAACTTGTAGATTTTTAAGTACTTTCACTGACAGTATTTTGTGTGATTTTTATGACAATCATGTAAAGTATGTATTTTGTCCACAGTCAGATAAGGAAACAACAGCAGCTCAAAGACAAGAAGGTGAATGCGGTAGTGTACATTAATAGATTGTATTTGTTAACATAGTATTGAGGATTTTTAATATGAGTAGTTGATCACAATTTTCTGTTCTTGTTTTGGTGCTGAAATTTCATTGGCTCATAAAATAAGTTAGAGAACTTCTGTTTTGCTACTCTCAAATCAGTTGGTTTGGCATGGGAGTCACCTGTTCCCTGAAGGTTTCATAAAATTCACCTGAAAACCAGGGAAGCCTGGTAGCACTTGCTAAGGTAAACTTTGATTATGTAATTACGGTAACCTAATTTGATTACCCAATTTAATTAACAGTTATGAGTTTACTCAGTTTTCTTCTCTTTTAAAAATAAATGTATGCTTTTGTTCCAGGAAATTATCAGTTTTATTTAAGTTTTCAAATTCATTGGGATAAAGTTGTTCAGAATATTCTCCTATGGATTTGAATCTTTACTGTGTTAAGGAAATAAGTTTTTATTCCTACTCATTTTATTAATGCTTTTTGCTGTTTTGTTTCAAAACTCATTTGATCCTGGTAATAATCTTGCTATGTAGGTAAGTGACTGTTCTGAACTTGATCCCAGGTCTTACAAGAAAGTTTTCTAACTCCATGAAAGCAGAGATCACAGCTGCTTTGTTTCATACTCTAACCTCAGTGCCCAGCAAAATGCCTGGCACATAGTGGGCACACACTCAATCAATTCCTTAAATTAAATTGGAATGAAGTATTTCAAAAAGCGAGTTTTGAAGCAGATATTAGAAGAATTGGTTAGCAGAGAGGAACTTGAAGAATTTTTAAGGAAATTGTGTGTAAATAGCTTTAGAAAAAGATGGAAAGACAAAATGAGCAAAACTGATGAAGGTATAAATCCAGAAATTCATCTGATTTGTCCCATATCAAATTCTAGGCTTAGATTCTATTAGAAATTATATTACTTCAATATAGTGAGCAAGGGAAACAGTAAGAGGTTAACACCAGGAACACAATGAAAGAGGACAATATTTTTAAAGTTCAAAACCAAGTCCCCTATTGTACCGTACTGTACACAACGGCATTGTGATGGTAATTGAATAGTTATGTCCATTTGTATCTAATGAGACAAAATGAACAAATCTTGCCTTTTCCCTTTTTGAAACTATCTCAGAAATTCTTGAAGCTCCAGGTTCCATTGCTGTCCTTCAGTGTTCAGGCTGGTTGAACATGATTCCAGTTGTCTTTGTTTCTCAGCCATTATTGCTTAGTTGTATTTATTTTGTCAGTGGTAAGTGGCTAGTGTGGCTTCAACTACTTTTCTAGTGTGTTGCTAATGGTCAGATTGGAATATTGCTTGCCACAATTAAGGATGAATATTTCCAGTGGACAAATCCAAGTATAACAAAAATAACCATACAATGATACACAGAGATTCAATATGGAAATTAGCAACATTGGAAGAGTGATTTGGCAGAGGGCCCCTTTTAAAACCCCAGAGTTATAGGAAATAGTCCTGTCATCAATTAACACTTTTTCAATTTGTTTTATGCCAGACATTCTTCTATGAACTTACGGAAGACAAGATAAAATTCCCGCCTTGGTATCCACATGGAATCCAGGAAACCTGTGCATCTGATGGTTTGATACACCCTTTTGTCATCAATTCTTAGTTACTATGCATAGTCTACTGATAATTGTTCATTGTGTACTTTTCGTTACTTAAAATTCTTCAAATCACCCTAAGGTAAGAAAGTTTGGGTTTTATGTATGGTATTTGTAGAACTAAAATAAAGGGGGAATTTGCACCCTAACGTAACATACTCTATGTAATAAACTACCTGGTCAATTTATGAAATATGACTCGATTGAGATGTTACGCATAAAATGGATAACAAAATGTATCTATTCTACAACTAACAGATAAAAACTTTTCATAGAAATCAACAACTGGAAAAAGCAAGGAATAAAGGTTGTCTTCATTGTGGTGACAATTTTATAGCATCAATTTTAATATCTAGAAATGTACGGTTCTTCACAGTGATTTTAAACCTCTTTTCCATTCATATTCTTAATTGGTACAGAAAAATTGCTCTTGGGAAAATCATGAAATTATTCATACATTTTTATTTCACTAATTCTAATATAAATAATGATTGAACTTTCTGTAGATTAAATGCAAGTATGAGATAAGACAAATGTGAAAAAAGGATTCTGAGACAGACTATATTTCATTAATATTTAATTGGTTGCAAATTTTGCTGTCTCAAAAAGTTTCTGCTCTCTGCTTCATTAAATAAATTCTGTCATTGTTCAGCGTAATTATAGCTGTGGGGAAATTTTCTCAATAAAAGCTTAGAAGGAAAAAAAAGAAGCATAACAATTAATGATAAAAGCTTAGTTAACAGTTCTCTGATTCCAGACCTTCTCAGAGTTCTAAGCAGTATAAGTTTCTATGACCTATATGCGTGGGTTAGATGAATGTTCATCACTGATTTAGACGAGAGAGGGTGTCAGGAAAGCAAACAGATTTTTCTCCACTTAACAATTTTCCTATTTATCTGAGCATTTCCTGAATTTTAGGGTTTGCTCAGCTCTTTAAAGTATACTGAGTCTGCGGAAAACATCTGCAGAGTCTACCCTTTCCAGTTCTCCAAATGTTTGTTCAAATCCCAATATAAGGCATTCTAGATCCATTTGAGAAACACTCCATTTTGATCTACTTAGACACAATTTTGTTTAAGCATTTTAATTCCTGACATTGTTGCTTCCTGTCTGTGTGGTTCCTGACCACGGATCAATGATTTGAATTCTTTCCTGCATAAAACCTAATGTATTTTCAAAGGTCAATTTTCCCTCTTCACCTTTTAGAATGTCTTTCTTCTGTGTTTTCTTAGACATTTACTCCAGAGCAATTGGCCATGACCTGAAGATCTACAAGCTCATACAAACATCTTCCTACAGCTCGTACAAAGAGTCCTGTGAGATGCCACCAATTGTATCAGATTCCCCACCTTAGGAATCAACTCATATCTATATTATACCATCCGGCAGATGGGAAGAATTTAATAAATGTTTGTTAAATAAATGCCTCTCACTAGTTTGAGTGAAACAGATGGGCCAAATCATTTATCGTTTCTGATTTGGTGTTGAGGAATAAACTCATGTAATTTCTTTGCAATACCCATTGAGCCACAAGTGCATATTTAGCCCCTGTTTATTACATAGACACTTTGTAGTCTTGATTAAATTTACTTTAATTCTCACAGCACAGTTCTCAAATTGATAGCATTGTCACCGTTTTAAAGATGAATATGTTAAGGCTTAGAAGGAATAACTGGTTTTCCCTGCCACTTTGCCCCAGCAAAGTAAAAAACCAAATAAGAGCTTCTACCCTTATTTCAAAGCACTTTTCATCATGAATGCATACCCCCAAATACTGCAACATTTTCTTTTTTGATATACTAATGCTCTGTTAGAGAAGATAGAGAGATCTCTCAAATAAGATTCAGGTCTATAAGTAGAGAGAAATTCCAAAAAGCTCAGCTACCTAATGACAAAAACTTCCCACAGGGTCTGGCTCTGCCACGCAGGCTGGAGCACAGTGGCACAATCTCAGCTCACTGCAGCCTCCACCTCCCAGGCTCAAGCCATCCTCCCACCTCAGCTTCCAGAGTAGCTGGGACTACAGGCATGTGCGACGACGCCTGGATAATTTTTGTATTTTTTTTTTTTTGGTAGAGATAGGATTTTTCCATGTTGGCCAGGCTGGTCTCGAACTCCTGGACTCAAGTAATCCACCCACCTCAGCCTCCCAAAGTGCTGGGAGTACAGCTCTGAGCCACCGTGCCCGGCCAAAAACTTCCCACTTTTATTGACTTCAAGCTTCTAGAAACATTCCACTACTAGTCTCTTCTTTTGCTTAAAAAACTGAAAGCTCCTATTAAAGGTCAAAATTGGAATCTGTCAGTAGGAGGAAATTAGATGATTATCCCCTCAGCACCCAGAGTAGGTGGAAGTAAGCACAGCTGGAGGGTTGGGTTAGCCCACACATCTGACCAGACACAGATGCCATCGAACCTATACTGTCTTCCTGACACCATGTCACATACCTGTATGTATAGCTAGAAAAAAAACATCACACAAGGTATTGAGGGGCTCAATGTGATTATTCTCTAAGACCAAATCTGGCTCTCCATCTATTTTTAAAAATAAAGTTTTATTGGAACACAGCTACCCCATTCCATTACACCATTTTCTATGGCTGCTTTCACAGTACAATAGCAGAGGTGAATAATTGCTACAGAGATCATATGGCCTGCAAGGTCTAAAATATTCACTAGCTGGCCCTTTATGGAAAATGTCTGCCTTCCCCTGCCCTAGGCCACGTGCCTTACATCACAGCAACATCAGATTCTCAACACTCAGAACTCCCCATGTAACTCCAAGCGCAATACAATTCCAAGCCTTTTACAAGCATTACCCTCTAAATCACTTAAGATTAGGTTCAGTTGGAATTAATAAATCCCACAGTCACACATGTTGTAAAAAGATTGAAATTTATTTCTTCCTCGCATAAAATCTGAGAGGGGTAGTCCAGGTCATTTGCTCTGCTCCAAACACTTTCACAGCCTCAGGCATTTTTGAACATTCCCGTCTACCACTACCATCCTGGATGTGGTCCTCAACCTCACAGCATCCAAGATGGCGGCTGTGGCTCCAGCCACAGAGTAGAGAGTGATCAAGAAGAAAGGGACAACGGAGCCATAGCTGATATTAAGGTATTTCTTGAAGGTGGCTCCTCAACACTTCCACATTTCTCCCACTGGCCAGAACTTAGTTATGGGGCTATCCCCCAGCCACACAGGAAGCTGGACGCCACAACTTCTACACAAACCAAACTCAAGACAGCAGCATGGGCGGTAGCTGGCCATCAAAGACTCTTGCTCCCTTTGCATAGCATACAGCTGTTGTTGGAAGGCCAACAACAATCAAAGCCTAGCCAGGGATTTGATTCCCCAGCTTCTCTAGTAGCTAAAAGTAATCAATGGATTATGAACAGAGACGAGTGGCTACTTCTAAGCCAAGGGAATTCTGAGGAAGATGCACTCTCTCCTCTCTACTGTCCATTTCTTGACACTCCAGATAAACTTGGAAGCCAGATATTGAAGATAATGGAGTCACTAGATGGGAAAAAAACTGGATCTCTGAATTACTAATGAAAGGAGAATCTCCTACTAATTAGAAACACATTTTAGACTTCATGGGCGTTAAAAATGAACTTCTATTGTGTTGAGCCACTTATATTTTTAGGGTTTATTACACTTCCCACAGCACCTTATAATTATGGTTACAATTTTATATTCAGTAATAATGAGAATACCATGTCAATTTCTCATTAAGTCTCTATACCTCAATGTCTACTACACTACCTATTACCATAGTAGCTGCTAAATAAACCCTGGGCAAATTATCACTGAGTAATAGAGGCATGCACAGATACTGTGAGAACACAGAGGAAATCCTATTTAATTCAGCCTGGAAAAATTATATTTATTTTACAATGTAGGACCATGTGTGTTAGAATATTACATTTTATGTAAAGCATAAATATTCCATTGAATAAATTTTCTAGTTAATCTGAAACAGAACTTTTTGTTTGTTCTGTTCTATGTTGCAAATTCAAGTGGTCCTGTCTGTGCTGCCTTGATAGACACCTCATATATTCAAAAGAGGAGGCTTTCAGAAAATTTATGAAGAGTAACTTCAAGGAGAAAGATGAACTTACAGGCAATGTGGGGCTCCTGTTCAGAGCCCAAAATGGTGATTGCATGGAAAACAGAGACACTTTTTTCAAGCTGTTGTTTTAAAATATCCACACCCTATTTCTGTGACAGCCACAGCTTTTCCCACCAACATGGAAACCAAGAGTGTTGATAATTTCTAATGACAAGAGGAGCCTCCAAACAGAGCTTTTTAGTCATAAGTGGATCTGTTAGATGAAAACCTGGCTTGGCCTGCTACCAGCTCACTTTTCTCTCTCCCTTCTCTTTTAGCAAAATTTTCCTATCCTTGAACTTACAAACTGAACATTTCCTAGCATTCTCCCCAGCACGTTGCTGTATGTTTATGTGTATTATTCATGTCTCTCCCACTAAAATGTGTATGTCTTGAGAATTTAGATTTCTCTCTTATTCACCCTTAATGTTCCCCAAGCTCTTGCACAGGACCTCATATATAGTAGCAAATATGTGACTTATTTTGAATGTGGAAGGAACTATTTGGCCTTGAGTTGACAGGAAAACTGGAGGGGAAAAACTACATCTGCTAATGGGATAAGAAGAAAAACAAATTAGCAGTAAAATTCTTGAGGTAAAAAGTGAGTCTTGGAGTTGCAATATTCTGAAATGAGTTCTGGGCTGGAAGGCAGGAGGCTTTGACTCTGGTCCCAGCTTGGCCACCAACTGAGGGACCATGGGCAAGCCAGCTGATCTCTCTGTGTTTCAAAGTCCCCAACCGTAAAATGGTGGTGCTGCAGGAGGAGACTTCCGTGGGATCCTCATGATCCACAGCCCTCTTCTACAGAGAAAAAGGCCATAATTTAAAATAAGACAGGGCCATCCACCAGCCGTGTATCTTGTGTTTTATTTCATTTAATCATTGTATTTTATTTCGGTAGAAGACATGAGTGAGAGCCTCCAGGGAGAGTTGAACAATCTGTGAGATATCGCACCCCAGCCCCCATGGGAAAGTGGGCAGCCTCTCATGATTCCGGACCTGCAACTGTCCATAGCCAAGAATAGTGCCTCGCAGGCCTGCCTGCCCCAGGAGGAGGAGTGCTTGCCCGTCAACCACCATCAAATCCTTTTCCAAAAAGATGTTTTAAATGTATTTTTTCAATTGACAAAAAAAAAGTATATATTTATTATGTACAACATGATGTTTGGAAATATGTATACATTCTGAAATAGCTAAAGGAAGCTAATTAACATATTCATTACCTCAAATACTTATTTTTTTGTAGTAAGAACACTTAAAATCTACTCTCTTAGCAAGTTTCTAGCATGCAATACATAGTTATTAACTGTAGTCACCATGTGGTACAATAGATCTCCTGATCTTATTCCTCCAGTCTAACTGAAATTTTATATCTTCAGCCAACCTTTTCTTATTTTCAGTAATATTCTGCCTCACAAACAAAATATCTTGGCAAGTAACACCAGCTATCAATCTGGAACTCCTGGCCTAGGCTCATGGAAGCAGTGGAGCTTGTCTGAGAAATGGAGGTGCAGGATCCTTCATCTTTCAAGGATGGCAAAGAAAAGCTTGCCAACAAGGGTGTGTACCCCCAAGACTAGAGAAAGCAGTATGGCTCTGGATTCTGCAAGGACAGGAGTCTACATCCTGTCTGGCTCTTTGTGAAGAGGCTACTTGAGAGGCCAAGCTAGACTTAGAGTAACAGGAATTTTCCAGCTTCAACAGGAGACAGTGAGACAGCCATTGATGTTGCCTGAACCAGCGGCTTTATCTGCACAGCTCTAGAACAGCACAGGATCATTAAATTGCAGAGGGCAGGAAGGGCCTCACCAAAATGTCACACAACAGGTTGCTGCCTGTGGGAGAAGTTTCATCAGGACTCCAGGAGCCCCAGAGTTTATGGAGAATCCAGGGGAGGAAGAGCGCTAGAGAGCCTGGTGTTGGGTTTTAGATAATTCACCTCAGCCACCCACTCCACTGCAGTCAAATTGGTCTCCTCACTGTCCCTTGAACACAACAGATGTGCTTCCGCCTCAAGGCCTTTGCTCTGCTGTTTCTCCTGTTGGGAGTGCTTTCCACAAGACTGCACTTGCTAATTCCCCACCTCCTTCAAGAGTTCGTTTCCATCACACCTTCCACACATGGCCCACCCTGAGGACCCTATTAAATACCTGCAGCAACTGCCTCATTCCCCTACCCTCTGCATTTCATTCCTACCCTCTTACCCAGGTCTACCCTTTCTTTTTAACACAGAGCTTACCACTTTCTAACATGCTAAAAAATGTAATTATAAATTGGGTTCCATTTCTGATCTGATCACCCCCTTCCCCCAGAATGCATGCTCCCTGGAGGTAGGAATCTTTGTTTGCTCACTAATAAATCTCAGGCATCTAGAACAGTGGCTGGCACAGGGTAAGCCTTCGAAGTACCCGTTGAATAAATGATGGAATGAATGGGCTTATTAGGAACCTCCATTGGTTTTAAATCACTTTGGAAAGATGAAAGCAATTTGATTGCACTTGCCGGCTGAACCTGAGGAGCGAATCATAGAGAAATCAGGCAAATCCACAGCACCCCGAGACCCTTCAGAATTATTTGGAGAAATGAAAACTGTAGCTGGACTGTATCAGGTGTTCTTCAAGGATAACCCTTGAGTTCAAGAGTCTCATTTTCTTCACTTTACAGATCGGATAATTGAAGCTCAGCATGTAATTAACATGCCCGCCTTAAGTATGAGCACTGTTTTAAGTGATTTACATATTTGTATTAACTTATTTAATCCTCGCATCAACCATGAAGTAGAGAGCATTAGAATCCCCATTTCACAGATGAGTAAATAGAGACATAAATAATGTGACTTTTCCATGTTCACCTGGACAGGGAGTGTCAAGCAGTCACTTCTAAACCCCTGCTGTTTCTCTTATTCCACCCAGACAGGATCTTCCTAGGGAGTTCCTTCAAAAAGTATCTTTTTTTTTTTTTAGGAGTGTCACTCTGTTGCACAAGCTGGAGTGCAGTGACACAATCACAGCTCACTGTAACCTCAAATTCCTGGGCTCAAGTGATCCTCCCACCTCAGCCTCCAAAGTAGCTCAGACCACAGCTGTGCCCCCATGCCCAGCTAATTTTTAAATTTTTTGTAGAGATGAGGTCTTGCTATGTTGTCCAGACTGGTCTTGAATTCCTGGCATCAAGCAATCCTCCCCTCTCAGCCTCCCAAAGTATCTTGATAGGTGTTATACTGAAAATTCTATTAAAAAGTTTTGAATATGTTTATTTTTCATATTATCAATTTTTCCTTGTGTTTATTTTTCACAAAAACTTCAACATTTACACAAAATCCTCATTTTGATGTGTAATCTGACAATTCAGAGTGTTCACATTTGCATATTTATATTCTTTTTGCCATTTCCATTCCATGAGATCTGCTGGTCTGTGAGGTACCTCATTAAGTGCAGCTGTAACTTCCCCATGGTGAGCAAAGACTAGGAAATGGATAAATATCTATGACGGTTCCTCCTTGCAAAAGTGCAGGATTGGTTCAGCAGCTCTTCTGCTGGTGGGAATGGATAGCAATAAAGCAGATCAAAAAGAATGAACTCTCTTCCCTTCCTATTCTAAGAAGATGGTTCCCTTCATCTTTCACCACAAGGGTAATAAGCTCAGCCTCATTACAGAACCTGAGCAGCACCAATCTAAAACATACTGCATTTACTATGAGGGATTGGTGAGGCTAGCCCCTCTGAACAGTGGCTTCAGTCATTCTGTGGCCAAGGTCCTAGGAAATGACTAGAGAGATAAGATGCGGGACGAAGGATGAAGTCATTTTGGTCTGGCAACTAGATGGGGTCCCCAGACCCATGCTTCTCAAACCACATGTAGAGAGAGCAAGTTTGTTTGTCCTTAATCCTTAGAAGACCAAAATTTGAAAAATATATTGCAAATGAATTACCAAAAGAAAGATAAATAAATGAAATGAAATACGACAGTCAGATTTGTATTATTATATTAGATTTATATTAATATATTAGATTAATATTAGTATTAGATTATAAAATTGCTCTGTCAGTTTGCTATTAAAAGTTTCAAACAGCTTATTCTTAATTTCTGTATTAATTTCTGTAACAAGCAGACCCATCAACCACGCTCTGAGTAGCAATGCCCTGGACCAGGCTGGGCAGCCTGAGACCTTCTCTGGGTGGCAGTGGAAGGAGTGGCTATGAAAGGCAAGTTCAACCTAAAGAGAAATAGAGAACCCAGGATGAAGGAAACACAAACGGTATAACTCTGCCTAGTGATCGGGGCAAGAGGGAAGCAAATCCACACAGTGCAAAGTAATATGCAACTAAGCAGACAGTAAAGAGAAGAAAGAGAAGGGATGAGCTGATAGGAGCATCACAGCATCCCCCAAACTTCTGATCAGTACTGTAGCATCCACACAGCTAACTGGTTATACATGAGCTATGTGCTTGGCATCACTTGGATCACAGTTATACAGCATATGAGCTCCTTAGACTGAGTTCCATGGGAGAAGCAATGGCGTTTTCTTTCCTCCTTAAGAAGGAAGGTCAGGGTACTGGTTACATGTCCTTGCATATGTCACCCAAGTTAACCTGCCCTGATTTAAGTAGGAATCTGGAAGAGTGAGACACTCATTTTGCAGAGAACAATCAGAATTGCATTTGAGTTGATGATCCCATCCAGTGTGATTATAGGGTCTCTATAGGCACAGTGATTCCTAATGGATTTGTCTTAGAGATTTCTTTTCCACCATTGTTGCTGATGCCCTCAATGTGTAAATTGATGATCTGCTGCTAATGTCTTAGCCCCGCTACTGTTCCTCTTCATGCCACCTCTAGCTAGTACTATTGGTTTTACAGGAACTGTCGAAGTGGCAGGAAAATGTTTCCCCCCAGAAATAATAGCTTTGGGGGTTCTTTAGAATCTTGCCCTTTTCATTTTATAGTCTCTGAAGGGAAATAAAGAACATATTTTCCCAGGGACTTTACCAGTAGACATTTAAGAGCTGCCAACCATGCACAATCTTTATTAGCCAGAATCACTGTGCCCAGGCAGAAGACAGAACCCACATGCTTCAGCTGTGTCCCATCACTGGATGTTCAGGCTGCCTCCTCTGCATCCTGTAAAGTGTGGGCAGCCTTGCCTCCTGCTTTTCATTGGGAGTTGTATTCCAGGAGCCTGACTTTCAGCCCCAGCTTCATGCCTCATACATTTCAACAAACGTAAAATTTATCATTAAAAAATAACTCTGCACATCCAAATAGGCAAGAACTCCAAAGCAAGCAGATTGAGTTTCACAGCTCATAAACAACTCCCGAATACAGTTGGCTAAGAGAATTGATATCCACGTGACAAGGATTCTTCTCAAAGGCACTGTCCTCAATCCAATCACCATACCAGATATGTGTATTGTGTATTGTCTATTGTCCATTCATGCAAAAACCTTCTGTCTGAAGAATCCCGCTTAATAACAGCTAAGTGTTGATTACTTGGACGATGATCAGGAAGTCACGTCTTGAGCTTTAGGAACTACCAGGTAGAAAAGAGTGAATTCAAAAAAGTTCTAGAGCAGTGGTTCTCAACTGAGAGTGATATCCTCCTTCCTCCAACCCCCTCCTCCTCTCCAGTGACATTTGGCAATGGCTGGAAACATTTCTTATTTTCATGGCTGGGAGTGGGGGTTGCTACTGGCATTTAGAAGGTAGAGGCTACCGATGCTGCTAAACATCCCACGTTACACAGGACAGCCCCCACAATCAAGACTTATCCAGTCCATAATGCCAATGGTGAAACTGGAGAAACCCTACTCTGGGGCCATACCATTAATGAACGCATAATTAATCACTATGATTTTGATTGATTTGATACATTTTTTAGTAGGACAGTTACCAGAGTTTTCCCAAAGATAAATGTACATTTATAGGATGTGCTTTGATAAACAGAAAAATAACACTAGTTTGGGAAATCAGTAGTTGAGGCAATGGGTTATTCTCTCAGATCGAATGTACAATGATGTTCTCTTCATGGGCACATAGCTCTCTTTGGTAACCATTGCTGGACTGGGAACCATTACCTTCCACTCCCTCCAAATTTGCTTCCAGCAGAGTCTCTGCCCTCTAGCATGATCCTGACAAAAGATGACAACTCTGGCATTTGGAGCCCTTTTTAGAATAACATGCATGGGTTCTCTTCTTCCTCCAAACATCTAGCCAAAGACTCCTCACATTTGAATGTGCAAATGAAATCCTGGAAGCGGGGGATGTTGGATAAAATGCACATTCTGTTTCAGTAGGTCCTGAATGTGCCCCAAGATTCTGTGTTTTTAACAAAATGCTCTCAGACAACTCTGTTGGTCCATGGACCCCTCTCTGAGCAGCAAGGTTCTAAGGCAGGCCCATGTTCTTGCTCATGGTCCTGTTTCCATCTTGCCTTCTTATTCACGCCCAGGGCTTACCTGCCTAAAAAAGCTAGGAAGACCAACCATGTAGAGGGTGGGCAAGGTATGCATTTTGAAATCTGAAAAGCACATATTTAATCCTGAATCTTCCTCATAATCGTTCTGTGACCCTGGACAAATTAACCAGTCTTCCTAATATCAGTTTTCTTATCTTACTATGGATATAATGGCTATTTCACAAGACAGTTGGCAAGGATTAAATGAGATCACAGGTCCTTCATCCCTTATCCAAAATACTTGCGGCCAGATGTATTATGAAATCCAGAATATTTTTAGATTTAAAAAAAGTAATATGGTGTGTATGCAATATATTATGTAACAGGCTCACAGGGGCTGGGAGAGCAGCCCATATAATCAAATAAATTAATATTCATGCAGCAAAATATATGAATACTATACCAACCAGAAGGAATAAGGACCATAAACAGCTGAAGTTCACATCAGGTTTTCCTGCCAAATATGTTCAGGTCAGGTATGAGTTACAAGAAAGCTTTTAGTTTTCAGAGCTTTTTGGATTTTAAAACTATGAATAAAGGGACTGTGAATCTGTGTTTGGTCTGTGAGTGCACTAATCTTTCAGTTGAAAGAGTGTGACACACTCCTTTCCTCCTACATGTTAAAGGGTAAAAAAGCAAAGCCTCTGAGGTTAGGACTGGACATGCCACAGAACCAAATCCAGGGTATGAGATAACCAAATCAAGGGAGAGGCCCGTTCACTAGGGCCAGGTGGGATTCAAGGTCAAAGCCATGCCACACCTAGAAGAGCTCTATATTGAATCCCATCATTACTTTTTAAACCACACAGACACACACACATTTGCACACACATACAGTCACATTCCTCAAACTATCAGAACTGGGGCATGGCTAAGTTCAGAAATTGGGGTCTGGCAGAAGGTGGAGGCAGAAAGCCAAATCGCTTCTGAGAAAAACACACCCTAATTCCCCCTTTAGCTCATAAAATTAGAGGAGAATTTCTCTATGGAGGGCATTCAACTTCTCTCTTGAAAATATACGTAGGGAAATGTGCACCAGGCAGAGGTAGAAGTCATTGAAGTCATTTCACAACTCTTAATTTACATGGACAATTAAATGTTTGTAGGTGTAGTACCTTCTATTCTTTTTTTTTTTTTTTTTTTTTTGGATGATGATGATCATCTTATAATTACAGCTCTTGGTGCAAGATTTGGAGAGGAAAACTGCATAGCATTAAAAAGAAGAAGAAAAAAAAAAACACTTGTGAATCCAAGCTATGCCATTCCCTCATTTTTTAGAACTGTCTTCTAGCCAAATTGAAGTGTGGGACCGCCTTCATCCTGCAGCTTCAGCAACAAGGCATATATTCCCTGGGTACATGCTGGAAAGAGAGGTCAGAGGGCAGGACCTACTACATGTCCTGAACAGTTGGGTGAAGGGTCAAGATCTGTTATGTGTAGCAGGTGATCACCCTGGAATGTAATGCATTCTGCAATGATAATTGAAGTCTGAGATTGTTTTAGAGATTATTTTAGCAGAGACAGTTAGTATTGTAGTTATGAGCTTGGTCTCTGGAGGCAGCCTGTCTGAGTTGGATGCTGAGCCCTTCTGCTTACTGATCATGTGGACTTGAGCCAGTTGTTACGGCTCTGAGATTCTGTTCCTCTACATGTAAAACAAGGATAATAAGAGGACCTGCTTCGCAGGATTACTGTGAACGTTGAATGAGTTAATGTGTGTCAGGTCTGAACACAGCACATAGTAGGTGCCTTCATGTTAATTGCTGTTATCTTACAAGTCCAGCTTCCACTGCTAGACTGAATTGGATTGAAAGCCAGTCCCTGTTGACTGACCGCCCCTGGAGGACAGCAGCTCCTCCACACAGGGAGGGAGTTCGGGTCCATCTCTTTGACTCTACCCCATAACTCTGGGGTGGGCCTGATGGGAAGGAATTATCTACCAAGCCCCAGGCATGATGCCAAGCTGTTGAATACTTCATCTCTCAGGTAGACAGTTATCTCCATTTCCCAGATGAGGAAACTGGTGCTCAGTAAATTTCAGTGACTTGCCTAAGTCTGTACAACTAGTAAGAGATAAAGCCACCCTTGGAAACCACAACTACACAGTTTCAAATTCCATACTCTTTCCACCAAATGCACAGTCTCCAGAATTTCACACAACCCCTCGAGTCCTCACCTAGAAAGTTTGAGGGCAGAGATAGGATCATCACCTCTTTCAAGAGAAGGAGGGTAGAGCAAGTGAGGATATTAACTGCACTTCAATAAACCACTCATAACATAAAAATAACACAGGAAAATCTCATGATCTGTTATCACCATCACGTCATTCAACCTAAGACATGTCAATGGCAACAATGTAGACAGGACAGAATATCCTGGAAGATATGGTGCAGATGTTCAAATCAAATAGGTCCAGCTCTTTCAACAGTTCATTTTTCTCATGGGCAGCCCACCCTGCTGCCTCCCATTTGGGCCTCCCCTGGGCTGGCTCCACAGTGGAAGCCCATGACCAGCAAACAGTGACCCAGTTGAGGCAACCACTTCATCTGCCACATGGTTCCAGACTTCACAGAACCAGAGAGAAAAACACTCTTCCTGTCAGCAGCTGAAAAATTTTGCTTTGGGCCCCAGGGTAAGTGTGACTGGGGCCTGTGTGGTCTAGCAGAAAGTTTGCTTGGCTGCCTGAGGAAAGAGAGACACTCAGGCTCATCTTAGTGACAGGGAGAAACGTGCAATTTCCCCCATGTGTCCACAGCTGCTCTCCTGCCAGCTGGACAACACAGACTGGCCTCATTCACTGAAAATGCTTCCAAACAAGTAACCTATAGCCTGCACGGGACTGCAGCCCGGGAGCCAGGAATCTGGCTGAGAATGAATGAGATACCTCTCAGCAGAGTTCCAAGTTGGAAAGAATCATTAAAAATGTGGCCATAATTTCTCTACAGAAAAAAAAAAAAGAGGACACATTCAGGGTCATTCTGAAATAGTCTTTGCAGAGACATCTGTTCCCGTTACAGCTTTGCTAAACCAAATATGTACGTGATGCTTCTGGTTTTCCTGTCAAGCTGATCAAAGGGTGTTTGTGTGTAGAATAATACATTTTAGGAACGAATGCCAGGCATGTCTGCAAATATTACATTAGAGGAGGGACAAGTTGGGGTGGTGTGGGGAGGGAGGGCACACGGCTGAGCTAATGGCCTTCCTGTAGCTGTTGCAGGCTGGAGAAGCCGAGGTGACTGTGGGGACTTCAATGAAACTGATAGCATCTCTGAGTCCAGGCCGGGAGATGACTCACCAGTGGAGACTCATTAGCACAGGGTCACCCAGGGACTGAGAGGTTCCTTTCAGAAAAAAGAAGCACAGACATCCAGCATCCTTCCTGCATTTCAATAACTCTGTTTAAACCAGGAGGAACTGGTTCCACGAGACCATGAACCTACATTCTCAAAAGAAAGACGCATTACATCTAATTAGGCATAGTTTTATTGATTTCTAATAAGATTTGGGGAATTTTTAAATTCTGAGTATCAAATTGACAGTTGGAGTTCTTTCTTTCATTTTGTTCACGTTTTTTCTTGTTGTTCTGAAATGCTGTGTCACATTCATGTACTCATGTGGAACCTGAGTGTCAACATGTGAGCCTGCAGCCTGCCTGCTGCATTGCTCACCTGGGTAACACTGAAAGCTCTATGTGCATTTGTGAAAAAAAAAATCATGAATTAGATACATCAGTCAGAGAATCATGTCAATCACAAAAGACAAAACACTCCTTTTAAGGATGAAACCTGGTTTGCAGCTCACTTTCTCCAATAGAGCCACTGCCCAGACCTGTCCAGCCCTCACCATCTGGCATGTCTCTGCAGCAGCTAATGTTAGAGACCTTCTTCCTATAAACAGCATCTCCCTTGGTTTTGGTGGGACTATTCATATCTTGTTTTCCTCCTGTGTATCAGATCATTCCTTCCAGACTTTTCTTCCAGACTCCACTGTCTCTACATCTCTTGTATGCTGCTGGCCACCCAGATTTTTGCCCCAACTTGCCCCAACTCTCTGCTGTACTTCCTCTGCATTTTGTAGGCTCTCACTCACTGTCCTGGCTTGGGTCCCCATCTCTACACTGATGCCTCTCCTGCCTCCCCTCCAGACCATCCTTCTGAGCTCAGGTTACAGAGAGCCAGCAGCCTCTGCACGATGGGACCCAGGATCCCAGAGTGTGCACCCACTTTGTCTCTAACTCTGGCATCAGCCTCCTAGTCAAGTCATCCAAAACACCGGGAATGATTCTGGACCTGTTCTCTCCTTCATCTGCTGCAAACTGAGTCTTGCGTTTTCTGTTTTCTCAGCATCAGATACTTTTTCCTTTTTCTTCATCCCCTGTGAGATGCTGACCACAGTCCTGGCTCACCCTTCTCATGCCAAGACCACTGCCATCCTGGAAAATGGGCTGTGTGCCTCTAACCGCAGTCCCTGCCACACTTCCTTGAACACTTTATAAAATTCAAATCTGATCACTCTTTCTTAACCCTCTTCAGGGTCTTCCAGTGCCCAGAGGATCACTTCCATCCAGAGTAGTTCATCATACGAGACCCTAGTAATCTGGCCCCTGTGTTCTCACTCAACACTTCTCTTTGAACGAATGCACAACTACTTACAATTCTCCCAAACTGCCATGTTGTTTCACGCCTCTTTGCATGCCTTGAAACGGAAATACCACTACCACCGCCTTCGGTCATTCTCTCTTGTTCACTTTTCAAGCCTCAGTTCCTCTTCCGTAAATCTCCACTCCTTTTCTGGGAGAATTATTCTCTTCCATGTTCCTGCTGACTTCTGTCTCCCACAACTCACTCTGTCAGGCCACACTGCCCACGTTTACATGTCTGTGACTCTACCACCTGCTGGTGTGTCAGTTTGACTAATTCTCTCAGTTTGTCTTGCCTTGCTTTCTTCATCTATAAAATGGGTATAGCAATACCTACCTCAGAGGTCTGTGCTCAGGATTAATTGAGTTAATATATTTAAAGTCCTTAGTGCAACATCTCCCAGAGTAACAGGCACATATTAGGTTCTCAGTAAATGTATAATTGAACACATAGAATAAGCAAATAGACACCAGCTACTTTTGTCAGCCCATGTATTAGTTTTCTGGAGTTGCTATAATAAAGTACCACAGACTGGGTGGCTTAAACAACACAAATGTATTTTTCTTACAGTTCTAGAGGCTGGAAGTTTGAAATCAAAGTGTTGGCAGGGCTGGCTTCCTCTAAGGCCTCTCTTCTTAGCTTGTAGATGGCGTCTTCCTGCTGTGTCTTCACATGGTCTTCCTTCTATTCATGTCTGCATTCCAAACTCCTCTTCTTGTAACGACATGGGTTCTATTGAATGAGCACAACCCCATGACCTTATTTTCCCTTAATTACCTCTTTAAAGGCCCCATCTCCAAAAACAGTCACATTCTGAGGTACTCAGAATTAGGACTTCAATGTATCAACTTTAGGGGAGAACAATTCAGCCCATAACAGTCCAAGTCTCTCAATTTTTACTGATGTTTTATTTTAATCCTTTGATAAGTAAACAGAAGAGACAGCCATGTCCTACTGTTGAAGGATGGACAGTGTAATGTCACAGTGCTGATATTAACATGTTCTGAGGCCTGTGTGAATGTCGTAGCTCCACTGGGCCTTGGTTTCCCGCTCTATAAAGAAAGGAGATGAACCTAGGTGCTGACTTCAGTCTCTCCCATCTCTGATGTTTGGGGATTATATGAATAACAAGTGCACACCCAAAAGGTAATTTAGAAAATGTCTTCCTTCCGTGTACCTTTGGACCAAGGGTCTCCTATCTGTACATCTAGGTCATTGTTGCCTCATGGGTTCCTAGTGGGTGCGGCTCATCTATTTGCAAATTTTTTTTTACTTCATCAAATACTAAATCTAACATTTTTATATTTCTCTAAAATGTTTCCTCTTTTTATGTGTTGCTGCACATGCATTCTGCTATAAATTGTTAACCATAGTTTAAACCTAAATTTATAAAACTCAGCCAGAATACAGAAATCAGAGCAGTACTAACCTTGAGGGGGTGAATACAGAGTAGGAAGGGGCCCGAGGGACCATCCAGGATGATGACAATGTTCTATATCATGACTGAACAGTTGTTACAAACGTACACACTGATGTAAGAAATCCATCTAGCTTTGGACCTGAGAGATTTGTGTATTTTACTAGATGCAATAATACCTCAACGAAAATATATAAATACCATAAGGATAGATTGCACTTGGTGACAGCTACCATGCAGAAATGCTGACCTATCACTTTTCTCTGAGCAGTTGGTCCTGTGATCATTTTGGAATGTGACTTTTGTACTGCCTGCAATTCAGGAAGGGAGGATGTAAGGAGACCAGAAGGTTAAGTCTTTTTCAGTACTCTTTCTATCCACATATTATCTCTAAAAAAGTGGAAGGAAAGAGGAAATTCTAAAGGAGCTGAGAAAGGGCTAGATGTGTTGGGTCTGAAATATCTCAGTATCCAGAAATGCTTGAGGGATTAGGACTCCAAGAAAGGAAGAAAGACACAAGCCAGTCACTATCTCCTGAGATGAGGCTGTTAGAGACCCAGAGAGAGACCCACTTCCCCTCTGGAAGGAGTTTCCACAGGGATGAAATCCTATTCACATTTATGCCTGTGTTCTTGCCCAGCGTAGTCCTTATCCCAGCCATTAGTGGGCACTGGGTGACTGGAGCATTCTCCCTCTGCTCCTTCAGTCCTTCAAACTTGCAAAAAAAAAGATAGATTACATAGATGATAGATAGATAAATAGTGATAGATAGATAGATAGATAGATGATAGATGTAGTAGGAGTGATTGATAGATTAGATAGAGGGACAGATATAGATAGATAGATATAGATAGATAGATAGATAGATAGATAGATAGATAATAGATAGTGGTAGATTATATAGATGATACATAAATAGATGATAGATAGAATGATAGAGTGACAGAGACAGATGATAGACAGATAGATATATTAACAGATAGTGATAGATAAATAGGTAGATGGACAGATAGAGATGGACAGAGATGATAGACAACAGAGTTATAGAGAAAGAGAGAGAAGGAAGGAAGGAAGGAGAGAGAAAGAGAGAAAGGAAGAGAGAGAGCAAGAGAGAAGGAAGGAAGGGAGGGAGGGATTCACTAGTGATTAGAGTTCTGAAAGGAAAACATCTCCTTTGGCGTCACTCTCTGACACTTAGTGTGATGGTACCAGCCCAGGCACAGCAGTGAGGACTTCCCCTCAACATGTGAAAAATAAATCTTTCTTACTTACCAGCTTCACTCTCTCCAGGGATTTTGGATCTATTCCTGCCTATGTGTGCTTGGAAAGTAGTACTAAATGGCAAATGATTTTTTCTATAATTATGTTTACATAGTATTTTTATTATATGCAATCTGAAAAATATCTTCATCATATTTTCTAACATGGGCAAATACATGTCTTAATAATCGTCTGAGAGGGCAATATCTAAATTTTTAATGTATTACCTGTTGTTTTCCTAAGTACTTAACCTTGGCCATGGTTCTACAAAGTGTCCATCCTCCAGAGGGGATGTTAGAACATCTTACGGAATGGATTCCTCTATTTATCCCACAGTAATAAAGACTTAAGTTCACACAAAAACCTGTGCACCTATGTTTACAGTGGATCTCTTCATAGAAATGGCAGACTAATTAATGGTTACTGGGGTTAAGAAGGGGATAGGAATGGAAGAGAAATGAGTGTGGCTACAAAAGGGCAACAGAAGGGCTCTTTGTGATGATGGAAATGTTCTATGCTTTGCCTGTATTAATCTCGATGCCTTAGTTGTGATATTCTCCTATAGTTGTCCAAGATGTTACTACTAGGGAAAACTGAGTTAAGGGTACACCACAGGGTCTCTGTAATAGTTCTTACAATTGCATGTGAATCAAAATTATCTCTAAATTAAAACATTAATTTTAAAAACTAAAAACAGATGCCTCAGGCATGGAAGATAGGATCACAGGCATGGGAACGGGGTGCTGGGTAAGGAGGTTCACCTATTAAAGCCACCTCTTCAATTCTTCCTCTGACAGCAAAGGTGTGGGCTTGCTGCTGCTTGAGGGGAAGAGTATATGGCAACTGGGGACCAAAAGCTCACTCTTTTCCAATGCCAGTGGATGGTGGGAAGGAGACAGGGAGAGAGAGTATGAGCACACGTCAAGCTGAAACTACCTAGACATTCCCCTCTCAGTACTAGAAAGGGACAAGGAAAGTGACAGCACAAAAGGTCTCTTGCCCTCACCAACCCCAGCAGAGCCATATCAGCTTTGAGGCTCAGTGTGGCCAGAGAGAGGGGAATCCTGAGGTTTTTCTTTCCAAGCCACCTATTTTCTTGAGTTTAATCAACTCCAAGATGTGAGCAGGGCATCCAGCAGGACTGGTAGCTACTAGGAGCTTAGGGGATGTCACCCAGGGGCCAGAGCTCCAGCTCAAGAACCCCAGATCTTTGCTCTGCCAAACACACACAGCTTGATGAGGAGGACCGGGAAGGGCAGGGGGGTTTCTGCCGGGGAACACATGGATGTGCTGCAGAGGTCGATGCACCCCCATTCCACAGGAGGTCAATGTATCCCCATTCCACAGGAGGTCAATGCACCCCCATTCCACAGGAGGTTGATGCACCCCCATTCCACAGGAGGCCGATACACCCCCATTCCACAGGAGGTCGATGCACCGCCATTCCACAGGAGGTCAATGCACCCCCATTCCACAGGAGGGGGCACAGGAGCTCTGCACTTAAGTTCACACACTGCCAGAACTTTCCCTAAGTGTCCCTTTTATAATAAAACTGTAATCATAAAGTATAGTGTTTGCCTGAGTTCTGTGAGTTGTTCTAGCAAATTATCAAACCTGAGGGGGTCATGGGAACTGATGTGGTTTGGCTCTGTGTCCCCACCCAAATCTCATCTTTAATTGTAAACGCCACATGTCTAGGGAGGGGCCTGTAATCCCCACATGTGGAGGGAGAGAGGTGATTGGATTATGAGGGCAGCTTCCCCCATGCTGTTCTCATGATAGTGAGTGCATTCTCATGAGATCTGATGGTTTTATAAGGGGCTCTTACCTCTTGTCTCTCTCTCTCTCTCTTTCATCTGCCGCCATGTAGGATGTGCCTGCTTCCCCTTCCACCATAATTATAAGTTTCCTGAGGCCTCTCCAGTCATGTAGAACTTGAGTCAATTCAACCTCTTTTCCTCATAAACTACCCAGTGTCTAGTATGTCTAGATTCCATATGTCTAATCTAATACAGATTAGAGCAGTGTGAGAACAGACTAATACAGGAGCCCTTGAATTTATAACCAGTTGGATAGAAGTGCAATGGCCTGGAGACCCCCATAGTGTGGCTGGCATCTGGTCAGGGCAGTCTTGTGGAGGCCTAAGCCTTTGACATGTAGAGTCCTGCGCTAACTCCAGGTAGTTGGATCAGCATTGAATTGCAATCCACCCAGTTGGCATGGAAACAGGACGGAACCCTACTCCAAGCTCTAGATGTAGGAACAGTATTCTCAGCAGGTCAGGGGTCCCTCCTTTGTGTACCACTGTGCCCTGCCTGACTTCTACCTTAGTGCCTCTGATGTGCTTGGGAATTCATTTGTTTGAATGAATGTCTCTCCCACAAGACCCAGGCTTCTCATGGGAAAGGACCAGAGAGCGCTCAGGTCTCATGGAAGTTAAAGTCTTTTGAGGGAGTGTTTACGTTTAAGTGTTACATATAAGTGTTTTACAAAATCCTAAGACCGTGTGCCACATCACCAAGGCCCCTCTGCCTTGGAAGAGGCCAGGAGCGTGGTGAGGTACCCTGAAGCTCAAGCACCACTGGCCTCACGGCAAACCTGCTGTGTCCAGGCCCACATCTCATCCTCCCTGGCATCCGGCTCGCAGAAGACATTCTGAGCCCGTGTACCAATGAATGAAAGATTAAGTAATTCATCCACAAACACAGATCCAAGTAGGAGTAAGGCATTTCTTAACCTTAGACTTAAAAGATGATTTGATTCCTTCTGTTTAGATAACAAGGGCTTTTTTTTCCTTTGAGGTCTGACCTCACTTACTATTTTTGCCTGAGTCCCTGCAGTGGGACTGGGACGGACACACAGGCTGTGATGACAGGGTCTAAACACACAGGAGCCGGGGAAGCTGGTCATCTGGTCTTTGCAACCAGTTTAGAAAAATCCCCCAAGAAATTTGTGTTTCATTTCAAAGTTAAACCACTAAAGAATCAAAGAAGGGAGCTGAAATGCAAATTTAGGGCTCATTTTAACTTTAGGAGGATTTAAGGTCTTTGTCTCAGTGCCAAAAGCTTTCTCTTTGTGGAGAATCCAAGTCATTAGGTTGCCCTGGCATTT
The DNA here is from genome assembly GCF_000001405.40 of Homo sapiens. Classification (NCBI taxonomy): domain Eukaryota; kingdom Metazoa; phylum Chordata; class Mammalia; order Primates; family Hominidae; genus Homo; species Homo sapiens. Next base: position 12,170,032 of record NC_000002.12, on the reverse strand, counting down.
GCTGGGGTTTACAATAAAATAGTTAGAGGCTTTTTCACAGTCACCCAGCATTAGGAGACGTGTTGTGTGGCACGTCATGCCTCTCATACCACAAGGAATTCTGGAACCACTCCTCCCCTTCCTTCCTGCTGTCACTGCCCTGGTTTGGCCTCAGAAGCGGGTCTGAGATGAACAAAGAGGCACTGGATGTGAGATCACACCGACCTAAGTCCCTCTCTGACTGGCCCTGACGTACCAGCTGCGTCATTGAAACTTCTCTGAGCCTCTATTTATTTATAAGATCCCAGCATTCAGTAGCTGCCACCATCTTGGCATCTTCCCATACCCTGGGTACAATTTCAAGCTCCTTTTGTATGAAACAGGAATCCCAATTTTTCATCTCAGGTAGCTGAAGAGTGACATCTGAAGTGTCACTTAGAATCACTACCCTGGCTTCTATCTTCAGCTGCAGAGAAGACTGTGCTACCAAGAGGATAAATATGAAAGGGTCTCTCTCACCAGCCTGAAAACAGCCGGAAGGTACAGTCATGTGCCATGAAGGGCTCAATGGAGGTGGCTGGGTCATGCCAGGGTATGCAATTAGGAGCTGGAAACCATACAAAGATAAACTGAACAGGTCAGATGGTAAAATCAAGAGATGATGTACGAGATAGGAAACTATCTTCTGGTAGTCTCATGCCTCCCTAGGGAAGCATGAGACCTGTTTCGCCTCTAGGGAACCAGCAACTCATTACTGAATCACTAAAATGTTGTTGACGAACTCCTCAAGCCCCAGAAGGAAATGAGCTTATGTCCTTGCCCGTGTCTCCCTTTCATGCCTCTGAACCTCCTCCCCAGGCAGTTGATGAAATGGTCATTTGTACAGGGGTCACTGTGAGTTCAGAGCAGCCTGCAGTTCTCCAATTCACAGCAATAAGAGCTGGATGTGTTTCAATTAGGTTCACAAGACTATGAAGTCATCCTGGATCCCAATCAGCTGATTAAAAATAATCACATTGCATTTTCAGAGAACTTGAGTATTTTGAGGATAGGAAAGAGTCTAATTATTTTTCTATATGATTGCCTCATTCTAACTATTCCACAGTGGCAATGGAAACTAATGTTTTCCAGCACCTCCCATTGACTAGGCCCCTTGCTAGTTGTTTTTCCTGTGTTACTTCCTCTTATCCTGACATCAAACCTTGAAGGCAGAATCATCATCTCCATTTTAGAGATAAAGAGACTGCAATTTAACATGCAAAGCTTAAGGTGACTTCCCTACACCTGTACAGTCAGGACAGTCTGGTTCTAATCTTGGAACTTAATCTGTTCAACTCCGAATCGGATCCAGCCAGGGCCTAAAGTTCACCTTCTTCTCTCTGGGCCCCCTGTGGCCTTCTTTCCTTCGGATCTGACTTTCCCAGAGACCACGTGAAGTGGTCAGGCAGAGCTCGTGCAGCTCCAGTCCAGGCTGAGAAGAGCACAGGCTGAGTAGTGGCTGTCATCATGTTCAGGCTAGGCTGGTTCAGCTTGATCAATGTCAACAGGATTTCCAAAGTCAGAAGTGCCCTAGGCACCAGGTGAATTGACATGGTTCAGCTCTTCAGAAGATAGCTGTGCTCTCATTTTGCTCAGGGCCAGTATGCTGCTATTACTGCGTTAATTTCCTGCTGGCTCTATTTTCCTATCCACCTTGCAGTTTTAGAATATGTCCCTCAAAAGAAATAGACACAAGTGTTCTCAGATTCTCAGTAAAATCTCACCTTGGGGTTTCAGCTTTCCAGGATGGCGCCGCTCACACCATTCCTTCTCCTGGAATGCCTGTTCAGTCATCTGCTTTTCCACCTGACGTAGTCTTGTTCCTCAAGATGCTCCTTCCCCCAGAAAGCCTGAACTGATGTCCTTGGCTAGGTGTGACCTTTGTTTCTCTGACCTTTGACATCTGCCTCTCTGGTGGCACTTAGCGCAGTGCCTTGGGGCCTTGGTTTACTCTTGGGGGCTGGGGGCTCCTTCCTGTCTTTCTCCCTCATGTATCCCTCCGTTCCTTGAACATCCTGCCTGAGATAACACCTAAAGCAAGGGCTGTGCATGGAAAAAGACACACATTACACTCAATCGTTCCACTTCATGCAAGTCCCTTGGTTCTCTCACTCAGGATCTGCAACTGCCCGCCTCCCAGTGTGTTGTAAAGATGAATTTTGTTATGTGTCTGTATACCGTATGCACAATGACCACTCACTCCTGGCCAGTCACAGTGCCTAGAATACAGCAGGTCACTGTGCACAATGAGCCATTGTCTCCTCAGACAAGGACCCTGTTTCAGCCCTGCCAGTGGTCTCTGCTGCCCCCTGGGGCAGCCCTCTGAGGTCGTCAGGAGACGGTGCTAGACGGCCTGTGCAGGCAGGACCCAGGGCAGGCAGTTCACCCTCGGCTTTGGGTAGCTGAGAAGTTTATTTTCTCCCTAAATCAGGAGGCACTAGAGGGTGAGCCACACTAATCAAGCTCGTGGGTAACTGAAACAAAACAAAAGAGGTGCCTTACGCAAATTTCTCACCTTCTACTGAAGAACAGACTTCTAGCCTGAGATTCTCTGTGGACACTGTTGGACTGTCCTTCTCCCGATAGTGAGAAATGCACTAAGCATCAGGAGCATTCTTAGGAAGGCCAGAGCTACAGCAATGGGCTTGGAGTGACCCCATGGGTCAGTATCATCCAGAGATCGCTTATCACTAAGCCAACTTCTGTTGGCTCTGCAGGCAGCCTACTCTGGTGGGCATCTCCGGACCTTTTAACCAATGCTTACCAGTTTCCTAACATGCTTTATCAATTATCAATGTGACAATCCTCTGAGCAATTGTTGATTGCAGACATATTTTAATTTCTGAGATAAGAGATTTCCTTATGCTTCATTTTAAATGACTAATAATTAACAAATGACTGATATTCACAGATTGTTTTCCTATTCATAAAATGCTTTCACAGACATTGCATTTAACTGTCCTACCATGCTGTGACGAGGGGAATATTGTTCCATTTAACAGATAAAGAAATTAAAGCCAGTGGCCTGCATTCACTCCAAAGCCACTAGCTCAGGAAGAATAAAACCAGGTTTCAAGTCCAAGTCCTTTGACTCCAAATACTGTGTTCTTTCTATTAATTATATTTATAAAATACATCTTTGTTTTCATAGTGCTTTACCTGGTTCTCCAACAACCCTGAGGTGTTGCATCCTGTCTGTTTCAGCGTGTGAGCTCCAGGAGAGAGCAGACGCTCCATGAAGCAGGGCTCTGTCTGTCTGTTGATTGCTCTAGGGGTTCTGAAAATAAGAATTGCTTAATAAATGTTTTATGAATAAAAGGGTGAAAAGTACAGAGAGATAAATTACATGTCCCAAACTGCAGAGCTAATAGGAGCTAAAGTTCGGAATTGAGCCCTCTTTTTCTGTGTGGGTGTTTTGATTTTGGTCTTTTTGAGACAGGGTCTCTGTCACCCAGGCTGGAGTGCAGACGGACGTGTGATGGTTAACACTGAGTGTCAACTTGATTGGATTGAAGGATACAAAGTATTGATCCTGGGTGTGTCTGTGAGGATGTTGCCCAAAGAGATTAACATTGGAGTTAGTGGTCTGGGAAAGGCAGATCCAACCTTAACCTGGGTGAGCACAATCGAATCAGCTGCCAGTGAGGCTAGAATATAAGCAGGCAGAAAAATGTGAAAAGAGAGACTGGCCTAGCCTCCTAGCCTACATCTTTCTCCCCTGCTGGATGCTTCCTGCCCTCAAACATTGGACTCCAAGTTCTTCAGTTTTGGAGCTTCGACTGGCTCTCCTTGCTCCTCAGCCTGCAGACGGCCTATCGTGGGACCTTGTGATCGTGTGAGTTAATACCTAATAAACTCCCCTTTACATATCTATCCCATTAGTTCTTCCCTCTAGAGAACCCTAATACAGGTAGTGTCATCACAGCACACTACAGCCTTGACCTCCCACGCTCAAGCAATCTTCCTGCCTCAGCCTCAGCCTCCCAAGTAGCTGGGACTATAGGCACATGCCACCAAGTGTAACTAATATTCTTTTCTTTTCTTTTTTTTTTTTTGGAAAGATAGAGTCTATATTATGCTTCCCAGGCTGGTGTTGAACCCCTGAACTCAAGCGATCTTCCCACTTCTGCCTCCCAAAGTGCTGGGGTTACAGGTGTGAGCCACCCTGCCTGGTTGACCTTGATTTCTTGATCTAAGTCTAATTACATTCCCAAATCAACATTCTGCCATATAAATGGAATACTAGATCATTTCCCCTATTATTGGAAGCAACACTCAGCTTTACATATTATCTCAAGGGAAAAAAGTCAGGAAATTAAAGCTGATTGCTTTCATGTGCACCATATCCAGTAATTCCCAAGTCACCCCAAAGGAAGAGAGTATCCTTTTTGTACAGACAACTAAATAAAATCTTACAGAAGTCATATAACTTGTCCAAAATCACAATGGAGGAACACACGTGTGTCAGGATACCTGATTGAAATAATATTCATGACAGCTACTGCGGTGAACAAGCTGAGAGGAAAATGTGCAAGGGACTAGAACACTACTGTGTTTTGTGCCAGTGCTCACCTGTAGGTGACTTTGCTTCCTTCATTTAAAAAAAAAATTATTAACAGATTAGGTAGTAGGACTAGCCACCACTAAGCTATTAGAGAAGCATGACTAATGTGCAATGATGGAAAAGATGGTGTGTAGCAAAAGTTTCAGAGTACCATGATAATTCAAGGAAAGGAGAATTCCCGAAGATGTGCAATCGTTAGGGAAGGCTTTGTAGAGACCATGAGATTCAAGGTCACCAAATTGGAATAATGAAAAGCTTCTTCTTCTACCACTTACTGCCCGTGACATGAATAAATAACTTAACCTCACTTATCCCCAGCAAAATGGGGATGATTAGAGTCTGCCTTATATAGCAGCCTGCCTTACAGTAGAATAAATGAGATGATCTTAGAGAGCACTCAGCTTTGTACCAAGCACACCATCAGGACTCAATCCATGCTATCTATAAGAATAATCACAGCAAGCACCACATCAATAGCATCCAGGTTCAGAGCCGAAGCTCTTTCTCCCACCTCTATTTCAAAAAAAATACCCAGGGATCTTATGAGTCCTTTCTTAACCACTTCAGAGAGGAGTGAACAGCCTCCTCCTCCGCATTGCTGTTACCCGTGTTGGTGTTAGGTTCTCTTCTGATACCTGCATATGGGCCTCTGCCCCATCCGAGGTCTTCCTGCTTGTCTCATACATCTCTCCATCCTCAGTGCCAGTGCAGGGTCTGGCACATGTTAAATACTCAGTGGATGGTTGGCAAATACGCTAGGGATTTAGAGATAGGAAATGGACCTTAATTTTACAGAATTCACAGTGTAAATTTCAGATTATCCAAATAGCGATTTAGTCTATAAATATTCAGGGAGCACCTACCAAAGTACTAGCCCAGGTGCTCATATTCTGGAGCTAAAATTCTGTTTGCTTTCTCAGAAAAAGAGTCTTAGCCAGTGGAAGGACCAGACAAATAAACCAATAATTGCATCACATTACAGAGCTTTGAGCCCTCCAGATACCCCAGTCTCCTGACAAACAGAGGAATCCAAATGATGGCCAAACCCTTAGGCCATCATTACATGAACCATTTCATCTATTTTCTAAAGCTGCCATCATTCTGCACAAGGAGAACAGAATTGTTATTGAATATGACTGTGGCTAAGTCTCAGCTGGGGCAAAGGAAGACCTAGAAAAGCAAGAGTGACCCAGCCTCCACGGGAGTAACAGCAATGTCACAGGCCCATGTTAGCATGTGTGAGCGCAGGCATGTCAGGAGCTAAGCTGAGATCCAGGAGCAAGAGAAGGCCAAAGCCCCAGGGAGGTATCAGTGGGGGGCGAGCTCTTGAGAATGAGCGTGCAAGCTTTAGTGTAGCAAGAAGCTAGGGCCCAGTAGAGAAAGGGGAGTAGAAATAACCTCAACAGCTTTCTGCCTCTGCGCCTCTGGCTTGGCCAGCTCGGTGCCCAGGACCACCTGCCACACAGCAGGTTGCCGTGAGCCAGAGCATCCTAAATGAGGCGAAGTCTAAAGAACATGTTTTTGCAATTCTGAGATCGGTCGGGGACAGGGTGTTTCCGGTATTGAGCGGTTCAGACAGTGGAAGGCTGGCCGGGGGATAAAAGGAGAGATGTGTCACAAGAGAGGAGAGCACAGCACGATGGGGGGCAGCAAGGATGGACCCAGCTACTGCATGGCTGGAGGTGGCCGAGGGCAGGCAGGAGATGCAGTGGAGGAGGGACTGAAACTGAGAGGAAGGGGAATGAAGGAGGGGAAAGAGAATCTCCTACAGGAAAATGGGAACCAGATGATCCAAGCCCCTGGGGTACAAGCAAACATGGTCTATGACATGCAGGTAGGCAGCCCCCCACTGCAGTGTGGGGCCGTGAAGGGCACAGTGGAGACCAGACCAGGATAGCCCCAAGCCTGGGGGTGGGTCGCGTGCTCGCTGCCAATATTGGAATTCGTCCTGTGGGCTGTGAGCGTCCTAGCATTGATCACAACATTACAGAGAGTTTCCTTTCATCGCGTGAACCGTTGCCTTTCTTCCCTTTCCCCAAGAATGTAAGTGCTATGAGAGTTTTGACCAAACCTGACACATAGCACGTTTTTAATAAAATTTGCTAAATGAATATGTGCTACATGCTTAGCAATGTATCCAGTGTATAAATGTCAGCTATTATGAGCTATTCTTTCAAATATAGTAACCTGTTATTTATGTTTTTCAATGCCCGGTTGGTCTGTTTTTGGAAGAGAGGGTAATCGTGAATACGTGACTGTTACCTCACCATTCCACCTCTGATTTACTTTCCAGTGATTTTCATGAATGCCCTCCCCCTTCTTCCCTCTCCCCCACCCCATGCCACCACCCCCATTAATTCCTTCGGGACAAGAACTAATCCTTTGACTGAGTTCACGCCAACAGGAGAACCCCTGAACCAGGGCATGTGAGGATAACGAATCCATGGAGAGTCAACAGAAATATTTATCCCAAGTTTCCTGCATGTCAGGCTATGACAGCTTGCCTTCTGTCTCAAACACTATGTTCATGGCAATAAATCTGCTAAACTCCTCCACCAACCTGCTCTCTCTTCCCAAGGCAGAGAAGCTGTGAAGAATGGGTGTTCTGTCTTAGAAAAACAAAATTACACTACTCCCCAGGGTGCATTTGAAGTGCACCTTGCTAGAAAATTACGCCTTTGAAAACTTTGTCTAATTATACCTTAGTTGACAAAATTAGGCGCTGACCCCAAAGTGCTGCAATAGCTGCAGTTGTATAAATGGTGGGTTGGGACGTGTCTGCCTGTATGTGGTATGGGTGGTGCATGGTGTGTGTGTGTGATGTGTGTGTCTGTGGTTTATATTTGTGTGTGTGTGGTATGTGGTGTGGTATGTGTGTGTGGTATGTGGTATATGCATGTATGTGAATATATGTGTGGTGTGTGTGTGTAGAAGGTGGTATATGTGGTGGTATGTGTATGGTGTGTGTGTGTTATGTGGTTTGTGTTTGTGTGTATGGTTGGGAGTTGTGTGATATATGTGTGTTTGTGTTGTGTGTGTGTGGTTAGGGGTATGTGGTATATGTGTCTGTGTTGTGTATGTGGTGTGTGTGTGTGTGTGTGTGTCATCGGGCAGATGTGTGGCATATGTGTCTTTGTGTTGTGTGTGGGGGGGTGTGTGTGTGCGTGTGTGTGGAGTGCGGTACCTTTCCTTTGCAGAGGTCACAGCATAATGAAGGATCCCAATGTCTTCCTAACTTTTGGCTGGAGGTCCCACTGTCCCCCTGAGACCTTCATATTTCGGAAGATGTATCACGCTGTGGAATAAGGCACAGGCTTTGAAATGCAGAAACTCCAAGTCAGATTCCAGCTTCATCCACAGCTGGGTGAGAATCAGGCATGTTTTTTCACTTCTCTGAGTCTCATTTATCACATTTACAGCCTGGGGGCAATACAAGTTAGAAGATACTGTAAGGGCTAAATGGGAAAATATGGATAAAACCCAGATCTCAGTGTCCAACACACACACACACACACACACACACACAAAAGGACTTCACACAGCAGGCTGAGGACTAGGCCTTGGCCCTGTTTCATCTGACACACACTAGGTGCCCAGCGTGCGTCAGATGAAACAGGGAACTAAGCTGTACTAAGGCAGTGATGTGCACATGACTCTCACCCTCACTGGTGGTGATTATGGCCTTGCGGAAGGACGGCAGAGCTGAGAGGAGAGGAAAGAAAGGCGGCCAGGAATTCTTAGGTACTGTGTACTGTTTCCCAGTGTTAAGTTCTGCTGTGGGCTTCCACCTAAAAAGGACAAGACAATAAAGCTGGAGTTCCACCCTCTCCCAACAACAGATGAAAGTGCAGGCCCCTCATGGCACAAGGAGGTGCCTATTCCGACTGCAGCTGCCACTTGCTGGCGTCCTGACATCCTCTCCTCAGCCACTCTACGAATGAACCCAAGGCAGTCCCCTCCCTTTGGGGGCCTTGATTTCCCAAATTAAAGGAAGTTCCTGGATTGGATGGAGTGGTTTTCAAACCATGCTGCAGCAGCTCCTGCACAGGGAGTTTGAGAGCAGCTGGGAGATGGATGGAAGGAAAGCAGGCATGGGACATCTCTTGTCTGCAATGTAAGCAACTCCACGGTGTCTGTTTGGGGTTCTGAGCTCCTGCCTCCCACAGGAGACTTAATGTGAACAAAGGACACCATCCAAAGCTAAAATAAAAGCCAAAACAAACAAGCATATGTACAACTGCCATCACAATAAAATCATCTCCCCATAAAGCAACAATAAATTTGGACAAACCTGCCTAAAACAGCCACTTCAGTCCTCTGGAAACCAACCCAAGTCATACAACAAACTGAGAAGCAGTTTTTCAGAAAACTACTGAATTTCTTTTAAGAACAGCAGGAATCTGGGATGTTCTGCCCAGAGCTGCTCCCATCTCCACCCCCAACTCTGTCAATAGTTCAACAACATGGGCAAAGGCAGAGGCTGTGAAAACAATAAGCTCCATCCATTACCACTTTCCGAGAGCTAATGTGATTCGAGGTGTTGTCAGTTCAAGTGACAAGCAACAGTGAGAGCAGGCAGCTCCACCATCCTGAGGCTGAGGTCCTTTTCGGGCAAGCAGGGGACGAAGGGAATAGTCAAGGAATTAATAACTGGTGGACAAGTGAGGGATTTTACAGGGGGTTGAGAGGATGGGATGAAGTGATGGTGATGGGCTTTGAGAAGCTGCCCGCACATCCTGGGTTGACCACAGGGCACTCACATGCACAACAGAGATAGGAGCATAGTCCTGGTCTTCAGAACCCATGTGCTCTTTTGTACCCAGCAGACGTGAGAGGTGAGCAAACCTAGCCAAAAAAAAAAAAAAGAATAACAACTGGAAATCAAGGAAATAGAAACAGAAAAACAATAGAGAAAATCAGTGAAAACAAAAGTTGTATTTTTGACAAGATCAACAAGAGAGACAAGCCCTTAGCTAGACTGGAACAGAAAATATAGAAAAGATACCAATTACAAAACTAGAAATAAAAACAAGTACTTTTTTATTATAAGGGTTATAAGGGAACATTATAAATAATTTTCTACCAAGAAATTAAGAAATGTAAATGAACTGGATACTTTCCTAGAAAGACACAAATTATCCCAAAACTGACCCCAGAAGAAATAGAAAAATCTTAATATATCTATAACTAAATAAATTGAAATAAAAATTATAAATTTTTCTATGTAGAAAATCCCAGACCCAGCTGAATTCACTGATGAATCACTTTTTAGAAAAGTCACAAACTTTTCTGAAAAATAGAGGAGGGAGAGATATTCCCTTAGCTTATTCTGTGAGAGGACTGTTACCCTGCTATCAAAGTCAAATGAAGACATTTCAAAAAAAAGAACATTACCAACGAATATCCTTTATAAACATAGATGCAAAATCTTTAGCAAAATATTAGAAAACTAAATCCAGCAACTTACAATAAGTGTTAAACACTATTACCAAGTGTGGTTAACCCCAGGAATATAAAGTTTTTTAGCATAGCCTTTGACAAAATCTAACACCTATTCATGATAAAAAATAGAAAATAAATAAAAAAAATAAAAAGCTCTAAACCAGGTAGATATAGAAGAGTTCCTTAACTTGATGAAGGACAGTTATAAGAAACCTACCATTGATCTTATATTTAGTAGTGAAGACTTTATGCTTTCCCCCTAATATCAATCACTGCAAGGATGTAAATTTTGTCTCTTCTATTTAACATTACATTGAAAGGAAGAAAAAAAGAAGAAAGGAAAGAAGGAGGTAGGGAGGAAAGGAAGGAAGAAAGAAGGAAGAAAAAAGGAAAAACTAGAAAGAAAGAAAGCTAGGGGAAAAAAGATTAGACAGAGGGATATAAAACTCTTTATTCACATGACACAATCCTATATGTAAAAAATCACATGACACAATCTTATATGTAAAAATATTCTAAAGAATGCACAACAATACTACTAGAACTAATAAATGAGCTTAGCAGGTTGGAGTATATGCTGGCAATAAACAATCCAAAAATGAAATCAAGAAAATAATGCAATTCATAATGGCACTAAAAAGAATAAAATATTTAGGAAAAATTTTAACAAAAGGAATGGATAATTTTTACTCTGAAAACTACAAAATATTGCTAGAAGGAAATGAAAAGGCATCTCATGCTCATGGAGTTGAAGACTTAGTATTGTAAAGATGGTACTTTTTACTAAATTGATTTATTGATTCCACACAATCCCTATCAACATCCTAGGAGAATTTTTAGTAGAAATTGACATGCTAACCTACATTTATATGAAAATACAAAGGATCTAGAAAAGCCAAAACCATTTTGAAAACAAAAATAATAAAGTTAGAGAACATTATTTAATGCCAAAACTTACTATAACTCTATAGTAATCAAGATAGTGTGGAAGGATAGGTACATCAACTAATGAAATAGAATTGGTGTCCACAAAAAACCTTGTATTTATAGTCAACTGACATTGAGCAAAGATTCCAAAGCAACTCAGCAGGGTAATCTTTTCAATGAATTGCAAATGGTGCTAGGAAAATGGAAGATTCATATAAAATAAAAATGGAAAGGAAAATGGAAGATTCATATAAATTAAAAAAAAACCCTAGACTCTTATCTCACATCATACACAAAAATTAACTACAAATGGATCATATATTAAATATAACTGTGAGAAATGATAAGATTTCTAAAAGAACACATAGGGGAAAACCTTTGAGATATTAGTTAGACAAAGAGTTGTTGGATGCAATACCAAATGCATGAGCCATAAAGGAAAAAAAGAAATGATAAATTGGACTCCATTAAAATTTAAAATATTTGTGTTTCAAAAGATACCATTAAGATAACGAAAGAAACAAGCCACACATTGAAATAAAGTATTTGCAAACCATGTATCTGATGAAGCACATGCATCAGAAATGTAAAAACTCATTAACTCAAAAATAGGATGCCCAAAAAGCCAAATACAAAGTTGGCAAAAGACTTAAACAGATATTTCACCAAAGAAGGCATATAAATGACTAACAGTCATCTGAAAAGGTGTTTATCATTAGTAATTAGGTAAATTCCACAACCACTGGAATAGCTCGAATTTTAAAAGCCAGATAATATCGAGCGTTGACAAAGATGTGGAGTAACTGGAAAACCCCGCCGCCATGCCCTCGTAGCTGGTGGGAACACAAAATGATACAGTTACTTTAGAAAAACAGTTTGAAAGTTTCTCAAAATGTTAAACACAAACTTACCATGAAACCCAACAGCTCTACTTTTAGGAATATACCCAAGAGAAATAAAAATATATATCCACACAAAGATTTGCACATGAACATATAGCATCATTATTCTTCATAGCCAAAACTGGAAACAATGTAATTGTCCATCACACAATGGATTGATAAGCAAAATGTATTTCAGCTGTATACTTAAATACCACCCAGCATTGTAAAAGGACAAAATAGGGATAACCTGCTTCAACACAAATGAACCTTAAAAAATTATGCCAAGAGTAAAGAAGCCAGAAAAAACTATATAGCATATTATTCCATTTTTATGACACATCCAGAAAAGGCTAATTGATAGAGACCAAAAGCAGATCGGTTCTTGGCTGAAGCTAGGAGTGAGAATGGAGGTTGACTGCAAAGTCAAGGGGATTACTGGGGGGTAATGGAAATGTTCTAAAACTAGATTTGGTTTGATGGTTGCACTACTCTGTAAATTTTCTAAAACTCCTTGAATTGTACACTTACAATAGGTGAGTCTCATGGAATGTAAATTATAAATGAGCTATGTTTAAAAACAGATTAGAAACTCTGAATAAACCCCAGGCGCAGTGGCTCATGCCTGTAATCCCAGCACTTTGGGAGGCTGAGGCGAGTGGATCATGAGGTCAGGAGATCGAGACCATTCTAGCCAACACGGTGAAACCTCGTCTCTACTAAAAATACAAAATTTAGCTGGGTGTGGTGCTGCGTGCCTGTAGTCCCAGCTACTCGAGAGGCTGAGGCAGGAGAATCACTTGAACCCAGGAGGCGGAGGTTGCAGTGAGCCGAGATCGCGCCACTGCACTCCAGCCTGGGCGACAGAGCGAGACTCCATCTCAAAAAAAAACAAAAACAAAAACAAAA